>NC_000008.11:30466163-30769193 GCF_000001405.40 Homo sapiens
GTGGATCCCTCAAAACTAGGGAGTCACGTACTCTGGATAATTATTAATATATGGATGGCTTTTTCTTTTAGAAAGGAAAGAGCAATGATTAATATTAAAATAGCCTAGGTGTGATAGCTTACACCTGTAATCTCAATACTTTGGTAGGCTAAGGTATGAAGATCACTTGAGATCAGGAGTTTGAGACTAACTTGGGCAAGACCTCGTCCCTACAAAAAATAAACATAATAAGATTAATTGGATGTTGTGGCACACACCTTTAGTCCTAGCTACTTGGTTGGCTGAGGTGGGAGAATCACTTGAGCCCAGGCGTTCTAGGCTGCAGTGAGCTATGATTGCACCGCTGCACTCCAGCCTGACCAGAACGAGACCCAAACCTGGGAGTCCATAACAACAGCACAGTGGTTTTGGTTTTTCTTTCTTTCTTTTTTTTCTTTTTTTTTTTTTTTGAGACGGAGTCTTGCTCTGTTGCCCAGGCTAGAGTGCAGTGGCGCAATCTCGGCTCACAGCAACCTCTGCCTCCCAGGTTCAGGTGATTCTCCTGCCTCAGCCTTCCAAGTAGCTAGGATTACAGGTGCCGACCACCACGCTGGCTAATTTTTGTATTTTTAGTAGAGACGGGGTTTCACCATGTTGGTCAGGCTGGTCTCCCATTTCCTGACGTCAGGTGATCCACCTGCCTCGGCCTCCCAAAGTGCTGGGATTACAGGCGTGAGCCACCAAACCCGGCCAGTGGCCCTTTTCTAAATCCTATGGTTAGTCAATCCTTGGTGTCTGTAGCAATGTGACCTCCTGAACCAAAACTTGCCTTCCCAGGGCACAGAAAAGGAACAAGTCTTTTAAGTCCAATAGGTGACCATTATCAGGAAGTAAGAACTTGACCACCTGCTTTTCTTGAAGTCAGTGCCAACTAGAAACTGGAGCTTGACCAAAGCCAGTTCATTTCTGCTGAGCTGCAATCAGAATTAAATGCTTGACAGGCCATATTAATGGTTGCAGTAATCCATTTTCATGGTGGCAAGGCCTGAATGGGAAATCCTACCAAGCCAACAAAGCCTTCTTTGGAAATGAGATGACCAGCAGTCCTCAGCAGGGTTCAGTCTTGCAACTTGGTGTTTCAGCTCATGGTTACAAAGTTAACAAATAACTTAATAGATTATTTAAAAAGAGTAAAAGAAGTTAACCAGTGTGTAAAATTTACAAGCTGGGCCCTGATGCCCCGCTTGTGCATTAAAACACCCTAGCTGTATGCGATTTATGCTGCATGGGTATGTGGAGGCCTTAACTTCTCAGTTTCTGAAACCCAAGTTTATATTACATGGTCTGTCAGAAGAGGGATGGCACTGCCATAGGTATGGGAGTGATCCCTCAGTTCTTATCTTAGTAGAGCAGTCACAAAGCAAGAATACCCCTTTGACTGAAACCAGGATGTTTCTGCTCCTGGGGCAACCTTAGTCACTGGTTCCCCTTTTTGGTTAGATTATTTTTTCAGAAGTAAAGAAACACTGACTTTTGGTCAGAATTGAAATGTGAAGCAAGTTACATGAATATATTTTTGCCAGATCAAGCTTGTCCCTGAGGATCAAGGACAGGGAGGAAAATGAGAAAGAATATTTCTAAGGACAGTGGACATGCTGAGTTTGTATTTTCAAACGAAGGAAATACATTTGGGCTTGGATTTGTTCTCATTTTTAAAGTAGTTGTTTATGCTTGTAATTTAAATGCCAAAATGTATAAATACATAAAATGAAGGTTATCTATAATTCTACCTTCCTCTCCACTATTAACATATAGATAATTTGGTATGTATTCCTTTGATACCTTTTTTTTTTCCCTTGAGCATGTACTAACTTATAAAAACCCTAAGAGAATTAAAGTGGGAATATGGGCAGTTCCTGCTGTTTGCTTTTTCCCTTAATAATTGTGAACCTTGTTCTTTGTCAGTAGATCTGGATATCTACTTACTCAGCTTTTTAAATATACAGGTTAATGAGTTTGGGCTTTTCTTTCCCCAAAAAACTTCAAGTATGAATTTGCATTTGTTGAAATTGGACGTATGTATTTGTAAGTATGTTTTAATTATCATAAATTAAAATGTGGATAATTTTCCTGGTAACCATATATTGATCACTATTCTGGTCTATATGGTCCTGAATTTTTTTTGCACTTTCTCTTTTTGGGTCTGTCTCCATTTCAGTCTATCTCTTACATTTTTCTCCTTGATTCAGATTGGTTTTTATCCTACTTCCCTTTCCTCCCTTCTAAATTTCTTTATAATACTAATCTCTCCTGACAAACACATATAGGTGTTTGTCAGTTGATGTTGTGTAACTCTATTGATAAATTGTGACTGGGAAATGCCATCTTATTTTGCTTGCCATGTCACCAGCTGAACTGTTTACAAGCAAATATGTATATCTCCATGGATACAGGATTATGTAAATCCTTGGATTTGCATATGTTTCTAAGTCAGTCGAGATATTTATAGAACATACACTCTGTGCCTAGGACTGTGTTATACACTACAAATAACAGCCTTCAAACTCTAAAATGCCCATAGAAAGGTTTCATCTGTGAATCCACTGTGTGTTTCAAGAATGGTTTCTCCAAAACAATGATTCAAACATACAGCACATTTAAAAGCTGCTTTGAGGTCTTCATTTATATCTATAAGAATATGGGTAGATAGAGAGAGAGATGAATGTAGCCATTAACACCATGGGTTTACTCAAGAGTGTTTCAAATAAGTAACTATACAGTCATTCCTGAGTCATTAGAAGATAGTTATCCTTCCCAGTTCCATGAATTTAAGAGGAACCTCAAGAGCCCAGCTCAGAGCAGCTAGATAGATGACCTTAAAACTTTTATGAAAAACTAGAACATGCAGAGAAAATGCTCATAGTCTTTGGATACTATGTGTTTACCAGATGTGGCTGCTAGTTGAAAAGTGTCTGTGATTATTCTCTGTTGTGTACTGAAGTCGAGCATTTTTCTATTGCTTTTTATTTTCATGCCTAGATTACCAACAAGATTAGATATGCTCTTTATTAAAGAGAGGGCCATTTCAAGGCCTGCTTTTGGCCTTTCTCTCCAGGGAAGCTCAAGACTGCCACAAATGGCTTTACTTACTGAATCGGAGTTTATTAAATGAGAAGACAGTCAATAAAATGTGTCTTGCCTTTCCTAGTGGGAGCTGGCAATGCCATTTAAGAACACGTGGCCAGTTTATCCAAAATCTAACTGTAGCCTCTGCAGGAATGCTGGATAATGGCTAAGCCAAGAACACTCTTGCTCTTCTGCCCAGCACAGGATGATTTTTACTAGCATTTATTCTTTCAGTCCTGTTGGGGTAAAAAGGAAGTTGAAGGTACATCTACAAATCTTTTTGAGTCTCTTTGGGACAAAGCTGTCAGCAGTTTCATCTCTTGAACTTCTATGAGGCATGTTGTGTACTTGTCTAAGAAATATGTTTCCCCATGTGTTCCATAAAGTAAACATCTGCGGATGCTAAAGGCATAGTGCCAGGCACATCTGTGTCCATAGACATTGCTGGTAAACTAAGGGCTGCTCTGGATAATGCTTTGACCTGCTGCAAAGTTCAGTTGGCGTAGTAATTCATTTGTTATTTTTGGGGAACAGTTTTGTTAATGAGTATTTCATCATAAATTTACATGCTGCTTATGCTTGTATCTTACTCTTGGGGTTTTTTTAGTTACTTTGTGAATGAGCTAAGCTTTCTGTTATCACAGGCAGCCATTACATATTCAGTTTATTTCACTGACAGTAAGCTCCCTGAAGGCAAGGATCATGTCTATGAATTCAGTAGGCTTAGCAAAGCCAAAACTCTGAAGTGCCCTCCCTTTAGTGGCTCAGATGAAAAGTATGATGGTAATAAGAGTAGAGAAACTAAAATGTTTTAAAATATTTCTGTGATTCTAGGCCGGGCACGGTGGCTCACACCTGTAATCCCAGCACTTTGGGAGGCCAAGACGGGCAGATCACCTGAGTTCAGGAGTTCAAGACCAGGCTGGCCAACATGGTGAAACCCCATCTCTACTAAAAATACAAAAATTAGCTGAGCGTGGTGGTGGGCACCTGTAATCCCAGCTACTCGGGAGGCTAAGGCAGGAGAATGGCTTGAACCCGGGAGACAGAGGTCTCAGTAAGCCAAGATCACGCCATTGCACTCCAGCCTGGGCGACAGAACGAGATTCCATCTAAAAAAAAAAAATCTGTGATTCTAGATCCCAGTCACCATAGAAAAGCATGAATTTGATATTCAGAAAGCTATTTTTTCCATTCATTATTCGTGATTTTTTAAAACTTGCTTGATGACTTTCCTAGTCTGAGGAGGTCTCTAGGACTCCAAGCACATTATGTTTCCGGATTTAAGTGACCTCTAGTTGGAATCAAATACATAATGTAAGTATTCAAAAATTATTTCCCCCTTGTCAATCTATTCTACTAGAGGAAAGAATATCTCAGTGAGTGAGATGAGATATTCTGGTAGATTTCTGAAACAATAGTGGACTTCATGAGATTCTAGGTAACCTAAGTCTCGTCCATGTTTAAATAAAATGCCAAACATCTGATCTGCCTCCAGTTTGATGAACAAAGCAGAGTTGCTTTGAGCCTCTTGGCATCTATGGGTGAGTGGCAAACTTAGGCCTGACGGGAGCTCAGATTTTCTTTTTCCCCATGTATGACAATTTTCTATTGAAACACTAAGATAAGAATCTCTTCGCTTTCCATTATGGAATATTTACATAAGAAAGAATTTCCTCCATAAACTTTATAATATAATATTGATACAAATATTGACTTTGTTTCTAGTCCCTTAAAGAAAGGGAGGTAATAAATTGAGGTAATTCTCAACCTAATAAAATAAACTTACAGTATTTAATGCATATTTATTTTAGAAAGATGGAAAATACAAATAAGCTAATAAACATTAAAATCAGTTACTATACCATTGAGGCTAAACGATAGAAACATTTGAGTACACATACTATAAGATAAATTTTTTTCCTCTAAATACTTATATGTTGGCTACTTTATAGAACAAAGTGGAACTATATATACTTTTTCCTTGAACGTCATTTTTATTGGCTGTGTAATATTTCATTGTATGATACAGATGAACCTTAGTTTATATTAAGTAACCTTTTGTTCATAATCCCCAGATTTCAAGTAACCTCTGTTGGTAAATTGACATTTATGAAGCCCTTTTCTCTATAACAATATTATAAATAATAGTTTATTTTCTAGGTTAACTCCTCAAATTCTAATTCATATTTATCACATGGTAAGATGCACCACTAGATAAATGGCACCATGACACTTAGAACGTAAGTTCTGCTTATCGTATCATTTTTGTGGAAATCTCTGTAATCCAGTTAGAACCTGGCACAGTGTCAGAGAGAAAACAGGCACTTCCCAAAATCTGAATAAATGGAAGATGGTATTCTCGCTCTGCCCAGGTTGTCCTGACCAGAACAGCCAAGTGGAATAGATGGTGTTCACTTTCTGGACTATGGGAGGAGAGTTGCGGGTGACAGGGAGGGCACACTGGATTAGCAGGATTTCCTCACTGTTTGTATCTTTGACACTTGTCAGCAATTCTGCCTCAGCGAACTTCATAAAGACCACCAGGAACTTGTTTATCTGGTGGCAAAGTTGGGGGTAGTGGAAATGAGGATGCAAAAGATACAGAACACTTGAACAACAAACTTGATGTAATTGATACTTATAGATCATTCCACCCAGCCCCAGCAGAATACACATTTGTTTTAAGTGCACACAGAACATTTACCATGTTCTGAAACATAAGACAAGGAATTGATGGGCATTAAAAAAAGCATATACCTTTCATATATAGGCATTCCACTTCTAGGTGTTTATCCAAAAAGAAAGAAAGTATACATCCATACAAAGATTTGTACATGAATGTTCATAGCCATTTTATTTGTAATAGCCAAAACTAGAATAACCTAAATGTCAACATGTGAATGGATAAACTGTGGTGTATCCACACTACAGAATACTTCTCAGTAATAAAAAGGAATAGACTGTTGATACATTCAACAACATAGATGAATCTCAAAGTAAATTTCACTTCATGCTAAGGGAAAGAAGCCAGATGAAAAGGGTACATACTCTGTGGTTCCCTCTGTATATGTAAGTGTTTGAGACATATATACTAATATAAAGAGATCAGAGCAGTGATTGCCTGGGGATGGAGAATGGTGGGACAGAGTGGGAGGAAGGATTAAAGGGGCATGAATAAACTTTTGGTGGTGATAGATTGTCTTGGTTGTGATGGTGGTGATAGATTGTCTTGGTTGTGATGTTTCTTAGGTTATACATATGTCAAAACATCACATATTTCAAGATGTGTAGTTTATTATATATCAATCATAACCTCAATAAAGCTGTTTATAAATATATCATAAAATAAGGCATTCAGAATTCTGGGGCTATTTACATCATTATAGTGTTTATCAAACATACTTACATGCAAATGGCATGACATTTTACTGTGTACTGTGCTGGGTCAATAAAAGGGCCTTGCTTGGTGATTCGCACTTCTGTGTAACAGGAAACAGTGAAAAGTGTTAGGAATCTAGAAAAAGCCAGGCGAGGTGGCTCATGCCTGTAATCCCAGCACTGTGGGAGGCCGAGATGGGAGGATCTCTTGAGCTCAGGAGTTTGAGATCAGCCTGGGCAACATGGTGAAACCCCATCTTTACAAAAAATTAGCCAGACATGGTAGCAGACTGTCTGTCTGTCTAATATTCTCCCCATCTTTCACTGAGGAAAAATCTTTCATGTATATATTCATGGTTAACAATTGAACAATTGAGCATCGAATTTTCAATCATGTTGCATCTGTGTTTGAGTAGAGAAAAACAAATAGAAAATATGATGATAATTCAGTAGCTACTCCTTGCCTATTGAATCAAGATCAAATTCCTGAGCCAGTGGCTTTTGATGTTTTGTGTGTTTGACCCTAAGCTTCTTGTTTAGTTTTGGCTTGCCCTTCCCCAAGAATGTTTTCTTCTTCTCCTACTTCACTGCCTTGGTGAATCCTTTTCTCTGCCTGTGATTCTTAGGGATCCCACCTCATCTTTTGGCTCTATTTGGTAAATGCCCATCCTTTCGATTCTTACTCAGATGCTTTCTCTGGTGTTTCCCCTGTGTTCTGTGTTTTAGTAGACACTAAGCACATAGTGTGTACCCTACACTTTGCACTATATGTATTTACATATGTGTCTTGAATGACTTTTATTAGTGGCACCGTAGCCAGGTACCTTGTACATGGTGGCCTATGTGTTGATTGTGCCTTAAACACAGTGGGTGGAAGACAGTATGGCGATTCCTCAAAGATCTAGAAGCAGAACTACCATTTGACCCAGCAATCCCATTACTGGATATATACCCAAAGGAATATACGTCATTCTGTTAGGAAGATACATGCACGTGTATGTTCATTGCAGCACTATTCACAATAGCAAAATCATGGAATCAACCCAAATGTCCATCAATGATAGACTAAATAAAGAAAATGTGGTACATATACACCATGGAATACTATGCAGCCACAAAAAGGAACAAGGTCATGTCCTTTGCAGGGACATGGGTGGAACTATAAGTCATCCTCAGCAAACTAACACAGGAACAGAAAACCAGACACCACATGTTCTCACAAGTGGGAGCTGAAGGATGAGGGCACAGGGACACATGATGGGGAATAACACACATTGGGCTTGTCGGGGGCTTGAGGGGAGGAAGAGCATCAGGAAGAATAGCTAATGGTTGCTGGGCTTAATACCCAGGTGATAGGTTGATCTGTGCAGCAAACCACCATGGTATGTGTTTACCTTTGTAACCTGTACATCCTGCACATGTACCCCAGTACTTAAAATTTAAAAAACAACAACAACAACAAAAATGCAATGGGAACAATAGTCAGTGAGGTTGGCCCTGCTGTTTTGGAACCGAACAGATGAAGAGTTAATGCATTTTGGTTACTATTTAGGTGCATTGGGCTTAACTTTACTTTTACATTTATTAAAGTTATTGTAATTAATGCCTATGAGGAAAGCAGCAACAAAACAAGCAGGAGGAAACAAATTGTTTTTATATTATTTTTGAAGCACATTATATAGGCGATATATTTAGGGCAGAGGAGTGGCAGATTTACTGTGCTCATGTCATTTTTTTCTTAAGCTAATATTTAAATTATATGGAACCTCCCCCCATCCTTCACATTTTTAGAAGTGTGCAATGGCTAGTTGGGAAAAGTTAGCTTGTAAATTTAAATCAACTAGATGTAATTCACTCTGAATAATTCACATAGAAATATTCAAGTGTTGGCTTAGGGGATGTACCTTAAGATTACACAGAAGGCTGCATCTCCCCTAAAATTTAAAAAGGAAAAAAAAGTGTTGGCTTAGTGGCATCTTAACAGTGAAGTATTCGTTGTATCATGGAAAGAGCATGAATTTAGTATGAGTTGTGGAATATTTGGAATAATATGTTTCTGAGATATCAGGTGAGAGTTAACTCTCTGGAGTGTCCACACCCTTGATCACTTCCTAAATTTATTTTTCCAGGTCCGGACCCTATTTGTCAGTGGCCTTCCTCTGGATATCAAACCTCGGGAGCTCTATCTGCTTTTCAGACCATTTAAGGTACCTTTTTTTATCTTTCAGAAATTATAAAATGAGACAAAAGTCTGTATGCTTTCTGGGAGCTTTTTGAAGCAAGAAATGAAATATTTGAGAAGAAAACAGATGTTTTTAAAAGGTTAATGAGTAAAGGAGATTTAACAACTGAGTTCTAATGTACAGTCTCACTTAGGATAATTACATATTTATATTTCAAATGCAGTAATGTAAGTGAAGATTTATTTCTAGTTTCATACCTTATTATTTGAAATAGTACTGTTGATACTGTTCTTTGGAAATGTAAATAGGTTTTTATGAACTGAGTTAAGAACCTAACCACCGTTATTTTTTCCATGGCAAAACTTTCAAACAAAGTAAAACAAAATTTTAAAGGATACCTAGGTGTAAGTTGATGGTAATATTTCCTGGTGTTTATTGAAATATTTAATGCAGTTACCTGTCCTTCCTATGGAAATAAGATCACTTGATAGATACTTAATGTTGCTAGGATTGAAAACTTCATAGGAAATTAAACACCAAGCACTTCGTAGAAACTAAGCCAAAATAGCCTTGCTGCCAAGAAGAAACCTTTTGAAGGTTGGCCTTTGGAGGATAGGAGAAAGCTGGAGCTGATCGAATCGGGGCCCTGGAAGGGATATGTTCCTTCTCTGGAAGGGCCTGTGCTCAGGAAGTCTTAAGTTGGTCAGTGTGGATGTGTTAGCAGCAGTGCCTGGCAGAGACCACACTTATGATTAGGTGATGGGCTGTCTTGATTTCTGGTTAAAGATCATTCTCACTGAAGCAGGTCCCCAGTGATAGAGGCATGACAGGTTGAGGGATAGGATTCAGCTTCTTAGGAAGACGGAATTGGATATGACAACTAAAAACTCTAGTGTTGGGGAGGAGGAAGGAGGGATGCAGGGGCAGCCAGTTAGAACCAACAAAGATAAAACAGTCTAGCTTATGTGCCAAGAGGGCACCATGTCATAAGGGACATAAGTCCACCTGACAGCCATCGCTTTAATGCAACAATAATGATGATGGCACAGGGAAACAGAGGTCAGGTGCCAGGTCAGGTGGGAGGAAGTGGGAAAGGAAGAGAAGGTGGTATGGAGAGAGTGCCACCTTTTATAGAATTTCCTGAGTTTCTTCTGCCGGGTTGTACTTTTATAAAAAGGACCATTTTTCTATCCTTTTTATAGAATGCAAACTTTTAACGCAAATTGATCTTCTTAGTGTATAAAATACTGTTATGTTTTGGGGTGTATAGAGAGAAAGACATTCACCAGCAAGCCCTTTATATGAATTATTAAAGTATTGTCACAATCCTTTCAAGTGGGTGAGTCTCATTTTTTCAAATGAGGAAAATGAAACTTGGAGCTGAATAAATTGTGCTCAAGTTTACACACATAAAAATTGGCAGAGCCAAGATTCAAACCAAGCAGTCTGACTCTGCCCTCTCTGTTCTGAACTATTATGTTATACTGCTTTTCTGTTTGTGACTTGAGAACACAGTATATCCCTACCAGTGGTGTTTTACTTGAGTGAAATATCCAGTTGTCCTTTGCCTTCAAGACCTTCATGGTGTTTAAACCTCTAGTTTTTTCAGAAGAGAGCACCTTGAAGAAAGGAAGAGGCAGAGCTGTGAATCATGACCTCTCTGGCCATAAGAGCTCAAGGCCTTTGAGGTGAAATGTTTATAGTAGCTAATTGGTAACATAGTTCTCTGCTGGGAAGATGTAAGGATGAATCAATCTCAACATCCTGCCCAGAAACCCCGACTAGAAAGTCAGCACCCTAGTACATTCCTGACAACCCTCTTTTAATTAAAGTCCCTGGAGGCTGACCCTAGTCTGCAAATCTGTCTCTGCGCTGATGTGTGTAGTGGTCAATCACGTCAAGTGGTGTGTTTTTCCCCTGTGTCGTCCGTTAATGCAAGCCACCAGCTATTGATTATTTTCAGAAATAAACACATTTTGTTATCCTTATCTTGAGGAGCCGGGAGGGGTGAAGAGAGGGAGTGAAAGAGGGAGGGAGTGTTTCTGTCTTCCTTGAGCATGAGCTGGAATAAAAACCTGAAGGGATTATTTTTGCATGTCCCCATCAGAAGAGCAACATGAAAACTGGTTCCTTCAGTAAGTTAGCAAAGTAACTCAACAAAATTCAACATCATTGCCTGCTTAACCATTTCTGGCAGTTTTGAAAATGTGGTCAGGGAGTTTTACCAACTATATTTTTTTGAGACGGAGTCTGGCTGTGTCTCCCAGGCTGGAGTGTAGTGACGCCATCGGCTCACTGCAAGCTCTGCCTCCCGGGTTCATACCATTCTCCTGCCTCAGCCTCCCAAGTAGCTGGGACTACAGGCACCCACCACCATGCTCGGCTAATTTTTTTGTATTTTTAGTAGAGATGGGGTTTCACCACTTGTCGATGGTCTCGATCTCCAGACCTCATGATCCGCCCGCCTTGGCCTCCCAAAGTGCTGGGATTACAGGCGTGAGTCACCGCACCCAGCCCCAACTATATTCTTAATGTTTTATTGTTGTTATTTTATAGCAGCTACATGACCAATACATGGCTCTGACCTTCCTGTTGTATTAAATTTACCCTCTTTCCTTGCCTATTTCTGTAAAACTCCTATTCTTATCTAGACCAAGAAAACAAAAAGATTGCTATTAACAGAGACACTCATTTTTCTACCATTGTGTAATTTCATGAAAAAAAAATAGAAGGAAGAGAAACACAGATAAATCCATAGATTGATTTTTTTTAAAGGCCCCAAGAATGCAAACAGGTGTGTGTGTGTGTGTGCACATGCACATGCATGTGTGTAATTTGCTTTCCCAGATAACTTAGGAGACATTTGTAGGAGGAGTTAGGTAATCAATAAAGAACTTATTTTTACATGAACAAGATGGTATTACTACAGTTACTTTTGGCTAAACTTGGTTTTTCTTTATTTTCAGGGCTATGAGGGTTCTCTTATAAAGCTCACATCTAAACAGGTAAGAATTTCAAAGTGGCATATAAAGATCACTTTTTTACTTTCCTCAGGAATATTGCTGGGGCTTGACATTCTTTTTTTATTCCCATTAGAATTTGAGGGGTTTTTTGTCTTTAAAATTAAAAGTGAGATGTATTAGGAATTAGCACAGGAAAATACTTCATAATTCTATAATCTTCAGCTGGAATTTCAGGGACTGTCCCAGAGGAAGATAAACACAGTGATACATTGAGATTGATTTTGTATGTTCAATGAAAATAGTGGTTTATTATTTAAATTCACTTTTATTCCCAAGTCTTTCCCATTTCTTTTAATGAGGTTAAACAAACTTTTACAATCAATGTGAATATCAGATCGTGAAGGATCATGCTGTCTGTCAAACCCCTAAATTAAGGCAGAGTCCCGAGTCCAGAATGGAACAGAGAACGTACAAAATGGAAGTGGTAGTCAGTGATTCTAATAGTTCCTACAAGCTTAGAGATTGTAGCTATATACTTTTTTTTTTAAGCTAAACACTTGGCATACACACCTCTCGAATCACTATTCATCTCTCTGGCTCATGAGAAGAATGATCTTGGAGGCACCCTTCTGTACTGAAAGATAGGGAGTCCAAAGGGATTATGGCCTTTCTGTATTTACTCAGAACAGCCTAATTAAGAATATGATTTTTTTTTTTTTTTTTGAGACGGAGTCTCACTATGTTGCCAGGCTGGAGTGCAGTGGCGCGATCTCGGCTCACTGCAACCTCCGCCTCCCAGGTTCAAGTGATTCTCCTGCCTCAGCCTCCCAAATAGCTGGGACTACAGGCGCATGCCACCACGCCCAGCTAGTTTTTGTATTTGTAGTAGAGACAGGGTTTCACCATGTTGGCCAGGATGGTCTTGATCTCTTGACCTCGTGATCCGCCCACCTTGGCCTCCCAAAGTACTGGGATTACAGGCGTGAGCCACCCTGCCCAGCCAGCACAGGATTTTTTAAGGCATCCCTTAGGATTTGAGATAGGAATGTTCACTTTGTAATTTTGGTCATGCAGTGAGAGTCCAGGGGTTTTATCATTGTGTCATTGTATTCTTGCACTTACAGTGTACCAAAAGGTGATTCGGTTCTCTTTCCATTTTAAAAGATGAAGAAACTGAGGTACAGTGAATTTGATTTAGGAAAGTAGAGCCTCTCCAACCCAAGTTTTCCTCTATTCCCTTGTTCACTGCTGTTCACCTTTCAACCACTTCTAGATTTTTTTATGATTCTCTAAATCCCCAGCTGTGCTCTTGAAGAACTACCCTCACCATCCCTTTGATTCATATTAGAAATTTGGCTAAGCCACTGAGTCATGATTCTTCGGGACTTCGCTTTCTTATTTCTGCCCATTGCCTGTGGTCATTTCTTTATCTTAGCTCTTCAGTTTGATGTCACCCTTGACCTAGAAAAGTAGACATCATCTGATTTTTTTTCTTCATATTTCTCTTTTTTTTTCTCAGCCTGTAGGTTTTGTCAGTTTTGACAGTCGCTCAGAAGCAGAGGCTGCAAAGAATGCTTTGAATGTAAGTACTAATGATGTAATTGTAGGGGGTTTCCATATGAGGTGGTGGGAAGTAATGGAATCTCTTTGGACGGGAAATCAAGTGGAAAGAATATGACTGCACAGTCTAAGAGGGAGGGATTCATCAATTTAATTAGCACTCTAAAGAGCTTTTTCCAAGAATTGTGATCAGATATGCAGATTATTAAATAGCACTCTGCTTTTTGATTGCTCTGAATGAAATGCTCAAAATATCTGACATCTGATGATGTGGGTCTTATTTTAATCTAGCCCCATCCCATCCAATGGTGGTGCGTAGTGCTGCTTTGTTTTTTCCAGAGGAGATATTTGAGGCGTTAGCTTGCTCATCATTATACTCTAAATGACTATGCTCAGAATAGATTGAAATCCTGGCTTTTTTTATTTCATGAGGCTTTCCTTTTAGATATGCAGCATTAAAAAAAAAAAACTGGTTATAGCCTTTATTCTGGTTGATTAAAAATTTACATATAAGGCTTTCCCAAAAGACGTGTGTTGTAATAGAATAAATTACAGTCATTTGTAATTGAGTAGATATATCTGTATTTGGTTTGTAGTTATGTTGTTTGCCATGTGTTTTGAGACTTTTACCAGTATTGTTTTGGTGAATATTTTTCCTCCTTAGTATGTTGAAAAACTAAACAATTTAAGGGAACTAAGTTAGAGAAGGTGGAAGGAAGCAGAATGTGGTTTCAGATGCTGAGGATGAATCCTCAGGTGAGGAGTCTCAGCGAAGGCTGGCTCCATCATGCTCTAGGCAGTTGGCCTAAGTGGCTGTGAACAAGTGCTGACTGAAGCACTCAGAGTGTTTAGGGTGCTTCCTACAAGGCAAGCGGCCACTTGACTGGTTGTAATACAGGTACCATTTTGGAGGCGTCTGGGAACTTGCGTCTGGCCTTTGTGTTGCTGTGGTACCTGCAGGTACCCCTGGCAGCTGCTCCTTTGAGTAGACCATGCAGAGTGCTGTTGGAGAGACCTGATATAGGTGATGACTTAGAGGTCTAAGGAAAAGTCTTTATACTTCATATAATGGTGTCATTGATACACAACCTTAAAAGGTTTTTAGACTTTGGAACAAAAATGTGTACACTCTGAGAAGAAACACCTTAATTCTTGTTGGTTTTTCATATAAAGCATATAGGAACATCTTAGGATTCCAGGAATTCCAGAGTCCAGACTTTTTCTGGATTTGGATAAATGACCTTCTTGTCAGAATAACTGCCTACTCACTCTGTTCCTCTCCTGTATAACAAAGTATAAACCAATTATTTATTGAGCACCAGTGGTATACACCGAAGCACGGTGTATAATTGAATGTTTTGATATAAAAGTTGTTTTATGATTTTTGCATTGAATACGTAAAAACCAGAATTTTCTCAGTATAATGACACTTTAAACTTAAAAGTAGAACCACAATTTCAATTTAGCAGTGTTTTATTTTAACCAGGTGGGAACCTTCTAAATGCAGAAATATTCTGGGTCCTTTAAAGTTATGTTAGATGAAGTTTTCACCATGTTCTTTTCATTGTTCTTACAAAGGAAGTAACAAGCAGTTGAAGCTTCACAGACTTGGCTCTCATTGCTTTACTATACTTCTCCTATGTGTATAAAGATGTCACTGACTCATTTTCTGAACAATAGGCTTTTATAGTGACCTGTCATCTGACAAGGCAACATTCCCTTAGGTGTGGTAGGTTGCATTTTTGTTTTTTAAAGATAACTGAAGGGTTTTGTTTGTTTGTTAAAGAATAAAGACATGGTGTTGCTGTATTGCCCAGGCTGGTTGGTCTCCAGCTCCTGGACTCAAGTGATTCTCCCTCCTTGGCCTTCCAGAGTGTTGAGATTACAAGCGTGAGCCACCACACCCAGCCTGAAGTTTTTTGCTTGTTTGTTTTTGTTTTTGTTTTAATGTTTAAATGATAATAGTCAAAAAAAACTGTGTTTCCTCATCATACTGAGTACAGCGAACATAATTTCAATTTTTCTTGGTGCCCAAAGGTTATCATTACAAATAGCAGGTAATGAACCTAGTGTAATATAATGATAGAGGTGTTTAACCCTGTTTGCCCCTGTGCCAGCTGGCCGCAGATCACTGTTGTCTGGTCTTGAGGTCTGGTTTTAGGTTATTCTTCTTGCACTAGGCTCTCCATTCTTTTTTTTTTTCACTGGCAGTACGCCTTTCTTTAGCACTGTCCTCTCCTTTAATCATTAATAGTTTGCTACTTATGTGTTAATAACTTGGGAAGGACCCCAAATAAAACAGGTCTAATTCTGTCCTGTTTTGTGGGCCTGAGGGAAAATTCGTATTTACCTATGGAATAATGAGCCTGGGCTTTCTGCTGCCCAAAGCTGACTTACATAAGAGTGTAGGACATTTACTGAGCTCCTGGCTGATCTCTTTCTTGACGTTTTGAACTTTTCTATGTAAAGTAGTAGAGGTATTAGAAATCTTTCCGATGTTGTAGTTAGGGAAACAGACGTGGAGAGGATGGGTGATTAAGTCAGCATGTGTAAGTTTAGAGCTCCAACTAGGAGGCAACTAAAAGTAAACTTCTTGCATCTAAGCCTTGTCCATTTTATACAACATCCTTTTGCTTGCTTTGTACATGGGATGTTGCTGCATTTTTCCTTGTGGCAGTTACAGAGTATTTAATTCACAATGTCCAGGACAAATTGCCACCATAAAGTTTGGTATGTGACCATGGAGCAGACCCATTCAAGGTAATGTATTTAGTCATGAAGCTAATAGGTATATTCTTTGTGATCCAACATATTAGGCTCTTTTTAGGGTCATCTTTTCTAATTGATGAGTTAAAAACATATGATGCTTGTAGCCATTACAGAATTTTCTCCTCCCATGTCATCTGTCCAGGGTTCTCTTAACATTTTCTTACTTACCTTTGGAGAGAGAATTCAATATTGTAATGTTTTGTTTTATTCCACTATTGAGAAACATATGCCTGAATCCAGTAAATTTCTCTGTGTATAATACTTCAGTGTTATGAACGACTTCTCCATGTTTAATTTCTCTTTTTGTTGTTTCTGTCTTGATTGCTATCTGGTTCAGTTGTTAGTATTAGTGATTAGTCTTTTCTCAAAATGACTAATTTTTAAAATCTATTTTCTCATTTTTGGACTGGGCTTCAGCCATTTTGATAATTGTGTGGAAAAACATGCTCAGATTGAATTAAGTTGTAACAGTGAACTTTTATCAGGGAATTAAACCTTCTAAAGTTAAATACAGTACGTTTTGTTTCTATAGCAAAAAGTCCCACGTTAGGCAAAGAATAACCCAAACCCAGACTTCTTTTCAGGTTATCTTTGGTCTCATTAATCCACATCATTAAAAACCCCTCCTTTCTTTAACCTGACAGCAAAATATCTGACCTATTCTTTGTCTTTAACTCACTTTGTAATTTCTGTACCTGTTTTGAATTTCCAAGCTAAAGGAAGGGGGCACTGAAAATCTTAAGTATCAAATTATTTTTAGGACTTGTTTATAATTTTGGAAAGTAAATCAAATTCACTAATATAGGCAGTTAGCTAGATTTAGGAAAAATTCTGATTTGTGGAAATTTTTAAACGGGACACAGGAAGCAGCGCATGTTGAAGGGTAAAGATCCCCAGCAGATGTGGGAGTAAACCATCTAGCTATTTCCAGCAACTGTGAGGACCTCAAATTGTCATTATTGTCTAGTAGGAATCTTGTTTTTATAAATAAGAATGATTTGTAGTTAACCTTCAATTCAGGCTTGTGCATGATCTCTGCTAACCTAGAGATCTCTGTAATGACCTGTTATGGCATTGTTTTGTCTTACTGGTGTTTGGAAATTGGTCATTACTTTAAAAAGTTTTGGACTCTTTAGTATATGTGCCATTCATTTGCTATCCTTCCTTCCCTGATTTTGGATAGTTGTTATTAGGCTAGGTTTTATCTTAGACTGTATTATGTTACACGAGAACTAGAGAAGTCTGTACATCACTACAAATTGCCTTCCCAACCAAAATTGCTTAGGCTAGTGTAGTAATTTGCTTTACTCTCAAACTATACTCATTAATCTAAGTGATCTCTAATTATCAGTGAACCTCCAAGTTCAGTGTTGTTTTTCTTCCAGATAGCTCTTGAGATGTAATTTGCATATGATTCACCCATTTAAAATTTTCAATTCAATGGCTTTTGGTATATTACATTATTTTTTTTAATTACGGTAAAATACATTTAAAATTTTGCTATTTTAATGACTTTTAAATGTACTCTTTCTTGGCATTAATTACATTCACCATGTTATGCAATCATTACCACTATTTCCAAACTTTTTCATCAACCCAAGCAGAAACTCTGTAGCCCTTAATGCAGTAAATACCTCCCCATTCTCCCTTTTCCCCAGCCCCTGGTAATCTCTAATCTGCTTGCTTTCTCCGTGAATTTGCCTATTCTAAATAATGAAATATTTGTCTTTTTGCTTCTGGCTCTTCTTTCTTAGCATAACATTTTTGAGATTCATCCACGCTGTGGCATTTACCAGAATCAAATTCCTTTTTATAGCTAAATAAAATTGTATTATATGGATATGTACATTTTGTTTATCCATTCATTTGTTGGTGGACACTTAGATTGTTTCCATGTTTTGGCTATTGCGAATAAGGCTGCAGTGAACACTGATGTGTAAGTATCTGAATCTGTTAATTCCTTTGGGTATACCTAGGAGTAGAATTTCTGGGTCATGTGGTGATCATATGTTAGCTTTTTGTTTACTTTGGTTTGTAATTTTTTCCATAGTGGTTGCACCATTTTGCATTAAAAACTTGTTCCTGTTTGTAAAATTATAACCATTCTAGTAGATACGAAGCAATCGTGGATTCTTGCTAAATGCTGTTTGACTGATTTTAATAGTAGATTTGATTTCTGTAGGAATTTCACATGACTTAAAATGTTTCTTTTAGCAGGGACAAGTAACATTTCTGTGACAGTTCTAAGTAATGGAACTGCGTTTGTTTTACCTGTCAATAAGTAACAGAAGGGGGAAAAACTCAACCCTCATATTACTCTTTTAATAAGACAGAACTTGAAGGAAAGGTATTTTCTCAAGGTCTAAATAGATTTTAGAATAAAGAGTTGAAAAGCAGTTTTGTTTAAAAGAGGTAAAATGGCTGCCACTCAGACTTCCATTGCAAAGAAACCTTAACAATAAATGGAAAAACTGTATGTAAACTAAAAATATATAAGATATTAAATTATTTCTTGACTATTGAAAAATTTTGATTCAATAGTATTTGCAGTTAAGAGAGAATTTTAGAAAGCTTTAATTTGTAAGAAAATATGCTGAGAAAAGACTTAATAGTGTCAGATGTTGAAAAAACAGCTGATATGATCAGGAAAACTTAGCCCTATTTTCATTTCCATAAATTCCTGGCATTCAAATAAACACTACAGTTATTTATAAATATCACAGTGATTACAGCCTTGTACATAATTTGTTATACTAAATAGTTTGAGCTTTCCAACTACCAAGGTTCTTTACAATTAGATATAATTAATTCATTAGTTCTATACCAAGTTTCTCATTTGTGAGATGGAGGTATTATTTACTTCGAAATGGTAAAGGGAAAACAAGCAAAAGCATTTGCAAATGCTCTGTAAGTAAACCTATATCATGAATGTATTTTCTTGGCCAGAAGTACTGGTACAGACCGTTAAGTATGGAGGGATACCAGGGCAGTCAAGACCTGCACTGGGTACATAGAAACATTTTGGCTTGGTTAGACAGTCTCTGTTTCCTGTACCACAGGTTTTCCTGACAGCCTGTGCAAGTTAGGACTTTTGATCTTAATATTTGTACAGCTTGTGAGTTAGGTGAATTATTTCCACCAAACAAAACATTTTACGAATATAAGCATCCAGATGGCCTATCTCAACTCCCATGGCCCCCACCAGACACTATATCAATATGTTTCTTATCAGTTTTGAAATTTTCTCCTTAAGTTTCATTTAGCATATTGCTGAAAGTGGGTTAAAGAGGCCCAATTAGTGAGATCCCAGCTGGGACTTTTAGATGGGAAATATGCAGGATTGCCAGATGAGATCATGGGCCTGATCTAGTGTTTATCTGTTAAATCTGTTTATAACTGCTTAACTCTTGACTTGCAGACTTTTAAGGCAGCCATTTGACGTCACAGGGTTGGGAACGAGGCTTGTGCCAGTATAAAGCCGCTGTGATGTGGGGCCATTGGGCCCTTCTGTTTTTCTCAACTATGTGCATGCACTTTGGAGCTTGACAAACAGCCGTGTCCAGTGAACTCCCCCCAAAGAAAATTGAAGTTGACTCACCGTGAAAGGCATACCACCAAAAGTGACTCCTAACCCATGTACAATTCAGAAAGAAAGCACTAGTTAACAAGTGCCCAGTGTGTGATTATTTAGTTCTAGAATCTGTCCAGATTTTCTTTGTTCTGGCTCTGTTCTCTTCATGGTGGCCCTGCAGTTTTTAGATGTTATAAAACCTCCCTACGATTATAATAGCATGTAAGTTAAAAGTTGTTGTGAAAAAACAAATGAAGATGCATTTATAAGTAGTCTTCAGTCTTTGCCTGAAGAAGAGTAAGTTGGTTATTTGAATTTATGAAGCATTTACATAGGAAACTAGAAAATAAAACACTAATAAAAGCGCCTTGCCAGGAGCAGTGGCTCACGACTGTAAGCCCAGCACTTTGGGAGGCTGAGGTGGGCAGATCACCTGAGGTCAGGAGTTCAAGACCAGCCTGGTCCAACATGGTGAAACCCTGTCTCTCCTGAAAATACAAAATTTAGCCAGGCATGGTGGTAGCCTGTAATTCCCTTAGGAGACTGAGGCACGAGAATCACTTGAACCTAGGAGGCGGAGGTTGCAGTGAGCCAAGATCGCACCACTGCATTCCAGCCTGGATGACAGAGCGAGACTCCATCTCAAATAAATAAATAAATAAATAACATAAAAAAAAAACAAAAAACAGGGTTCAGCCCAGGTCTGTATCCAGTGCCCCTACTTTTTACCAGGCTGGCCAACATGGTGAAACCCCGTCTCTACTAAAAGTACAAAAAAAAAAAAAAAATTAGCTGGGCATGGTGGCGGCTGCCTGTAATTCCAGCTACTTGGGAGGCTGAGGCAGGAGAATCGCTTGAACCCGGGAGATGGAGCTTGCAGTGAGCTGCGATCACGCCATTGCACTCCAGCCTGGGCGATGGAGTGAGACTCTCTCTCAAAAAAAAATAAAAAAATAAAAGAATCTCAAGGAAGTTTAAAGAAAGAAAAGTAGTCGGAAATTTTAGTAGCATCCTTTCCCTGGAGAATTAGGGAGGAAGAACCACACGTTCTCACACATGAACCAGTGTATATTCCAATGACAAGTATATGTGGAAATCTCAACTTCACCCAGCTCTTCTCTAGGTAAAACATTTCCATCAGATAATTACATGACTGTGTGAAATAGCTCTCAGAATTTTCCTTATGGCCTTTTATGAGGATCTATTTGTTTAAACTTACATAATTTTAAAACTCATGCCATTTAAAAAATGATACCTCATTTGACCTTGCCCTTTCTCCATGGTTTTTCAGACATTTCAGAAAGTGCTATGAATCTAATTTGCCTCTGTTATAAATGTAAATAGAAAATATAGTTAGTGTTTGTGGAACATGAAGTGCCGAGTGAGTTTTTTGCTAGATCTTGTTTTGGCTGCTAAGATGCCAAGCCAGTTTTAGAACCAAGAAGTCTTAATCTTAATGTCTTGACTGTCTTGACTACCCACATTACTGACGGTTCTGCAGGGCAGCACATTTTGGCAGCTTAAATCACTGTCTTCTTTGTTCTCTTTTACTTTTAGTGAATGATCACATCATCACAGTGACTAGGGTCTTCAGAGTTCCCTTTCACACACTGGCTTAATGCTTCTGATAGTCCATAAGGATTTGAACTTTTGCTCCACAAAGCTAGAACCCTTGGTCTTACTCTGTAACTGGAATGCATTAAAACATTTTAAAACCTTAGGGAGTCGGGTAGGACTTAACCATCTCAAAGACTGAATAAGGTGTTTTGATAGAGACTAGTTAATTATTGTACTCTTTCAAGTATATGCAATATGAGGTATTTTCTTTATAATTAAATGCAGGCTTTTTTTGCTTTTTATAGACATTTAATAATTACATGGATGTGTTAAAAAATTTTAATGAGAAAATTACAAATAGTCAAAATTTTTTATATGTAAAATAAGTGAGGGAGAAGAAAGAGTAAATGTTTATAGAATGTGAAAAATTATATATGTAATACATAATAAATATGAGACTAGGAGGAATAAATGAAACCAAATTTTAGTGAACATTATTAGACTAATCTAGAATCTAAAAGATAATAAAATCTGTTAAAGCTAACATTTATAGAAAAATACACCGTGAAGTATATTTTTAAGACTAAAACTTCTTTTCTAAAAATCTAGTGTAAAGTTTCAGTAGATAACATTTTGAAAAACCAAGTGATGCTTTGAGTAACCTGGTCATTGCATAAAAGGATATATAAGATTTTTTTTTTCTTGGCCATTGTGCGGCAAGTTAATTTTTAGGATTATTGTTTTTAAATTAAAAGTTCAAAATAATTTCCCCAGAAAAGCAGTTGGGTAGAAAATTCCTTTTCTACTATAAACCTATGACCAACAGTTCTCTTGTATTTTGAATTTTTAAATCTGGTTTCTCCTTTATTTGCCTTACACAAGACATCAGTCATATGTAAATGAATGAATAAATACACAGAGTACTTAAAGAGTTAAATTTGTAAACACAGGACATGAAAATAAGTTTAGATGGAAAAGGAATTCACATCAAGTTACTTTATAACAAAGGAACAAAAACAGGTAAAGTATAAAAGCATTATTTGTATGTGTACTTTCAAAAATAAGAATAAAAATACAATCCACACAAAGTAATTTCTGTATAATGTCTCACAGAATTTAGGTATTCACTTAGAAGTCAGATGTAATGATGTCCAAATAAAAGAACATTGAATAGAAGGCAGAAAAGGTTATTTAAGATTACAGGTGATAGATACACCTCTGTGGAAAAGGCAAACAACCAGGTGTGAAACAGAATCTGGCTGTTCACACCTCTTAGAATGCTCAATAAATGAGTGACAAAATGAATGGAGGAAAGGCTTTTAGGCTTAGGGATGACCCTAGGTAACTCTAGCAGGAAAATGTTGATTTTAACAAAATTTCACCCTGTCCCCTTGATTTATCTGTAGAGGTGTTTACCAAATTCTGAAAACACACTTGAAACTACTCTTAAAATAAAAAATTTTAATACACTGACATTAAAAACATACTGTGTATTTGATGTTAGGGTAGTTTTATGTATTTCTGCATAACATCAAGTGTTAGTGAGTTTGTACCTGTAAAAAGGTACTAAATTTGTTAATTGAGGCTAAGAAGAGAACAATGGAAGTATGTCTTCTTGATAACCAATCATGTGGGTGTCCGAATCCAGCGGACCTGATTATATCCAGGCCCTGCCACTTTACTGATTTGGGGGCTCTTCTTCAAGCCTTGATTTTCCTTCCTATGCTGTTGATCGTGGCCACCTCAAAGGGTAAGAGGATCAAATTAAATGAGATGGTGGGTGTTTTTGTTGGTTTTTGATTTTTTGTTGTTAAGACAGGGTCTTGTCCTGTTGCCCAGGCTGGAGTGCAGTGGTGCCATCATGACTCACTACAGCCTCGACATCCTGGCCTTGAGTGCTCCTCCCACCTCAGCCTCCCGAATAGCTGGGACCACAGACACATGCCACCAGGCCTGGCTAATTTTTTTATGTTTTGTAGAAGTGTTGTCTCTCTGTATTGCCCAGGCTGGCCTCAAACTCCTGGCCTCAAGTGATCTCTCACCTCAGCTTTGCAGAGTGTTAGGATTATAGCTGTGAGCCATTGCGCCTGACCGAGATGGGTATTTTTAAAGCTACTGGCATTCAGTAATGGTAAAAATGCTGTTAATTAATGATAATGACAACCTTCACAAAGGACTGGTTTTTATTCCTAAAGTCTCTTTTTCTTTTCTTTTCTTTTTTTCGAGACAGTCTCGCTCTGTCGCCCAGGCTGGAGTGCAGTGGCTCACTGCAACCTCTGCCTCCCAGGTTCAAGGTATTCTTCTGCCTCAGCCTCCTGAGTAGCTGGGATTACAGGCGCGCGCCGCCACGCCCGGCGAATTTTTGAATTTTTAGTAGAGATGGGGTTTCACCCCGTTGGTCAGGCTGGTCTGGAACTCCTGACCTCGTGTTCTGCCCGCCTCGGCCTCCCAAAGTGCAGGGATTACAGGCGTGAGCCACCGTGCCTGGCTAAAGTCTTTTTTTCTGTACACTGGTGTTTTTATTTTTTCTTTTTTTCTGTATACTGGTGTTTTTTGTTTTGTTTTGTTTTGTTTTTGAGACGGAGTCTCGCTGTGTTACCCAGGCTGGAGTGCAGTGGCGCGATGTTGGCTCACTGCAACCTCTGCCTCCCAGGTTCACACCATTCTCCTGCCTCAGCCTCCCGAATAGCTGGGACTACAGGCACCCGCCACCACGCCCGGCTAATTTTTTTGTATTTTTTAGTAGAGACAGGATTTCACTGTGTTAGTCAGGATGGTCTCGATCTCCTGATTTTGTGATCCTCCCGCCTCGGCCTTCCAAAGTGCTGGGATTACAGGCGAGAGCCACCACGCCCAGCCTCTGTATACTGGTTTTTAAAATAATTTTGGTGGAACCTCAAATTCCA
The DNA here is from genome assembly GCF_000001405.40 of Homo sapiens. Classification (NCBI taxonomy): domain Eukaryota; kingdom Metazoa; phylum Chordata; class Mammalia; order Primates; family Hominidae; genus Homo; species Homo sapiens. The sequence goes on from NC_000008.11 coordinate 30,490,159, forward strand.
GTGGATTCAGAGTATTTCTAAACATTGACTTATAGTTAATGGTAAAATTATTCATCCTTCCTTTCTTGGAGCTCATCAGGGAAACACAGTTGCAATGTTATCCTTAATATTCTCAAGCCTATAAAATATTGTAACCTGAACAAACACATCCTCATCTCCCTTTTATTTTATCTTAATTGTGCACATCTTTCTCCATTTCAAATTCTAATTGAATCTCTGTTTCGAAGACCCAACATCCATTGATTATAATGTTTCTTTAGCAGCCAGTGAGATTCCTGACTTAGAGGGGTTTTGTTTGTTATTGTTGTCTTTTTTTTTTGAGACGGAGTCTCGCTCTGTCACCCAGGCTGGAGTGCAATGGTGCAATCTTGGCTCACTGCAACCTCTGCCTCCGGGGTTCAAGTGATTCTCCTGCCTCAGCCTCCTGAGTAGCTGGGATTACAGGCGCGTGCCTCCACGCCCGGCTAATTTTTTGTATATTTGGTAGAGACAGGGTTTCACCATACCATGTTGGTCAGGCTGGTCTTGAACTCCTGGACCTCGTGATGCGCCCACCTCGGCCTCCCAACTGACTTAGAGTTTATAGATAAGCCTTTTTGCAGAAGGGGAGAAATTCAGCCTCAGTTTGGTTAGATCACTAGTAATCTAATTGCAAGGATTCATTAGAGTAGAGGAAGAGCACTGATTTCAGTTGTGTAGTGGCGAGATAGGTTTTGCCTCACTTTGTTTTGGCTCCCTGTGCAGCACAGGAAGTACTTTGCAGTGAACTTCCTAAGTTTGGACTTGACTGTTTACATTCTTTTCAACTAACTTGTGCCTTAAGCCCCAAGTTCTTGGTTGGAAGGAGGTTGCAAGCCATTTGATGGTGTGTGTTAGAGGTGTTTTAAAAAATAGGGTTAAGGAGCAAATTTACCCACTTTGCTTATTTCTGTACTTTTATGAAATTCATCAGTGACATCTCCCCCAACCCTATTGATTAATTTAGTATATGGTATTAGTAAATGATGTTGAGGACCAGTAAATAATGTATTGGTATAAATGGCTCATTTTTATCCTTAGTGAAATAAAGGATATAAAACCATTGACTTATAAAATTATTTGTATTTTTTAAATGTACTACAGCTTTTTCTTTCTAAAAATTTGTTGTCAAGTTGTACAGTTTGAAAATTAGTAGCTAGATCAAGATAGTGATTATCTTTGGGGGAGGGGGAAGAAAACAAGAAAATGCACGTTTTCTACTTGCTCTTGGTATTTCATTTCATTAACATTACCTAAACTTGGTTGGGCACACACAGGGTGGGAGGTTTCACTGGATCCTGTTGGGGGCTGGGGGGCTGATTGCTAAAATACTGGAGAGCAGAAACAGGATTGTGAAAATATACTTGGAGGCCTATTGCGGTCTATGTCTGATCTTTAAATAGAAATCTTCTCAAAATGGTTTTGGAAAGTTTAGGCAACTGTTTTTTTTCAATTGTAGAGTTTGTTTATGTCAGTACTGTTTTCTCTCCTCCTCCTACCTCTTTTTTTCTTCTGCACCAGCCACTAATAAAAGCTCAAAGTAAACTTTGCAGAACGATCCTTAAAACATATACAGAAAGTTAAGATAGGTCCTCAAATGACCTAACAAGCACTTAAGGTGAAGCTAAAAGAAGAGCTCGTTAAATGCATTCTCTTAGCCTGCCTACCTCACAAGTAGGACTTATTCTTCATGTGCTTTTCCATGTAGACACAGACACCCCCACCCCTCCCCCAATGGAGTTTCGCTCTTGTCGCCCAGGCTGGAGTGCAATGGCACAATCTCGGCTCACTGCAATCTCCGGCCTCCACGATTCAGGCAATTCTTCTGCCTCAGCCTCCTGAGTAGCTGGGATTACAGGCGTGCAGCACCACGTCTGGCTAATTTTTGTATTTTTATTAGAGATAGGGTTTCACCATGGTTGTCAGGCTGGTCTCGAACTCCTGACCTCAGGTGATCCACCTGCCCCGGCCTCCCAAAGTGCTGACATTACAGGTGTGAGCCACTGCGCCCAGCCGACACACTTGTTTTTTAAAATAATTCTCTGAGACTTTTTATATTACACAGTGTTAATTATTCAACTTATCTTTGAGTGCATAAAGCACTTTCACACATGCATGCATCCATTGTCTCATTTTGCCTGATAAGTGCATAATATGTATTAGATGCAAAAGTAGGTTGATCTCCTTTTCAGTAATTAGAAGATTAATGTGTAATTATGTATAATTAGTCCTTTCTTTAAAGAGCTGACACCACGCTTGTCAACACCAGTAACCCTTTGACTTAAAAAAAAAATACCCCTTTTATCTTTAAAGGATCTAGATCGTCATCTGCTAATTGGATATGAAATTAGTAAGTATTTCAAAACCCATCCCTTCCAAGTTTAATCCTGGGTTTTGTACTTGGCAGAAGCTGTATGGGCACATATGTGGCCCTTATGAATGAAAGTGATTCTCTCAATTTGCAATCACTAGGAAAAAAAAATACAAGCTACTTTTAAAGTTGTTATTGATAATGAATTTGCACATAAACCCCCCTACTTTTTCACTGGATTCACTATGTAACCAAAGGGGTGTGTATTTTCTAGACTGGCCTGTTTCAGTAATATAGACTGGCTTCTTTAAGAATAAGGTTGTGATTTCTTTTGTCCATTTTATTGTTGTTTTCTTTTTTTCTTACTCTTTTTTTCCTTTTTGGTGCCAAATTCACTGATTTAAGCCTATGATCTGAGCTTTACAGAGATGAATCACATAATCGGGAAATCATTTACATGTTCACATTGACAGGGCATGGTTTCTATGCCACATTTCTGAAATTTTTGATGTGACACCCATAAGGCTTTAGTCAAATACAAGGACGTGCTTTGTTGAGGCAAACCCACTGTTGATTTCCCAAGTCAGTGAAGTTGGCCATTAAAATTCTGAAGTTTCTTTGGTGTCACTTGACAGTGACCGACATCAGACTGGAATGTCTTGGGCCAACATTAAGCCAATATGGACCATTAAAAATTTGTTTATAGGTTTTCCCCAAATCACCCCAAGGTCTCTATCAGAGTTGAAAATTTAACTGAATTGAGAGCTATTGCCTAGGATCTGCTTCCTTTAAGCTTTCATTTTGAGTGCCTTCATTTAGCAGGTAGCAGGAGAAAAAGACATTGATGCAAAGGGGAAAGAATGTATGCCAATGGGTTTATTCATTATCCTTACAGTGAGACAGGAGAGGAAAAGGCAGTAAGGACTCTGCAATGAAAGGGACTACTGGCAGCACCAGCCACGTTTGGTGTTTGTGCATTAAGGATTCTAAGGGATGTTTTTATGCCTACCAGAGCAGTTGACCTGCTGCTTTACCTTCTGTTCACCTTCAGAGTTCTCGGTGTAAAAATGTGAGCATCAGGATTCCTGAGTAAGAGAGTACCATCTGCACTCTGGCCTATGTTTCTTTCCATGTAATATTATCTATTTCAAAGTGTCACTGTAAAATATTTCTTTAATGGGTAACTGACTGTGTTTGGGTTAGAAACAGCCCTTTCCTATCATTGTCAGGGCCCAGGTCTTTCAATCATCCTTTTCAGAATGGTTTGAGAACATAGTGGCAAAAGTTCAAACAATCACGCCCTCTCGACCCTTTGGAAAATAAACTCTGCTTGTCTCTGATTCTCTTGACATGTTAAAGATTGCGTTTATCGCTTCTTCAAAGGCCCTGTCATGACTTTATAGTCATCCTATACAAAGCAGATTCTCCTAGGGCATGGTTATATACATAGGGGTGGTTGGCTAACACAAAAAGTAAGTGTGTGTTGTAGAAAAGAAATTAATTGGGCTGGGGTGGATGGTCAAGTCAGATGGAGATTCCAGATACCTTCGAAGTATATCTGCCTGGTTCCTCCTACAAAGGGAATCCAGTCTCTGCAATTACCAGCCAGGCCTCTAAGATCTACTCAGACTGTGTGAACCAACAGACATGGGGCAGGAGAAGCAGGACACACGTCAGCTCCCTGTGGGGGAAACACAGGAAATAAAGGAAACTACACAGCATCAGACTGGACAGCAGCTCAGGTGTCCTGCTGCTTTCTCCCAATTGGGGCAGTCTCAGAGCAGAGTATGAATCTCATCTTTCTCTTTCTAAGTAATAGAAGAACCTCTCCAAAAAAGCCAAAGGAGAAGAATCCCCATTGGTTCATATTTGGAAGAGGAGCTCCATAGCTGATAAGCACTGGGCCATAGGGATTAGTGTTTATCAGATGTCAGGCATTAATCCGGCCATTTACAAGATCTCATTTAATCTTTACAATGAATGCTATGAAATATGGACTATATTCATCCCCAGTTTACAGCAGAGGACTGAGACACAGAAAGGTTAAACAGTATATCCAAGGTCAATACTGGAGTAGTATTTGAATCTAGGAAGTCAGACTCTTAAATCCACACTCCCGATTCTCACAGTGTAAGCCTCTTGTTCCTGGGGAGGTTCCACAAAATTGATTGTGATGCTGAGTTGGGATGTCTCTTTTATAATTGTGACTATAATTAACTCTAGCTGATGGTACTCCTAGACACCTAGTTTTCTCGATACCTTTGCCAGTTGTAGAAGGGGATTGATTAACCAAGACCTTCTTCTCCTGGTTGCTTTTCTAATCCTTCTAGGTTCGGGGGCAGACATGAGGTTTTCCCCATTTTGTTATTGGAGCAGTTACTACATACCTTAAACACAATGTATTGTTTTCACCATAGGAATTTGGCTTAGTGGTGGGAGGGTGTGAGTTTGAGTGCCACAGTTTATTCAAAGGAATAAAAGTGAAGCCAAATGTACATTGTATTTTAAGAAGTGGCCTAGTCACTAGGAAATATTAAAATCTTTTTATCCCTCTGGTTAATGAGGATGAGATTAGGCTTCTCTATCATGGCCAATATTATTCTTTTATAACACTTAGCTTGTTACAGATATTATCAGAGGAGAAGTTACACAGGCTTGAAATCAAAGATAAACCTGTGGAAACATTCTAGACTAGACATGGAAACATATTCCTGTCTGTTACTAAAACATTCAAAAGAGGATAAAATTTTATTGCGTTTTATGGAACATCTGGTTTAGAAACAATTATGAAGGTTTTTTTTTTTTTTTTAAATTCAAGGGGTTAAAAATCAAAACTGACTTCAAGATATGTGGTAACCTAACACTTCCTGGAAGACTGTTCAATTAGGCAATCAAGCGAGAAACTGTGCCCAGACTCATGGCCCAGCATCACCTCTAATGGCTCCATGGGCACGTATACCACAGGAAGCCTTGGGAAAGGGGTCTCTTTCTCCAAGTGCAGTATAGCTGTTTTACCAATGGACAGGCAAACATGTTTTCAAATGACTGATTTAGGCAAGGGAAAAAAGGAGTATTAAATCAGATTATTCTAAGGTAAAGCCAGGGCAAGCACTGGGAGGTAGTTGGATTAAGAAAAAGAATGAGGCATAATTGGTGTGATACAGTTTCTCATTGGGCAGTAACCCAGCAGCACAGGCTGTTGTATTAACAGTCCTGATGTCTTTGCAAGCAATGCCCTTATTTAGGAAAAGTATGAAATACGGTTTACATCTGACGGATTCTTTCCCTCACTTGTTCATTCTCTGTTGGAATCCATATCTACCTAAGTTTCATCACAATGCAAACTGAACAACAGCCTCAGTTATTATCTGGAAACAATGTAGTCTTTATAAAAGAAAAATCTTCACGGAACTGTAATGTCCTCACACACACACGCTCTATTGGGAATTTAAAAATTGGATTGTGATATGGATTCTACCAGTAGTTAGCTGGGAATTTAGGCACATTATTTTTCTGGATCTTTTTTCATCTGTGTTGGGAAGCCTATTGGCATTTTGGATGAGAATTCTTAACATTGTGTGGGACTATCCTGCTCCTTTTAGGACTTTATCTTCCTGCCTCCTGCCTAATGAATGCCTGTGTGGTATTCAGTCATATAACAGCCTTCAGATACCCTTGCGCATTTCTTTTTTTTTTTTTGAGACGGAGTCTTGCTCTGTCTCCCAGGCTGGAGTGCAGTGGCATGATCTCAGCTCACTGTAATCTCCACCACCTGATTTCACGCCATTCTCCTGCCTCAGCCTCCCAAGTATCTGGGACTACAGGCGTCCGCCACCACGCCCGGCTAATTTTTTGTATTTTTAGTAGAGCGGGGGTTTCACCGTGTTAGCCAGGGTGGTCTCGATCTCCCAACCTCGTGATCTGCCCTCCTTGGCCTCCCAAAGTGGTGGGATTACAGGCGTGAGCCACCGTGCCCGGCCACCCTCACTCATTTCTAAATACTCCTAAGGAGTAGGGGGAAAGGGCAATGAGGAGTACTAACCATGGCTGAGAACTAGGCTTGATGACCCCAAAAGTTCAGTACTAATTATGAATTTCATGATTTATGTTGACAAACCTGTATTACTTATCAGAGAACCTGACCCAGTTCTCTACTAGCTTCCCATTCCTGTGATCTTTACTCATAGTTTTCTATTTTAAAAATGTTTGAGTGTCACAAGTTTTCACTTGTAACACAGTGATATATTAATAAATGGTAGAAAACTTCTACTGGTTCATTTTTAACTCACCTGCACACTGTTGTCTCTCAGTGAGTCCTGTGCTCTCCACTGTAATAGATTACCCAGATGCGGGTTTATCTGTGGCCTGTCATGGAGTCATTTCAGGCTCCAACTGAGCGTAACAATTGTTTTCACAGACTCCTGGGGAAACTTTCGACTATACCTTGCCTAGTTTCTGTTTCTGATATAACCGATTATGATGCCTGTGGCAGAGAAAGCTGACAATACTCAAAAAACTAAATATATTTTAACCTTGGACCAATATTTGAGAGCTCAGAATCTCTCTAAAGTATGTATTTACTTCCTAGTTTCTGATGGAAATGACATGGCTATCAATTTTAAGAAACAGTTTATATTCCTAACTTATGTTTTTAACTTCTAAAAAGGCAAAAAAAATTCTTTCTGCTTCATTTCCTTTTCTCCTGTTGAAAGATTTGTGGTCCCCAGGATATTTCCTTTTCTTGTGACCAAAACGCTCTTTGAAAATAGTAGAAGGCTTTTATTGTGGCTCATGCCTGTAATCCCAACACTTTGGGAGGCTGAGGCAGGCAGATCACTTGAGGTCAGGAGTTCAAGACCAGCCTGACAAACATGGTGAAATCCCGTCTCTACTAGAAATATAAAAAATCAGCTGGGCATGGTAATGCACACCTATAATCCCAGCTACTCGGGAGGCTGAGGCATGAGAATTGCTTGAACCCCAAAGGCAGAGAGGTTGTAGTGACCCAAAATCATGCCACTGCACTCCAGCCCGGGTGACAGAGTGAGACTCTGTCTCAAAAATGATAAACCGGTAGAAGACTTTTATTCTTAGCTCTCTCTAGAAAATGGTTTTTTTTGTTGTTGTTTTGTTTTGTTTGTTTGTTTGAGATGGAGTCTTGCTCTGTCGCCCAGGCTGGAGTGCAGTGGCACCATCTCGGCTCACTGCAAGCTCCACCTCCCGGGTTCACACAGTTCTCCTGCCTCAGCCTCAGCCTCCCGAGTAGCTGGGACTACAGGCGCCCGCCACCACGCCTGGCTAATTTTTTGTATTTTTAGTAGAGATGGGGTTTCACCATGTTAGCCAGGTTGGTCTCGATCTCCTGACCTTGTGATCTGCCCGCCTCGGCCTCCCAAAGTGCTGGGATTACAGGCATGATCCACCAAGCCCGGCCACAAGGTCACAGAGGGATAGTAGCAAATTTGACCTTGAGTTTCATTGGCTGTGGGTTTTCATTTGGAGTTGGCCGTGGAGGAAGGGGCAGTATAAAGGTTGTTAGAATCAATTGAAGAAGTCTTTCAGCCTACTAGATGGGATCGTATATTACTACTACCTTACTATTTTTATCCTATAGTAAAAGGCAGTTTCATCTAGTTCAGTACATATGCCTCAGATCTACTGGATCAACAGATCAGAATGGAAGTGTAGGAAGCTCTAGCAGAATCTGATAGGAAGCTCTTAAAGAAGTGACTTGTGGCTGTATCCCAGAGGAGGTAGAGCCTTTGATTATTTAGAAGCTTCCTTGGAGAAGTTCAGTATCTCAGAAAGTCAAAGCAGGTGGGGAGGGGAGTTGGAATTCTAGATCCTCAGCTTTTAGTCAATATTTATAATATATATTCATAAGTGGGTTAGCAGAAAGATGAATGGGTCGATGAATCAGCTTTCACTTTTGAAATGGTAGAATAGTTTTTACTTGCTATGAATGCATAGGCAAAGTGGAGACAACAAGGATGGGGAGAGACTCCAAATTGAAGACAGAAACAAATGACTAACTGTATGTCAAATGAATAACACAACCACACTGAAGGTGGGGGGAATGGGGAAACTAACCCACAAATAATCCAAATAATATACATATTGGCAACATACATTTAGACTAAAGACAAAAAACTGTAAATAAATATAAGTTGTAGTTAATAGACTTTTTATAGTGGTATCGGTTAGCAATTGTGCATTTTTGTATTGAGCAAATAAATAAATGTATAGTAGATAATGAGAGCTAGGATTCTCGCTATTAGAGGAGTTACACATAGGCAAAGGAGAGGGATAGAATTAACCAAATGGTGTTAGATTGGAATTGGAGCTATCAGTATGAACTTCAATACATCTAAATATATTTTAAATATATTAAAATGTGTTTATTAAAATAAAAATTAAAAATATTTTAAATATATCTATATGATGCAGAGAAGTAGATCTGAATGTTAGGGCATGTATGTGTACACAACTGGGACACTTGGAACAGCAAAATAAATAATGATAGTAATGAATTATAAAGCATAGAGCTAAATATAAGTCTGTAAGTCATTACTGATGTAAATAATTAACAGGGCAGAAGGGAGAGCTTTTCCATGGAGTAGAAAGCTGATACACTGTATATAAAAGGAGCAATGAAGGCAATCCCAGCTACTCGGGAGGCTGAGGCAGGAGAATTGCTTAAACACAGGAGGTGGAGGTTGCAGTAAGCCGCTGAGATCATGCCGCTGCACTGTAGCCTGAGTGACAGAGCAAGACTCCGTCTGGTGGCAGCAGGGAGGAGCAATGAGATTACTAAAGCACCATTTGGCAACTACAATAGTAACAGTTGCTTCAGGTAATAATTATTAATAGGTGTTAAAACTAGTAGATTTTTTTGAAAAACAACATATTTATATAGTCTGGAAATATCTGTCTATAAGAAACTACTTAAAAAGGGAAAACAGCATCTTTACAATAGAGAAACTTGGCAAATGATCAAAGCTAATATCACTCGTAATGGGACAAAAGTGACATCATGTGCCTCTTGATATTATGCACTGTGCAGGACATCCATCTCTGATCTTCCTGCCAAAAAATGCGTAACCTGAATCTAAACCAAAAAAAAAAAATTAGATAAACCCAAATCGAGGGCTACTCTACAAAATAAATAGCTTGTAGTTTTCAAAAATATCAAGCTCATGAAAGGTAAGGACTGAAGAACTCTTTCAGGAGACTAAAGTGATGACAACTAAGTGCTGTGTGATTCTGGATTAGATCTTGGATCAGGAAAACAAAGAGATGTCCTTGTTTTTAGGAAATCAAACTGAAGTAAAGGGTAAAAGAATAGCATGCTTGCTACTTACTTTTAATCAGTTCAGGGGAAACTGTGTGTGTGTGTGTGTGTGTGTGTGTGTGTGTGTGTTTGATAAATGTGAAATGCTAACATCTAAGAAATCTGTGCAAAGGGTATATAGGAATTATACTATGTCTGCAATTTTTCTGTAAGTCTGAAATTATTTCAGAATAAAGTTCTTTGTTAAAAGTAACTAGTTTTTAAAAACATAGCTGGTTGAATGCTGTGTCCCAGTAGGAAATCCCTTATTCCACCTCTCTCCTTTTGTTTTTAATTCTGTATTGGATTTTATAAATTATACATAGTTGTAAAAATTTCAAATGATGCAAAATTGTACAAAAGTCTGTGCCCTCTCTCACCCCTACCACTAAGTTGTCTGCTATTATTAACTGGTTGGTTGTCTCATTCTAAACCTTTCTGGACTTACACAGATAGAGAAGTATACATGCAGATGTATATACAGTCTCCTCTACCCCCATACTACCAAACATTGTTGAGTATCTTTTTTTTTTTTTTTTCAGGCTAATCTAGCCATGGACATCTTTCTCAATATGTATATATAGCTCTGCTTTGTTTCTAAGCATTTTTTTTCTAAATGAGTCATTCCATTGTCCCTAAAACTCATTGTCAAGGACTGATGGACTAACTTTAGCGCAGAACCATTTGTAACAACACTGGGAGCCTGAAGCTAACAGAATTGAAGTACTCTGTTTATTGTACCACATAACCAAGACTGTATCAGGTATGAGGGTGCTCTGAAGACCTCAGTGACAGGAATTTGGAGACTTTTTCTCTAGTGAGAGGCTGTTACGGTGACTCAGCTTTGGTCAACACCATTTTCTGTGTCTCTATATAGGCTCAAGGTTGAAATCCTTATAAGAGAAAACAGGTTTTGTCACTTTAGGCTGCAGCTGCCCCTTAAATAGGCAGCTGTGGTCAGAGGAATAAGGGCACAGAACACAGACATTGGCCCCTGAGTACCCTTCCCAAAGAAGAAGGCTTAGAGGGCAGTAGCCATCTCATCCCAGCTTCTCTTCCCAGGGCTGCTCTAATGGTTTCATATCTGATCTGTTCTAGTCCCTTCATTGAGTCTGTCTTCCCTACCACCCCTAGAGTTACCGCCAATCACTGTGATTCTCAAATGTGGTCCCTACACAAACAGCATCAGCATTACCCTGAACTTGTTAAAAATGCAAATTTTCAGATTCCATCTCAGAGCTACTGAACCAGAAACTCTAGCAAATCCTCCAAGTTGATGCTGCTAACATTTGAGGGTCACAGACCTACTACATAAAGCTGATCATATTATCCCCCCCATTTTTAAAACCTAATGGCTTAGCTGAGCACACACTCCAAAGTCCTCAGTCATGGCATAAGAGGTCCTTTGTGATCTCTCCCCAGTCTGCTTGTTCAGCCACCCCACCCCTGACCCCTCCCACCCCAACACCCTTTCTGCATCCTGTTACAGAGAAATTTGCTGAGCCCTTTCCTGAACTGCACCTGGTGAACTTCTACTCTTCATCACTTCCTCTGGTGCCTTCCCTGGCTCCCTGGCATGAAACTGCCCTGGTATACTTTTAAGTATACTGGACGAACAAGAATATGTTGTTTCTCAGCAGTGTCCTTTTAAAGATCTCCCAGAATTTGCCCTGAGTAGGGAATTCAGCCTCTGTAGATTATATGGAACCTGCATTTGTAGAGACTGTTGGCTGTCCAGTAGCCAGTCAGATTGGGGTGCTTGTAAGTAACTGTTTATATTCAAATTAATATACTAATATTCAGAAACTGTCCTTTCTGGTCCATGTAATAAATAGGACACCATTTACATTTGGAAGAGAAAGGTTCTCTGTTCATTGTGAGAAGAACGGTGAATTATGAGCAAGAGAGGAAAAGGTTGCTTTTGAAAGACACAGGTTCACCCTTTCACTTGGCAGTAATCTTATCCTGACAGCATTTAATGTGGAGTAATTGTAGCCAGAGAAGAATCTTAGTAGGCTTTAATTAAAAACACAAGGAATTTTTTTCTCTTGTCTTCTTCCTATCTGCCTCTTTTTCTTTTTTCCCTCTTCGTTTCTGTGTTCTCCCTTTTCCTGCCCCTCTTTTTTCTCCTCTTCATCATCCCTTAACATTTAAAATGTTTTTGGCTTGGCTAATCCCTATGGATGGAAACTTAGCTGCGCAGGATATTGATTACCAAATATGGTATTGCTGCTAAAGATGTTAGAGGAATGTGGCTTGTATTCTAAGCCTCCGGCCTCTGAATAAGCTGCCAAACAAATTAGGTCATTTTAACTTCTGAGCTTTTTTTTTTTTTTTTTAAATAAGGATGCTGGAACTTTGATTTGGAACATGATGTTGATGTTATTTTAGTTCAAATTGGGGGGCGGGTATGAAGAAGGGGGCAGGGAGTAGGGGAGACTTAGTTCAGCATGTTTTAGGACTCAAGCCGCCAGCCCAGGTTGTGTAAGAGGCAAACACATGATGTGGAGCTTCAGTTGATTCTGGAACACCAGTGAAAGAGCTGAGGCATAGAATTCACATGTGCAGCCTCATTTTCTGAGGCTAGATGCTCTAGACCACAACTAGGTCCCAGGATACTCTTCACATCATCCCCAGTGGCCTGGGCCACAGGACTCAGGTTAATGTGAACTCAGGTTTAGGAAAGTTGCTTCTTCACAGGAAGGTTGGTCAAGTTTAGTGCCGGGGAGGACGTCCTGAAGTTGATGGCAAGTTGCTACTATGTGTGTCTGATGGAGTGTGGTGCAAATGAGGAAGTCCTTTTACAGCATACCTGTACGTAACACCCAGGGACTGTGCTTGCCTCCCAGCAGAGACCACAGTTCTTAGGTCCATTCTTGGAAATATTAATTCTGTTGTAATATTAGCTTTGTTAGGGTGGAAGTTGGTCCACCTCAGTGAGGTCCTTTGTGACCTCACCCCAGCCTGCTTCAGAATGCAGCTTTGCTTTTTGTTTTTGTTTTTCCTTATATACTTTTTCTTCAAAATAATACTGAGGTTTCCCAAATTTAAAAAACAAAAATACAACACAATATCAGTTAAAGAAAATGTTCTTATGTTTCACAGAACAGGCACTATCTGTTCGCTTTTTGGTGTTGATTAGGTATGCACAAGGGTATTCTCCACATCCCTTTTGCTACTGCCCTCAGTTGGTTTCTTCTCAGAATGAGTGAGTCATGCTCATGAAGTTCCACCCACTCCAAGACTTCTGGGTCAGGGCTCTGTGGCTTTTGTTAGGCCTCCCTAAGGACCTCTCTTTCCTTCCCCTTCCCCCCTTGTTTCCTGTTAATGCCATTACCATCCAGCCACAGGCTCTTCCTTGTATACTTGAAGCTGAGCCTGTGAAGTTCAGAGTTGTTCATCCTGGTCTCTAGAGTAAGAGAGTCTTGTTTTTGTGGATATTTCTTTTTTTGAGACAGAGTCTAGCTCTGTCACCCAGGCTGGAGTGCAATGGCGCGATCTTGGCTCACTGTACCCTCTGCCTCATGGGCTCAAGCAATTCTGTCTCAGCATTCCAAGTAACTAACTGGGATTACAGGTGCATGCCGCCACGCCCAGCTAATTTTTTTTTTTTTGTATTTTAGTAGAGATGGGGTTTCACCATGTTGCCCAGGCTGGTGTTGAACTCCCGAGCTCAGGCAATCCACTCGCCTCGGCCTCCCAAAGTGCTAGGATGACAGGCATGAGCCACAACGCCCTGCCTGCTCTTATTTTTTTTCAAGCTCATTAGGAAGAATGGTGGCGAGGGGGCGGGGGATGCTTTGGAGCCCTCAGGCCCATGTGTGTACATTCAGAACACTAAATGGCAACTGTGTTCTTAGGAGACTCGTTTTCAGGACTCCAGTCCCTTTCCAGACCACACCATGAAAACATGGGAACTGAGTGGGTCCCATGGGTGCACATTTAAAATACACTCTCTTGGGATATCTTTTTGACACGTAGGGTCCAGAATTCATGGTATTGGATGCTTAATAATGAAGACATTCTTGAATGGTGGAAAGGTTCCAAATAGACTTGTCTTGCGCTAGTGTCTTTCATAGTGTCTGTGATTTGTTTTACTGAATATAATCTATTTTAGGTAAACTGCAGGAATAGGGTCAGAGGTAACTGAAATTACTATATATTAAAGTGTGTAACTGTGCTAGGAATTTGCTGGTTCAAATTTTAAACTGAAAAGTTTTTGTCTAAAAAGAAAAGGAATAGTTGAAAATCTGTGTAACTACATTTTTTAACTAAACTAAATCCCACTGACTTTCGGGACACTTTGTGTTGTCATTTTTCATGTAACCTGTGTAAGTAGTAAGAATGAGAGTGGTTGCTGACCTTTTTTCCTGATAGACCAGGGTTTACTGGTGTGTTTATTTTGTCACCATTCCGGTTTGACTCAAAGGAAATGAAAACATCTTCCATTTGTTCTCTGTTTCCAAAGGGCATCCGCTTCGATCCTGAAATTCCGCAAACACTACGACTAGAGTTTGCTAAGGCAAACACGAAGATGGCCAAGAACAAACTCGTAGGGACTCCAAACCCCAGTACTCCTCTGCCCAACACTGTACCTCAGTTCATTGCCAGAGAGCCATGTAAGTCGATCTACTTTTCATTCAAAAGTAATAATAACTAAGAACTGTTCATGTGCTGCATGTGAGGTTACACCATGGGACATGGAGCTGGCTGAGTCTTATTTTCCATTTCTGTGAAGAGGTTGCCTAGGCGTTCTTGGTGTCAGAATTCCAAATACAGCAATCTTGTTTGTGATTGGCTTCCCAAAAGATGGTTCAGCTTGAATAGAACCATAACTTCAGAATATCATTTGATGTACTACAGATTTCCTTAATGTTATATTGACCATCATGAGTATGCCCCTAGTTGCCTTGGGTATAAACCCTTCATTCCCCCCTGCTCGGACACGAGAGCTGGTTCTCAGCATTTACTTTAATCCATTTGTTGAAGGACATCAGCTCGGTGGCTTTGGAAAAATAGGATATTAAAAGAGAAAGAAGCAGATCTTGGGAATTTGGTTCTATTCAGTTTAGCCATAACTCTAGGGGGAAAAGTAAACACATACAAAGAATGTATATATTGGAACTGTCAGTCTAGCAAACTAATACCAGTAAAACTTTAAGGAAATTTGGGGCTTTCTTTTCCAACTTAATTGGATAAGGACACTGGCTAATTGCTCAAGACGTCTTCTACCCCACATTAATAAGCTTATTTCATTATATGTCCAGACTACCATTTCTGCCTTTCCCTGAATAACTTTAAAAGATTGAATTTGCTTTCTCAAGCTCAGTCAGTGGCAGAAGTGGGGCATGAGACAGGCCTTAACTTCTCCTTTCATTGCAGAGCCATATGTGATTTAATATGGCAGGGCATTCAAGGAAACCCAAGTGACTTGGATTCCAAGTTATTTGGAATATTTCTGTCCTGTTGTTTTTGGTCTGCTTTCTAAACCACACGGTTGTGATCTTCTTCCTTCGATAGTACATTTTAACTCTTCTTATTGAAATTGAAGGACACATGGATTCCTTGCTCCCCCCATGTCATGTGCATGTCAGATTTAATCAGGTTATCTTTGGAAGTCACAGCCATTCTGTAGTTCAGTCACTCTTGGTACTCATCAGTAGAAACTAACAGATAAGTCTCCCTGAATGTTCTAAAATAAATGTTTCTATGAATCCAGAAAGTCATAATAGATTAAAAAAAATTATTTTGTTCTTTCACCTTCTTTGTCCCAGGGAAACTAGAAACCTTTGCTTATTTGGGAAGGAAATCTAAACAAAAGTTACATCTTACAGTGTACTTGTAGTACAGGAGGATATAGGAACATCTTTTACATAATTCTTCATCCTTATAGTATCTAGCTTAATACTTTGTATATTGTATATATTTAATATTTATTATAGTGAGTGGATAAATTGATACTGAAATTGGGCTACTTGTAGAACTGTAGATGCATTTGTATGCCTCTTCTCTCTGAAATTTCTTCTCTCTTGATCAAGGCATCAAAAAAGAGTATTTTTAGGATGCCTGATTTAGTAAAAATAACCTAAAGTAATTCTTTGCCTTTTTAGTGAATTTGCCAGCCTCAGATCTCAGAGTTCTTTGAAAAGATTAATTCAGGCAGGAAATGTAATGCTGGTGATACTTAACTTTACCTTTTCAATTCTTTGCTGAATGCTCTTTTTAACAGGACCACGAAACTTTTTCTGAATTTCCTACAACAGCCCTGTGAAATAGGTAGCCAGGAAGGTTGTAGCCAGATTACGACATGCTATACAAAAGCAACAAATAGGAACAAACTGGACATTCACAAGTCCCTGAAGTTACAGGAGAGCATAGAAACTGAGCTTAGAACTCTTTTCTGGCAAGCTCTGCTCACCTCCCTTCCCAGCATACAGAACAGTGCAAAAATGGCCAGATAGTTTCCATGACAGGGTAAAAACTTGCCCAGCTGTTCACAGCAACACAAATTTGAAGTT
This sequence comes from Homo sapiens, assembly GCF_000001405.40. NCBI lineage: Eukaryota > Metazoa > Chordata > Mammalia > Primates > Hominidae > Homo > Homo sapiens. The sequence continues at coordinate 30,506,336 of NC_000008.11, forward strand.
TAAAAAAAAAAAAAAAAAAAAAATCCAAGCAGCCAGCAGTGTATTCTTGAGGAAAATAAAAGTCAGCATGATTTATCTTAATATAGCTCATTTTTACGACACAGCATCTTGAGGAGAGCAAGTCCACTATGGCTCAGGTCAACCTTATTATCCATTGCCATTCCCTCTGGGAACTGGGAACTTGACCGTCACATACAACTTGCTTACCTGGAAGCATACGGCAAGACTAAGAACACTGTGTTGGGTCTACACGGACAAACCCACTTGCATTGTACTCAGAATTGGTACTCAAGGTGGTCAGTTTAACTACTTATCAGGTGTAGAATATAATGGAATTGGAGAATTTGAGGATTGGAAAGGCCCTGAAGGCTAGTCTTTGTTGTAGGCCATAGAGGTTTTTTATAAATGTTTCTTTTGGTTACTGTTTTTATATGGTAGTGGCTGAAAAGCACTCGTTGCCATCACTAAAGGAAGAATGTTCTGTGGTTTGATTATACAACACACATACACTTGAACTCTCAATTCTCCATAAATATATGAACTTAATGAACTTAAACGAGCACCCAATGTGCTAGACCCTGGAGAAGAAGGAAATTGGTTGCTGCCTTAAAAGAGCTGTCGTTCCGGGGAGGTGATGGTGGTCAAAGTTGTCAGAAAAACTTGGCCCCATATGAAGGACATATAAGAGATTCTGCAGCTTAGTTGAGATTGACCCCGAATCAGACTGCCGTATTTGCTGAGCACCTGCTCTATTTGTGCCAGGGATGGAGAGTGAGAAAACCAGGTGTTGCAACTTAGCTGGGTAGATGGTGGCCTGCTGTGGAGAACTTTGGCTTCAGGCTAGAAGATGTCACTGAGAATCCTGTCGATAATTCTGCCAATTATTGACAAGCTTTGTGACCTTTAAGAGAAAAAAATTTTTTTCACTTGGTTGTGCTCCTATTCTCTCAGCTGTAAAATAGGAATAATACTTTCTGATTGTTAGGAGAGGTAAATAAAACAATATCCCAGGATTGGGCTGAGGATTAAATAGATATAGTGTATGTAAAGTACTAGGCAAACGTAAAGTACAATCATAATTTGTTAATAAAAAGCATTGGGTTGCCTTTCTTTCCTAATAGTTACAGCAGATATTGATCTTCTGAGTTGTCATCACAGTTTGAGTGTAGCCAATTGTCTTTGCAAGTTAGGAGAAAGGATGAGTGAAATTGACATACAATTTCAAGAAAGTAGTATACCTACCTGCCTAAATTAATAGAATTGATCATTAATTTGAGCTTTTATTTCTCTTCCTTGTATGTAATAAAGTTGGAAAAGATCTGTGAGAAAGCGGGAGTTAAGAGATGAGGAAGAATTATAAATTACATTAAATTCTCTTAGATTGTGCATTAGGTTGTACAGGAATGTAGTATTCTATAATAAGAACTCTGCTTTGGAGGTGAAGAAAGAGTAAGTCACTGTTACTGATTTTTATTTTTCTCGTCTGTAAAGTGATGATGCTGTGTGCCAGATCCTCTCCTAAGCATTTTTATGTGAATTATCTCATTTCATTCTCAATAGCACTTATTTTCCAGTTGAAGAAACTGAGGCCTGGGAAAGTCTAGTAACTTTCCTGAGTTAACACTGTCAGTAAGTGTGATGGCTGAATAGTGTCCCCCAGAATTCATATGATGAAGTGTCTGTTCCTAGTACCTCAAAATGTGACCATATTTGGAGATAAGATTTTTAAAGAGATGATTAAGTTCAAATGGGGCCCTTAGGGGTGGAGCCCTAATCCATTATGACTGCTATCCATATAAGAAGAAAAAGAGACACCAGGTATGTATATACACGGAGGAAGGGCCGTGTGAGGACAGAGGACAAAGCAACCATCTGCAAGCCAAGGAGAGAGACCTCAGGAGAAACCAACCCTACAGACACCTCTAGACTGGCCTCTAGAACTGTGAGGAAATAAATTATTTGTTGTTTAAGCCACTCACTCTGGTATATCACTATGGCAGCCCTAGAAATACAATACATCAAGTGATAGAGCCTAGACTTAAATTCTAGATTTTTTGTCATTTACTAGTTTTGTAAGTTTGGTTTAGTTACCTAACCTCTCTGTGTCTCAGTTTTCTCAGCTACACAGCGGCAATAATTAGGGCCACAGAGTCAGTACGCAGTGACTGTTAGTGTGCGTGTGTAAAAATGGGTACATTCACGTGCCTTTTGTCCCTCATAATTAAAAGACCTGTAGTTTTTCTGTGTTTGTATACTCAGCATCTCACATCTATAAATACATAATGGATTTTTTTTTTTGGTAACATACCATAGTTTTATTTTTATGTTTTTTTCAATTGATCATGATTTTCTTATTCCCAGCAAGTGTGGAGAGAGGTGCCCTTCAAAGTACTTTTTAAACTTACAGTGTTACTGAGGTCTGATTGGGATGTGATAAAATGCACATATTTAAGATGGCTCATTTGGTTAGTTTGTCATAATACATATGAAATTAATTGAATAAATGTTCTTGATGAGTTTATACTCTTTGCAATATACCTTATTATAATAGTGCCCTTAAAGGTGGAGGCATTCAACACTTAATAGAGCCTTTACTCAGTTTAGACAGATCCTGTCCTTTCGATTCAGTTTTTATGAAGCAGATATCAAAAGGCTCCAGAACTCTGCAGTAATGAAGATTCCTGTACTCCAGCTCCAAGGAGTCCGGTTCTGCAGGTCTGGGCTAGGACGTAGGCTCTGTATTTTAAAAAAATAATAATTGTTCTTATTTTCCTCCCCTCTAGGCTTTTAAAAGCTCTTTGGGTAGTTTTGATGCACAGTTGAGAGTCACTGATAAATCAAGGAATTTTTAAAGTTAAATTCTCCTTCCTACTTTCATATTCTTCTCCTTTGCCCCTGCACCTTTCTTCCTTCCTCCCTTCTTCCCTCCTCCCTTCCCTCTCTCAGACAAAAGCTTGCTCTGTTAAATTAGTACTCTTAGATACCTGATCAGCACATAACATTTTGGTGACTAATCAGATTACTTCCTTGTTTACCTGCCATGTCCCTGGAAGTTCCCATTTATCCAGTAACAACCTACGCTAACTGGAAGTGAGTTCTGTGTCTCATGTCTGAAGAGACCCTGTGAAGGTTCAGGAGAGCCTGTAAAGTATCTCACACATTCCCTCCCAGAGACAACACTGAGCAAATAGGAAATCTCTTAACATTCATCTCTGCGGGACAAGGTCATCCAGGGCCTATCTAAAGCTTCCTGTATCCCATGGTACAGAGCCCTGGTGCCTGCATTTTTTCCAAGGCAGCAGTGCATGGCATGCACAATTAGAAAGATTGGCAGATGTCTTGTCAGTTTCACGCCTGCTCTCCAGCGGCATTGTTTATGAAGACTGACTGGGCAGGAGGAATACCTAATCAATCTGGGCAGAAGGAACGGGACACAAGGGAATGACTAAAAGTTGCAGGTGTTCTGAGGGCAAGACTTTCTATTTCATTTTTTTCTCATAACCAAAATCCTACATGCTTCTCAGAAGAAAAATTTTCAGGCAGTCCAGCAAAAAAATAAAAGTCATTAAATTCTACTACCCAGAGACAATCACCATTAACAATTTGGTGCTTATCCTTACACACCTTTTAATATGCACATAATAAAATGTATCTCTTTCTGCATTTTGAATTTTGAAATCATTTAACTTACCCCTTTATCTTTAGGACAAAGTTTTGCTGCAAGTGAGACTAAGTGGCTCAGTAGGGCCGAAAATAATACCTGGGCTCTCACAAAACATCACCTCAGTCTCTGCTGCTGTTGCTGTAGAGCACTGTGTATTCATATGGCACAGATACGCTTGCTAGAATCAGAGCAAGAGGAATAGTGGCAGAGAGAAGTCTCTCTTAACTCTGATGTCTCGAGTAAACCCAAACCAGCTCCTGAGCTGCTTGAATTCTGGCATTTGATTGAATGATTCATAGGCCTTTATTTAATGGATGGGAAGAAAGGAAATGTTTATTGAGCAACTACTCTCTTTCCTTAAGAATTATATGTAAAATACCTATTTTACCCCTAAGGAGACTGAAACTCAAGAGTTTGAGTAGCTTTCCCAAAGTCACATAGCTCATTTTAAGGCGTGCTTGGCTCTAAAACTCATTGCTAGTCTCACATCACCACACTGCCTTTTTTTTTTTTCCAGTTATGTTTTTATTATTTACCTCCCAACCTGCTCCCCCTCCTGCCCTTCAACATTGCCTACCTTTATGGTCCATTTCTTGATTGATTGGCAGGGTTTGGCTCTGTCTCCCAGGCAGGAGTTCAGTGGCACAATCATGGCTCCCTGCAGCTTTGACCTCCTCTCAAGTGATCCTTCTACCTCAGCCTTCCAAATAGCTGGGACTACAGGTGCATGCCACCACACCCAGCTAAATCTTTATTTTTTGTAGAGATGGGGTTTCGCCACATTGGCCAGGCTGGTCTCCTGGGCTCAAGCAATCCACCTGCCTTGGCCTCCCAAAGTTCTGGGATTACAGGTGTGAGCCATGACTCACTTCTTTTTGAAGTAGCCCATGGGTGCTGACAGCTATAGTTCTTTCGAAGATAATTCCTTAGAAGGTGCTTTAAACTCACTCAGACCTTTGAAAATGCACTTACTAAAGAGATATAAAGTCAGGATTTCAGGGCTGGTCAACTTCTTATTGAAAAAAATCAAGGCCAGGCGTGGTGGCTCACACCTGTAATCCCAGCACTTTGGGAGGCCGAGGTGATCTCAAGTGATCAGGAGGTCAGGAGTTTGAGACCACCCTGGCCAACATGGTGAAACCCCGCCTCTACTAAAAATACAAAAATTAACTAGGCGTGGCAGCGCTCACCTGTAATCTCAGCTACTCCGGAGGCTGAGGCAGAGAATCACTTGAACCCAGGAGGCAGAGGTTGCAGTGAGCTGAGATCGTGCCACTGCACCCCAGCCTGGGTGACAGAGCGAGACTCTGCCTCAAAATAAAACAAAAAATCAAGCTTCAGACTGGGCTTGGTTGATCATTCCTGTAATCCTAGCACTTTGGGAGGCCGAGGCAGGCGGGTTGCCTGAGCTCAGGAGTTTGAGACCAACCTGGGCAACATGGCAAAACCCCATCTCTTTAAAACAAAAAAAGAAAAAAAAAAAAAAAATATATATATATATATATATATATATATATATATATATATTTCTGTGTGTGTGTGTGTGTGTGTATGTATAGATATATATATTTGTGTATATATGTGTATAGATATATATATTTGTGTATATATATATTTGTATATATATGTGTGTGTGTGTATATAGATACACATATATATATACACACAAAAAAAATTAGCTGGGCATGATGGTGTGCGCCTGTAATCCCAGCTACTCAGGAGGCTGAAGCATGAGAATTGCTTGAACCCGGGAGGCCGAGGTTGCAGTGAGCTGAGATCGCACCATTCCTCTGCAGCCTGGGCAACAGAGTGAGACTGTGTCTCAAAAAAAAATCAAGCTTCAGTATAATTCAGTAGCATCAAATTTGATGGCCAAGGTGCATTAACTGTAAAATGTTAGCTGAAGTTGAACCACCAGATCGTTTATATTTAGTTTTGGTGTACTTTTTTCTCTCTGGGAAAACTAAAACTAACATAGGAATGTGAGGGATTGTTTTACATAATATTGGGTTGGTTATTCAGGGAGATAAAATTTTCAGTCCACGTTAAGAGAACATGCCTCAAGTCAGTCAGTCTCTCTCTGTTTTTGAAGATTGGGCCTTGCTATGTCACCCATGCTGGCCTAAAAGTCCTGGGTTCAAGCAATCCTCATGCCTCAGCCTCCAGAGTAGCTGGGAGTACAAGCACATACCATACCACCTTGCCTGGGGTTTCTTCATGTATTTCCTTTTTTATTATTTATTTTTGTTTACTTATTTGTTTGTGTATGCTTTTTTGTTTTTGTTTATTTTATACATAAATATCTATGCATTTATACATACTGTATAAAAATACAGCATATGGCAGGTTTTTTGGTTGGATTTAGTTTAGATAAAACATGGCCATACTATTCTTAACATGAGTTCTCACCTCGTGGACCCCTTTCCATCCAGGACTATATATCCAAAGCATTGTTTTTTTTGTTGTTGTTTGGGTTTTTGTTACTGTTGTTGTTTTTTGAGGTTAGGTCTTGCTCTTTGACCCAGGCTGGAGTACAGTGGTGCAATCATAGTCATATCTCATCACTTCAGTCTCCAACTCCTGGGCTGAAGCCCGAGTGATCCTCCTGCCTCAGCCTCCTGGCTAGTTTAAAAAAAAAAATTTGTAGAGATGGGATCTCGCTGTGTCTCTAACTTCTGGGCCTTCTCGCTAGGCCTCCCAAAGTGCTGAGATTACAGGCAAGAGCCACTGCACCTGGCCACTGACCATACTATACTTAAACAAATTCTCACCTCATGAACACTTTTCTATCCAGGTAGACTTCATCAAAACCGCCTCCTTAAGCTCTAGGAAACTGATAAGAGCAGAACTCCATATGATCTCTTTCGTGTAGAGAGAGGAGTTCAGTTAGTGGTAAATAAAAAGGGGAAGGGGCCTGCCCTGAAGTTTCTTCTTGATATCACCCGAAATGCTACTGGGTGGGTAGATTTGGAGGTACACTTAGAAAGGCAGCCTTCCCACCCCACCCCACCCTGAGATTTTGGGAAGAGGTGGTAGTGAGGGCACACGTCATTATTTCACCCCTTTTTCTTGCCTCCAGTCTTTGCTGGTGAGGGATAGGAGTCTCAGTGTGAAGAACAGGTTGTGGGGAGAAAGTAATGCAGAGTCTTGGGGCAGCAGAGCCCTAGGGTGATAGCAAAAGAAAGAGGCCAGGAAGTGAGACACAGAGGAGAAAGACTTCAGACTGTGGCATCAGAGCCACAGCACCCAGCTGAATTTGTTTCTTTATTAAATCATTGAACAGCTGTAAACAAATAACAGGAACTCAGGTGCCAGGCACGGTAGCTCACACCTGAAATCCAGCACTTTGGGAGGCCGAGGCAGGTGGATCATGAGGTCAGGAGATTGAGACCATCCTGGCTAACACGGTGAAACCCTGTCTCTACTAAAAATACAAAAAATTAGCCGGGAGTGGTGGCAGGCGCCTGTGGTCCCAGCTACTCGGGAGGCTGAGGCAGGAGAATGGTGTAAACCCAGAGGCAGAGCTTGCAGTGAGCCGAGATTTCACCACTGCACTCCAGCCTGGGCGACACAGCGAGACTCCATCTCAAAAAAAAAAAAAAAAAAAAAAAAAAAATCAGGGACTCGAATCTCCTTGGATATCACATATTTCTATTGTAATGCAAATAATTGCCCCAACTTTTGTTTTATGAACTCAAATTATTCATTATATTCTTAGAGATGAAAGAGTAAAGGGAGTTGATTTACTGGGACAATCCAAAAGAAATACAAGCTTAATTATTTGATGACCATTTCTCACCTCACTTGCTCATTGTGAAGGAAGGTGTTTCTTACATTGTTGATGCAGGCTCCCTTTTACTTCCCTTTTGTAATCCTCAAATAAAGAGCTATCTTTTCTTTTACAGTATGGCAGTTCTCAAAAGCATGGTCCACGCACCCCTGGTTGGTCTCTGAGATTCCTTAAGGGAGTACATGAGGCCTATATTATTTTCACAAAAATAGTTTGCTTTTCTCATGTGTAGTAGTGGACATAACTACTGGCACCTTAATACATATCAAGACAGTGGCACCAAAATACATTAGTAATCATTTACCAATGTGAGCATTAGTAAAAAGTGTGCAGCAGTAAAGTGTGCATCCTCACTCCTGCACACTTTGTTAAGAAAAAAGCCAATTTTGCCTAAGAATGTTTTTGATAAACAGGTAAAAATTAACGTTATTTAACCTCAGCTCTTCAGTGCAAGTCGTTTTATGATTGTGACAGAATGGGGAGTGTACATAAAGCTGTTCTGTAGTTCTTTTAAGGTATGAAGTAAATGGCTGCTTCCTTTAATCCATTTTTACTTGACACTCATAAACTATGGTTATTCAGAGTTGGATTTTGGCTTTTTCTTGAAAAATTGTGAGATGTGCCTGTCACTTCACGGAAAATGACAGTTTTTGTTCCAAATAATAAAATTTTAGGTTTAAGGCAAAAATTAGAATTTTTGAAAACTTGACCACCATGATTTTGACAGTTTCCCAACAGATTGGTGGTGATGTTAATGAATTTTTTTTTTAATTGAGATTGAGTGTCACTCTGTCACCCAGGCTAGAGTTCAGTGGCTTGATCGGCTCACTGCAACCTCCATCTCAGCTTTCCCAGTAGCTGGGACTACGGGTGCGAGCCACCATGCCGGGCTTTTTTTTTTTTTTTTTTTTTTTAATGTAGAGGCGGGGTTTCCCCATGTTGGCCACGCTGGTCTCAAACTCCTGACCTCAAGTGATCCACCCACCTTGGCCTCCCATAGTGCTGGGATTATAGGTGTGAGCCACCACTCCCAGCCATATTAATGAATTTTTAAATTGCCTAATGAAATGGGTCAACATTTAGAAGATCCACATAACTCATTGAACCATTATCTTCCAAATGACCAATGTATTATATTCCAAAATCATGCATGGGTAAAGGTCTGTATGAAATGGAACAATGGATTTTTAAAAATCTTTTTTAGTTTTTACTTTTTATTAGAGACCATGTCTCACTCTGTTGCCAGTGGTTCGATCATAGCCTCAAACTCCTCCCAGGGTCAAACGATCCTCTCTCCTCAGCCTCCAGAGTAGCTGGGACTACAGGTGTGTGCCTCCAGACCCAGCTAATTTTTAAACATTTTGTACAGATGGGGTCTTGCTTTGTTGCCCAGGCTGGTATCAAGCTCCTGGTGTCAAGCCATCCTCCTGCCTTAGCCTCCCAAAGTGCTGGGATAGCAGGTGTGAGCCACCACACCAGGCCAGGACAATGGATTTTAATGGAACATAATAGGAAAGCTCATTGATAAGGTTTCAGATTCCATAATCCAAGACATCTTTAATAACCACCCCTTAATAAGTGTTGGTGTAATAGCAGAGAAGAATATCCAGTTACCTGTAAAGGGTATTGAAATATTACTCCTTTGACCAGCTAGATGCATGTCTCTGTGAGACCATATTTTTTTCATATACTACAGCCAATACAATATGTTACAATAGATTTAATTTGAAGCAGGTATAAGAAACCAGTTGTCTTCTATTAAACTAGATACTAAAGAGATTTGCAAATATGTAGATCTAAAGTTTTATCTTTTTTTCTAAATATGTAGATTTCACTAAAATATTTTAAAAAACATGAATTAATAAACTTTTTTTCTTTTTTAAGAGATGGGGGTCTTACTTTGTTCTTCAGGCTAGAGTGCAGTGATGCCATCACAGCTCACTGCAGCCTCCAGCTCCTGAGCTTAAGTGATCCTCCTGCCTCAGCCTCCTGAGTAGCTGGTACTACAGGCACGCACCACCTTGCCTGTCTAATTTTCTAATTTTTTTGTAGAGATGGGGCCTCGCTTTGTTGCCCAGGCTGGTCTTGAGCTCAAGCAATCCTCCCACCTCAGCCTCCCAAAGTATTGCCATTATAGGCCTTAGGCACCGTACCTGGCCCCTTACCTTTTTTAACTTCAAAAGTTTATAACATGGTACAAAACCACACAAAAGTTCTTTTAGGCTTGATCGTTTTTACGTGTGTAAAGGTGTCCTAAAACCAAAGTTTAAAAACTTCTGGTCCTAATAATTTAAAATTAACATTTTTTGGCCAGGCACAGTGGCTCACGCCTGTAATTGCAGCACTTTGGGAGGCCGAGGAGGGCGGATTACTTGAGGTCAGTAGTTCAAGACCAGCCTGGCCAATATGGTGAAACCCAATCATTACTAAGAATACAAAAATTAGCCGGCTGTGGTGGAGGGTGGGGCACCTGTAATTCCAGCTCCTCAGGAAGCTGAGGCAGGAGAATTGCCTGAACCCAGGAGGGAGAGGTTGCAGTGAGCTGAGATCGTGCCACTGTACTCCAGCCTGGGGGACAGAGTGAGTGAAACTGTATCTCAAAAAAGAAAAAACACCTGCAAGCTTTTGTGTCAGCCTCTCCTTTAAAATGGGTCTTTTATTTCTGCTGTGTATTCTGTAGTGACTAGCCCACGAGTAACTGGTTGTATGATGAGCTGGATAACATACCAGCCGTTCATATAGTACCTCCTTGGGAGACTCTACCCAAGTATCTTTCACAAATGCCCAATTCTCTCCCACCACAATACCAGTTCCAAATGTGGTACAAGCTTATTTCAAGAAATGTGGAAATTAAACAAAAATTTTTTAATACAAAGATGTAAGGCATTTATAAAATTTTTTAAATACAAAGATTTAAGGCATTCCAAAAACATAGTTTTTATAATACGTGTATATAAAACCAGGTATAGTGGCATACGCCTGTAGTCCCAGCTACTCAGGAGGCTAAAGCAAGAGAAGGAGTTGAGCCCGGGAATCTAAGGCTATAGTGTATCTTGTCTGTGAATGGTCACTGCACTCCAGCCTGGCCAACATAGCTTGACTCCATCTCTAAATACACACACACACACACACAGACACACATGAGTTTTCCTCATGTGAATTGATTTTTTTAATAATATAACTTATTTCAATCTGTATGTTTTAAAAATTGAATGCTGAAAATTATGTTACCCACCCAGAGATAAGTATTTTAACATTTTGGATGAATAGCTATACAGATATACACATAGATATTGTATGAATGGGATTTGACATTACATCCTGCTCTGATACCTGCTTTCATTCTCAGCTCTAGACCTTATTTTTTTTGTTTATCAATAGATATATAGGCCAAGACCCCGTGTGTGTGTGTGTGTGTGTGTGTGTGTGTGTGTGTGTGTGTGTGTGTGAAATACCATGTAACCAAAGCTCTTTTCATTTTGGAAAACATTGGCAGAAATGATGGTCGCTTAGAGAGTTAAATCTCTGGGTAAGTATAATGTAATCTGTGCAAACTCAGGTCCCTTATCCTTCTTTTCATTCTGTGCTTCGTGTAGCCACTAGGACCCTAGCTATACTGAGATACAGTGGAGGAGCAGCAGTATCTCTACTTAAACAAAATAGTTTAATTAGTGGCTGAAGGTGGAGGGGTGTCTTTCTGTCTTTTAATTAAATAGCCCTCAGAAGGTCAAGGAGATCAAACTGGTCAAACATTAACAGTTCTGTGCAGGAAATTATGGTGAGTTCCTGTTCTAATTTTCTCACTTGAGTTTAGCAAACATTTGAGGGGAGGTGAGAGATTAAAAAGCTGAATAAGGTACAGTTCTGCTCTTGGAGTGTTTACACATAGTAGAGGAAACAGGCCTGTAAGGAGCTGCCGTGTGTAAGGTAGAGCAAGTGTTCAGTTGAAGTTATAGACAATGCTTGTGCAACTGATGAAGCCAATCATTATTCAGTGTATGGGAAAGACCTGGTGGTCTTCCGCTTTTAGCTGAACATGAGAAAGATTTCAGTTAAGTAGAAATTGTGGAAACAGATCGACAGACTGAAGGGGTGTCCAGTGTGAGGATCAAAAACTGAAAGTGTAGGGAGAAAGAAATCACAAAAGAGCTGGAGCTCATGATCCAGTGCAGCTGAAGAGATGCCCAGAAGGAAACAGAAAGCAGCAGCACTGGGCAGGGATATTGTGCCGCATTTAGGAAATCTAGATACCATTTGTTCTGTGAATAGGAGGAAACTTTTCAGGATTCACAGAACACATCTTACCAGCATGCTGCTTTAGTCGTCTCAGAAGTAGCATGTATGGAATAGGCAAACTCTGATAAAGGAGTATGGAGACGTTTCTTGTGTTTTTTCTTTGTTTTGTTTAAAACGACTTACATTTACTATGTTACACATTCTGTAGGGCAGAATTCCAGGCACAGGTTAACTGGATCCTGCTTATGGTCCCACATGGCTGAAATAAGTGTGTTGGCTGAGTTGCAATTTCATCTGATGTTTTTCCATTCCCCCGTGGTTGTGGTAGAATCCAGGACCTCGAGGTTGTAGGCAGTTAGCTAGGAGTATGACTTTTTCATTCATTCATTCATTGGTTATTTATTTATTTATTTATTTAGAGACAGAGTCTTGCTCTGTCTCTTAGGCTGGAGTGCAGTGGCATGATCTCAGCTCACTGCAACCTCCACCTCCTGGGTTCAAGTGCTTCTAATGCCTCAGCCTCCCGAGTAGCTGGGATTACAGTTGTGCGTCACCACGCCCAGCTATTTTTTTTGTATTTTTAGTAGAGATGGGGTTTCACCATGTTGGCCAGGCTGGTCTTGAACTCCTGACCTCCAGTGATCCGCCCGGCCAAGCATGACTTTTTTTTTTTTTTTTTTTTTTTTTTTTCTGAAAAGGAGTATGATTTTTAGCTGTCATTTAATTGAACCCCCACCACATGCCAAATACAGGCACATGCATACATTATCGTTAACCCCTCCTGACCTCAGTGTAAGCCAGTATGACCTACACTTGATAGATGGAGCAGAGAGTAAGTGGAATGCTGATTACACCTCACACCCTGAGCAGGAAAATGATGTTTTTCAGGTGATATTGCTAGTGTCCTCCACCCAAAAGCCTGAATTTAGTTGGAAAGGAAAAATTTTATTAAAAAGTCTCTCCCTTGTGACTTTGAGGAAGAAGGAGGGGCATGTTTGCAAAAGAAACACTGCTAATGAACGTTTCCCTGTTAAATCACAAACATCTTAGGACTCCTGTCTCATGGAATCAGTATCTTCTTGGCAGGTTTACAAAGAAACCAGTTTTTAAAGCCACAATACAGAAGAGATTGGTGTTTTCCATGGCTTGGGTTTTATCTGCTTGGAGGGTATGTGTCTAATTCTCTCTTTCCCTCTCATACTGGTAAATATACCAAAATATAGAAAGAATAGTATGACCAATCCCAAAAACGAATCATTCATGTTTAACAGTTACCAAGATTTAGCCACAACTTTTTGATTGCTTCTTTCTCCTCCTCCTCAGTTGTCTTTTTACAATTGAATTGGTCAGTCCATATATTGCATTAGTTATGTCTTTTAAGTGCCTTTTAATCTAGAGCACTTTCTCTCACCCTACGTGGGAGGATCTCTCTCTTTTTTTTTTTTTTTTTTTTTTTTTTTTTTTTTTTTTTTTTTGGAGACGGAGTCTCACTGTGTTGCCCAGGCTGGAGTGCAGTGGTGCGATCTCGGCTCACTGCAAGCTCCGCCTTCCAGGTTCATGCCATTCTCCTGCCTCAGCCTCCTGAGTAACTGGGACTATAGGCGCCCACCACTGCGCCCGGCTAATATTTTTATTTTTATTTTTTGTATTTTTAGTAGAGATGGAGTTTAATAGAGAGACTATTGTCTCGATCTCCTGACCTCGTGATCTGCCCACCTCGGCCTCCCAAAGTGCTGGGATTACAGGCGTGAGCCACCGCGCCTGGCCGGATCTCTCTTTTTTATGCCATTGGATTATTGAAAAAAGTGCCAGCCTTCCTGGGAAAAGATTCTCCTGGGTTTGTCTGTTTTCTTCTTTTAGGTGTCCTTTTGCTTGTTCTTGTGTCCCCTCTATTTACTGTAAATATAAAAGCTTGATGAGATTTGCAAGGTTTGGTTAAATTCAGCCTTGCCATTTCTGGGTATGAATACATCATAGGCCATACTGTGTACTTTATATGACATCCCTTTATAAAATAAGTAATTTGGGGGCTATTCCATGCTTGGTGTAAACTAAGAGGGGTTTGTGGATTCAAGCCTACATTGTAAGGTCCCTATCACCTTCATTTTAACGACTTCATGTATTGATCTTTTCCTCATTACTTCATTAGTGACTGAAAAATGTTGATTTTTCTAATTGGTTGTTTACCCTGAAATACAGGTCATCCAAAAAAGCAGGACAAATGCTTAATTCTTTTCCTTTCAGTGCAAATTTTCCGCCTAAGACATTGGTGCCTGGTAATCTCCATTGGTGATCACTGTTTTGTGGGGGGTTGTTTGTTGCATCGTTGTTGTTATTGTTTCCCCTTTCCCTACTTTTGAGTATCATCGTGAACTCGTGTTTTTTAGTATATTTTCAGGGGTTTCAGTATACCGCAGTCATTATTCTTTCTGATGCTCAGGGGCAGGGAAGGGACAGTATCTTTTTGATAGAAGGAAACACCAGGACTGCCTCAGTGGACCTTGTTTTGGAATGTCCATCATTTGTAGGAATGATGGAGTCTCACTTCCTAATGGTTCAGAACCATTAGAGGTGCTTCCCTAGGTGCCCAATACGACCTATCACTGTTAGAGTATAATGCATTTCTTTGGCTATTTATCTGGTTAAAGCAACTCCTTTATCCACAGAAAAGGAGGTTGAGGTAGGAAGATCCCTGGAGCCTAGGAGTTCTAGTCTAGCCTGGGCAACATAGTGAGATGAACATCCACAGAAAAACCCACTTTTACAGCTTTGTGAGAATAAAATTTTTAGAAAGGAAATAGATTTTTTTTTTTTAATTACTAAGATTCTTTGATTAGGAACTACAGTAGAACACTGGGATTACTAGTGGCTATACGTTGTTATTTTCTTCCCAATTGTAAGGCTTTGTCAGCAGAACATGAAATTAAGCTAAAAGTGGAAAGGTGGGACATGTAATAGCCAGAATGTTCATCAACAAGAAAAGAAATTTATCTTGTAAAAAGTGTGTCTTTGCACGTAAGATAAACATAAAACAGACTGAGCACTGATATTGACTAGATGCTTTAAAATAAGCAGAAGGGGCAGAAAGTTAAATATTTAGATTAGTTCAAAATGTTAGCTTTATAGTAGTGTGCCATTGATGGAGCATTCCTGGAACATGTCTTCTCTGCTTGTTTTAACACCTGACCTTGGTCCCTGAAATGGAATGTATAGACAGGAAGACAGTGATATGGGTGGGTTTGTTTAACATTTTCTCTTTGTTTGAATAAGCCCTTTAGTTGTTTCTTAATACTGTTGAATATTTAGTGGCTTTCTAGGACCAAGACAGTATGGTTCTGTCATGATTGGTTTGGGTTTATTGACGTTTTCCCCAAAAGGACGGGACACACTTGAATCTGAGGTTGAATTTAGTTGACTTTTTCGTTGTACGTTTATGAAGAATAGATGAACTTTGTCAACAAAGATGGTGCCTGGCAGAAAGATTGAAACGTAGTAGGCTCTTGGTATGGGAATGCTTATTTCCCTGCTTCTCTCCCTCAGTTAGGGTTATTATCGTATAAAATTATTTTAGATTACTCATATAATTGTGAGTAACCTAAATTATATGAGTATCATGTGGGCATAATGTCCTCCATGTTCATCCATGTTGTTGCAAACGGTAGGATCCTCTCCTCTACCCCCCTTTTTTTAGGCTGGGTAATATTCCAATTCATGTATACACCACATTTTCATTGTCATTTGCCATTTAGATTGCTTCCATGTCTTGTCTTTTGTAAATAATGTTACAGTGAACATGGGAGTACAGATATTTGTTAAGAGGGTAAATCTTAGGTTGTGTTCTTACCACATCCTCCAAAATCATAATAAATAAAGAAGATAGAATGGGGGGATTGGAGAAATGTCGGTCAAAAGAAACAAATTTTCAGTTAGGAGAAATAAGCTCAAGAGATCTATTGTACATTATGGTGACTGTAGTTAATAACAATGTATTGTATATTTGAAAATTGCTAAGAGAGTAGATTTTAAGTGTTCTTATCAGAAAAACCTAAGTGTGTGAAGTAATGCTTATGTTAATTAACTTGATTTAACCATTCCACAGTGTACACGTATTCCAAACGTCACATTGAGTCAGGGCCAGTGGCACAGGCCTATAGTCACAGCTACTTGGGAGGTTGAGTTAGGAAGATCCCTGGAGCCTAGGAGTTCTAGTCCAGCTTGGGCAACATAGTGAGACCCCATCTCTATTTAAAAAAAAAAAAAAAATCCAGCCTGGGCAACAAGAAAGAAACTCCACCTCAAAACAACAACAACAACAACAACAACAACAAACCATGTGGCTGGGTGGAGGGGATCATGCCAGTGATCTCAACATTTGGAGACGCCAAGGTGGGCAGATTGCTTGAGCCCAGGAGGTCAAGACTGCAGTAAGCCATGATGGAGCCACTGCACTGCAGCCTGGGCAACGCACCAAGACCCTTTCTCAAAACACAGACACACACATGTAATGTTGTACACCATAAATATATACCATTTTTAATTTGCCAATTTAAACAATATATGTCAATTTTTATATAATTTTTAAAAAGGATAGGAGGAAACTTTTGGAAATGATGGATATATTTATGATATTGATTGTAGTGAGAGTTTCATAGGTATATACTTATCTCCAAACTCATGAAGTTGTAGACATTAACTATGTATAGCTCTTTGTATATCAGTCATTTCTCAATTAGGTGATTTTTAAAAAATAAATACTTATGTTTCTGACAGGCAAAAATGGCATGACATTTTAGTAGTTTATTAATAAAGTTTTTTGTCATATACTTATTAACCATTTAATTTGAGAATGGTATTTTCCAGTTATTTGTCCATTTCTTCTTTTCCTTATTGATAGGTCTATATAAGAAGAATAATGCTTTCTTGACTAGTGTAGTTTGCTTTCAGGTGGATACTTTCCTCATTGGTTGAAGGAGAAGCTGGTGATTCTGTTCTCTGTTTTCCTATCCCTCAAAATTAATAATATGAGCATCTCCACAGCTGATGGTTTCTCTTTAAAATAATGATGAATTAGGCTGGCTGCAGTGCTTCACGCTGTAATCCCAGCACTTTGGGAGGCTGAGGCAGGCAGATCACTTGAGGTCAGGAGTTTGAGACCAGCCTGCCCAACATGGCAAAACCCCATCTCTACTAAAAATACAAAAATTAGCCAGGCATGGTGGTGCGTGCCTGTGATCCTTGCTGCTTGGGAGGCTGAGGCACGAGAATTGCTTGAACCCGAGAGGCGGAGGTTGCAGTGAGCTGAGATCGTACCACTGCATTCCAGCCTGGGCAAGAGAGTGAAACTGTGTCTCAAAAAAAAAAAAAAAGTAATAATGATGATGAATTTCCTGTTTTGTTTTACCTCACTGAGCTGTAATAGTAGGAATACAATGAGATAATATACTTTAAAATGTGTTGAGTACTACATAATGGCATGTTGCAAATACAGTCCAAGGCTTAAGCAGCTTCATTTGGAGTATCATTTGAGTAAGATTCCTCTAGAAATCTAGTGTGCCAGGGCTTTAGGGTGAGCACATGACAGGGGAAGAATTCCTCAAAATTGTAACTGTAAAGATAAATCTAACCTTGATGCTTTTTCTTTTCTTGATTTCTGGGCTCTTGCAAAGTCCATAAATTGCATTATACTTAATATAGACACATTTTGTGTTCTCATAACTGCATTAGCATGTTAATTTCTGCTGAGTGGGTTAGTAATCAAATAACCAAGTGGCTAGACAAGAAAAGAGACTTTATAAGTGGATTATCTTGCTTTCCAGTGTTACCATTTTTAATGATGGTCTACTCATTTTTCCTTTAACTTTTTGTTATGGAAAATTTCAAACATATCTAAAAATTGAAGGATTTTTAGCATAATGTTTTATTGTTTTAAGTTGTTTGAATCAACATTCAATATGTTCCCTCTCATTCTCTCTCATGTTCTTGCTTGCAGTTTATTTGTTGTGGAACCCAGATTGTTTGTCCTGTAATTTCTTAGAGTATCTCTGTGATTTTGTTTAGCATGATTCTGTTTCTAAATTATCTGCAAGTTATCTTTTATATATATTTTTTATCTTGCAAGAATACCTGGTAGTGTGTACTTCAATCAAGAGGCACATAAGGATTAGTGGTCTCTCATTTTGTGATGTTTACAGCCATTGATTATCAGGATCTACCAATTGCCCATTCCTTTTTATGTTTGTTTATTGTCTTTTGGTTATGTTAATGTATTTCATTAAATTAAAAAATATTTTATAATAATTTGCCAAACAGTGCTGTATGAAGATTATACCAATGTACACAGCCAACAGCCATGTACCAGAATATCCAAATTTTTATTTTCTTATTTTATAGGTAACTGATGCTTAAGGAGATATGTAGTTTTCCCCAAGATTACACAGCTATTCAGTACAATACTCAGGTCTATATATGTAAATTTTGCCTTAATCTCAGACATAACACCAATTTTCTTCTCTCCTTCCACTACAGTCCCAGGTTATTACCCCTCTTCATTTTTTGAAAAATTATAGAAAGGCAGATATAAGTAGGGCAAGGTGAGATGAAAAGAAGGGAACTAAGCAGTTAACATAGGAGGGTTAAAGACCCAAATGTGATTTCCAGAACATTCTGCACTTTCTTCTCTCATACTGATTCTCTAGTGCTTAAAACTATCCAGCCATTGATAATCATTACTTAGATCTACTAATTCATTCCCTAACCTTTTGTATTTTTCAAAATAAGCATTTGATCACATTAATAACTTTAGAAACTTAATTTCAAACTTTATCAGTAAAACTACTTTTTCGTAGCCCTTTAAAGACCATTATTAGTACTATTTATAAAAAGTACCAAAGCTGGGATCCTATTGGAATATTCCAAGTTTAGTCTATCATACCATTTTTGCTAGCACTTTATCAGTGGATATATTTATGAAAAAATTTAATCTAGATGTGTTTGATGTGTCATTAAAAGTTATTTCAAAAATCATTTTATTGTAAATGTTTCTCAAACTTAAGTTCTCCTAAAATAGCAATTTAACTTGATTTCTGGTAAATAGTTAAAGATTAGCAAAGTTTTTAATGTCATAATTTTTAGTAGAAGTTAAATTTAGGAATTAGCAGTCTCCTACTTCCTAGTTCAAATCCAAGTTAACTTTTAAAAGTCTAAAATATACTGGCCTCTCTCAAGACCTAGACACAGATATCAACAAATGCCAAAAGAGATATGCAAACAGGAAACTATGTGATTCTTTTAACAAATATTTTAAATCATATAATCATTTTTCCACTTGACCCTTCTCCTTCCTCCTCCTCCGCAATAAAAAGAATCTACAGTAATCCTGTAGAAACTTTAGAAATCTTTGTTTTTCTTACCCACAACTCCCTATTTATATATGTTAAGTGCTACCTGATATGGCAAACACATGTAAATGATATCCTTTCAAAGTTCACTGGCTTCCTCTCTGAAGTCATCTAAAATTCAGAAGCCATAAAACAAACCATCAGATAAAAGTGAGACTTTATACTGAAATAGAACCATAAGAACATTTTTTTGCAGTTTCTGCAAGGAATTGTGTTACTTACTCCTTTCAGTGAATCAGTAATGACGTTTTAGGTCAGGAGATTGGAAGCTGCTTGCGGGGGAACGTAGGTAGGTGACTCTAGTACAGAGAAAGGCATTTGATGTGGCACAGCCCTAGGCCAGGTAGGTGGCGGGTGTCAGGACCCATGCTGTAGAGCTCTCTGCAGGTTGCAGCTCCTCCAGCTGGCCTTCCTAGCCCTGACCAATTACTCTGAGGCTTCCCAGCCCTAAGCTGCTTCTCTTGAATTCTCCTCTGAATAGTTATACAGTGTGTGAAAGAATTCCTTGCCACTCATGAGAAATGTATTGATTTATTTGAAAATATTTGATGCACTTAAATCCCAGATTAGTAGCAGTTATGGTAACAGATGTCCTTTTGATGAAAAGCCATTTCTGATAGATGGGGGATCCCCATAGTGAAATGAGAAGAGCTTCACTTCCTACTTTGTAGAGTCCAACTCTTTAGCACGGTGTGCAGGCCCTTCATGATCTGCGCCCCAACTCCTTATCCCCAGATTCCCAGCCATAAGGTCTCCTTCAAAGCCATGCTCCAACAATACTCAGCTCTGGGAGTCCAAACAGAGTCCATCATGTATTCGCTTTGCCTTCAGGCTTTTTGCTTAGAGAGCCCAATTTCTGGCCATAAATTTAATCCCTTTACAAATTAGCTGCTTGTCCTTCAGAAGTCACCTTAACCATCTCTTTCTTCATAAAGCTTGCCTGGCTCTCCAAATGTAGGTTAATTGCTCTACCGTGTTGGTTACTGCTGTAGAGCTGTGTTTATTCAGGCTGCGGCATTGATACTGACTACATTTATGTAGGACCATTGGTGGAAGGCAAGTTCCCCAAAGTGAAAACAATCCACTGAGATAAATTTTCTAACCGCAATTTTATTTTACTGAAGGCTGGGAAGCCCTCAGGTTGCTTCTTGAAGCACACACAGCCTGGAGAAAAGCAATTCTGAACGTATGTGGCTACCCCTTGATTTAGATGAATTACATTCCAGTCAAAAGGAAGAACAGATTTGAAAATTTAATGGCAAGACTGACTTCATTCAGGAAATCATAACTAATTTTACCAAGCTAGGGGTGAGTTGATGGTGTGCAATAAATTTGGGAAGAAGGAAGAAGGAAATGGGAATGCTAGATTACAGTTAATAGTTTTCTTTAATTCAAAAGGTATTGGGAGGTATTGCAGATCTGGAAGAAGGAGAATTACATTATCAGAAAGAACTCAGCAACAGATTTTAAAGGAGATGTGGCTTTGTCTTAGGTATTTTCTCATCTAAAAAAATTAAGAGAATGATTAAAAATGCATCACCAAAAGTGCCAGGGTGATGATTCAGATAGCGCTCTGTAGCTCCATCCTAAAAAGGGCATGCTAGCCTGTTCTTCTGATACATACTTACAAAACTTTCCCAGTTCTCTCTCCACCTCTATTTATTTCCAGCACCATTTGCCCCTTTGGACCTGATTCTCATCTAAAGATACTCTGTTGTGGGAAGTAAATACATCCTGAGAAAAATCACTTTCTGGCAAAACCTTGAAGTGAGTTACTGTAAACCCTCAGACACGCTACTCATTCTATATTTGTAGCAGGATCAGAGGAATTAACAGATGAAATGGCCCTGGAAGCTGGTGTGAGCATCCACACCCCAGGCCTTCCTCTCGTCCCTAATCACACAGCTACCCTGGGAAACCTTTTCTGGGGTCTCCCAGCCTCACTCTGGGTGGAGTTTGTTCTTTCCTCAACTGCCAGCTCCCCAGGTCTCTGAATTAAATTTTGCATTCTCATCTCTTTTCATAAATTCTCTTTGAAGATCCAGAGACAACTCTTCCAACAGTTTCTATTCCCTCTGAGACATTTGTAACTACCATCTCGTCACCCACTAGCTGGCCTACAACCGTTGGTTACATACACAGCCCAGTCTTTTCATAATTTACCATCCAAGCCCCACACTGTGTGTGCTGTGGGCTTCATGATCCATTTACCAGACTATTCCCAGCCCCAGCATCCTGTGCTGGGCCTCAGCACAGTGTGAGAAAAGGAAAACTTGGAGGGGATCCAGCATGAAAAAAATGAAAGATTGGAAAGAGGAGTGTCTGTGAGAAAAGGATGGAGAAGCTGGGTAGGTTTAGCTCTTGAGAAGAGATGGAGAATGAGACATATGTTGAGAGATTACAGTCAGCAGTCCCTTTTCTTGTTTCACTTTCTCCATGGTTATAATATCCTTAAAGATAGGTTTAAAATGGGCCAGGCATGGTGGCTCACGCCTGTAGTCCCAGCACTTCGGGAAGCCAAGGCGGGTGGATCACCTGAGGTCAGAAGTTCAAGACCAGCCTGGTCAACATGGTGAAACCCCGTCTCTACTAATATACAAAAATTAGCCGGGCGTGGTGGCGGGCGCCTGTAATCCCAGCTACTCAAGAGGCTGAGGCAGGAGAATCGCTTGAACCCGGGAGGCAGAGGTTGCAGTGAGCCGAGATCGCGCCATTGCGCTCCAGCCTGGGCAACAAGAGCGAAACTTTATTCCAAAAAAAAAAAAAAAAGATAGGTTTAAAATGGTAATCCTTGTTTAGTGGTGGATTGTGTGTGTGGGGGATGTCACATTGCTTTCGGAGAGGTACTAAGGTGCTCAAGCAGTCTCTGCAATAGGATTTGGTTCCCTGTCTTTTCTATCCCTTGTCTGATCAGCCCTGAAATTTTACTGGTACAGAGACTGGAGAAAGAGGGGTGGGTGGACAGGACATGTAGGATGGGGGAAACTCCTGCAAGTATGTTTGCCTTATGGGCTCCAGATGGGGAGCCGGGACATACCTGTGACCATGGTGGGTCATTAGGTCTTAACATAGTTCTGGGAACTGGTGAAACCTGAGGTCATTAGATAGTGCATGTTTGACCTTTGGGCATCTTTAGGAATGAGAAATTCAATAATGAGGATGATAGCAGCTGTTACTCATTCAAGACATTTCTGTTAAACACGTTATATTCATTATCTCATTCAATCTTCACAACACCCTGTTACATAAATATAGTCATTATCCTCATTTTACAAAGAAGGAATTAAGCTCAGAGTTTTTTAAATGTGCCCATGGTCACATTTGGTAAGCTGCTCATCTGAGGTTTTAAGCCAAGTCTGTCAGGTCACAGACCCCAAGGTGGGGGTTTTTTGGTTTGTTTTTTGGTTTGTTTTAGCAGCGTTATTGAGCTGTAATTCACATACCATACAATTTAAAGCATACAACTCAGTATTTTTTTTTGGTATGTTATTAATTTTTAAAAATTGTGGTAGGCCCAGCACAGTGGCTCATGCCTGTAATCCCAGCGCTTTTGGGGGCCGAGGTGGGTGGATCACTTGAGGTTAGGAGTTCGAGACCAGCCTGGCTAACATGGTAAAGCCCACGTCTCTACCAAAAAAAAATTAAAAATTAGCCAAGTGTGGTGGCATGCCCCTGTGGTCCCAACTACTCAGGAGGCTGAGCGGGAAAATCGCTGGAACCCAGGAGGCAGAGGTCACAATGAGCCAAGATTGCGCCACTGCATCCAGCCTGGGCAACAGCGAGATTCTGTCTCAAGGAAAAAAAAAAAATTGTGGTAAAATATATATGACATAAACCTGCCATTTTTTTTAGTGTACAATTCAGTGACATCAATTATATTCACAGTGTTTTGCATCCATCACCACTATCTATTTCCAAAACTTTTTCATCACCTTAAAAACTCTAACTGCATGCCTGTAATCCCAGCTACTCGGGAGACTGAGGCAGGAGAATCGCTTGAACCTGGGAGGCGGAGGTTGCAGTGAGCTGAGATGGTGCCATTGCACTCCAGCCTGAGCAACAAGAGCAAAACTCCACCTAAAAAAAAAGAAAAGACAAAACAAAACAAAAAAACAACTCTAACCATTAAGCTGTAACTCCCCATTCCCTCCTTTCCTTGTCACCTGGTAGCTGAAAATCTACTTTCTTTCTGTCTCTGTTAATTTGCCTCCTCTAGAGACATCATATAAGTGGAGTCATACAATATTTGTCCTTTTGTGTCTGGCTTCTTTCCCTTAGCGTAATGTCATCAAGGTTCATCCATGTTGTAGCATATATTAGAACTTCATCCTTTTTTTTTTTTTTTGGTGAGATGGAGATTTACTCTTGTTGCCCAGGCTGGAGTGCAATGGCATGATCTCGGCTCACCGCATCCTTTGCTTTCCAGGTTCAAGCGATTCTGCTGCCTCAGTCTCCCGAATAGCTGGGATTGCAGGCATGTGTCACCACGCCTGGCCAATTTTGTATTTTTTTACTAGAGACAGGGTTTCACCGTGTTGCCCAGGTTGATCTCGAACTCCTGACCTCAGGTAATCCGCCCACCTCGGCCTCCCAAAGTGCTGGGATTACAGGCGTGAGCCACCGCACCCGGCCAGAACTTCATCCCTTTTTGTGGCTGAATGATGACCCATTGTATGGATATAGTACATCTGGTTTATCCATTCATTTGTTGATGGACACTTGAGTTGTTTCCACCATTTGCCTATTGTACAGAGCCCAAGTTTTAACTGGAATGTATATTACAACACAAGCTGAGAACCACCCCAGGATGAGATCTCCTGATTTCAAGCTTGGGCATCACACCATGTTGCAGAGAACTGGTAGCCTCAGTATTGAGAGTGAGGCTGACCTGAGTTTTGAAATACAAGTCTATCACATTAGTTGTGGGACGTGGGTCAAGTTATTTAACTTCTCAGACTCTGGGTTTCTCAGTCTCCACTATCCAGACAGGTAATCACAACAACACGGTTGAATATGTGTTCTGTCATGGGAAGTTTTCTTTTTTTCTTTTCTTTTTTGAGATGGAGTTTCGCTCTTGTTGCCCAGGCTGGAGTGCAGTGGTGCGATCTCAGCTCACTGCACCATCCGCTTCCTGGGTTCAAACGATTCTTCTGCCTCAGCCTCTCGAGTAGCTGGGATTACAGGCACGTGCCACCACACCCAGCTAATTTTGTATTTTTAGTAGAGACGGGGTTTCTCCAGGTTGGTCAGGTTGGTCTCGAACTCCCGACCTCAGGTGATCCGCCTGCCTCGGCCTCCCAAAATGCTGGGATTACAGGCGTGAGCCACCACGCCTGGCCATTCATGGGAAGTTTTCTTAAACCCTTTATCTTTTCAATTATGACAACCTATGAGAATAGGTACTACTACTACTATTCCTCCTCCTCCTCCTCTTTTGATGAGGAAATTTGCCCGAGGTCACATAGATGGTAAGTGACCAGGGACTTCAAACCTAGATCTACCTACCAAAACATTATACCAATCCCTCATGCAAACCGTATGTATAAGTATGGGCTTGTATTATATATATATATTTTTTCACTTGTTTATGCAACTTTTTCCATCTTTATAGACAGGTCTTTTACGTTACTATTTTCGGTGGCTATAATAGTGGACCATTTTATAGTTATTGAACTAGCTCTTAGATTTGAACATTAAGGTATTTCCCGTCCCCTAATTAAAAAAAAAACTTTATATGACCATCTTCTTAATACTTAACCAGCAGTCGGTTCTAGATTTGTAGGGGACCTTGCCTGCACTGGGATGGCTTGGACACCTTCATTCTAAAATGTTCTGAAGCTTTAGGGAGGGAAGAAACCCCAGAAACTCCTTGGTTCCTGTGTTGGATTACCCACCAAAGATCTGAAGTCATGCCAGAGCCAACCAGCCTTCTGCTGACCCTCATGCCCAGATTTCCTTGATTTTGCATCATTGCAACTGAAAAAAGATTTCAGACTGACAGGCAACCTTTTAGTGTTGGAAGGTAATCTGTTCATCCCAGACCAGTGATCCTCATGAGATAGAATTACTTACTATTCCCCAGAAAGAAGCAGCTCAGTTAGTCTAAACTCTTGCAGTTTTCTTTTGGTATTTCAGTGCTTCTAACTAGGTTAGGATACCCTGTTCTCATATATGAACTCTGCAAGAATGAGTACAATTTTCAGGAATGAGAGGGCAGGAGGGGGGAGTTATTTACATTAGCATTTGCCAAGTTTTCACTGTTTATCTTACCGGAAAGTCAACAGTGTGACTATTAACCTCCTGCATAATTAAAATTTGGGCCTTGTTATGGTTGTTCTTAAACTTGTGGTTAAATCTTTGTGATTTTTAGAAGGCAAAGAGATGGAGAGTAAAAGGAAGATAAAATATGGCTATTCAGGGGACTGAGGTACATGGACACCTGGAGCTGCTTGTTGTAAATTGGCAGGTTCATTGCAGCCGGTGGAATGAATGATAAGGGAATTGTGTAGGTCAGAGTCTCCCAAGGTACTTAGCCAGTTTTGTTTAATAAAGTTAAGTAGATTTTTTTGAGCAGATCACATTTCCCTGGTGAAGCTGGAGGGCTGTGAGATTTCTTTTAAAGAAAGTCTTCTGCTCTTAAATGAAGAGCATTGTTCTTATTTTAAAAATAAGTACATGAACACCAATATAATTAACAAAGCTCTATCTTCTAGTGATCATTAATTTAATCTTAGTACAAAAGAGCTGAACAATATGTCTGAGGCACGAAGAATGAGGAAGAAACAGTTAAACATGAGAAGTGGCTGAGGGCATACATTCCAAAGCACCACTCCCTGCCACCTCCCTCTGGTAGGTAATGACCCCAGATCATCTGATGAATCAAGGGATTGTTTTTGTACTGAGGATGGATTTCCTATAGCAGAGACAACATTATTTATACCCCCAGATTGTATTCCTTACCTTTTTTCCTATATTAATGTCAGTTACTAATGTTACTGTTGTTTGACACTGTGCAGTAACTATATGCATGTCAAATTCGCATTCAGTTTTTATAATGAACTAGGTGTTAGTTTTTATTTTTATCTGTTGCATCGGAGGCTGGCAGAGATTAGGTAAGTTATCCAATGTTGCACAGCTGGTAACATTTACAACTAAAGGACTTAAAGGGGAGAAACACCGGTTTGACTTTCAGGTGAAGCTTATTGAGTCACCTTTCACCACCATACGCATACATTCTGGAATTACCCCATCTATAATACTGATACGAGGAAGTCATTTGTTCTTTTCTTGTCCATACCCTTTTCAGTGACCATCTCCTCACCCTCCAAAGAGTTCCCAGGTCTTCGGACACTTTTCAGATGACATACCACATCTTCCTAATAACCTGCCACTGTAAAATAAGGAGTTCCATTTCCAAATGGTTTCTAGTACATTCCGCTACCCACTCCCACCGAGGACCACCAGGATACATTCAGTTAAACAGGAATTACCTGTAGATAATCAGCATTACTGCCTGAAATCTGGGCTGGAAACATAAATGATGATGATACTCAACCAGAGTTTGCCTCACAGCAGGTGCTCAGTGTTTGTTGAAGACAAACAG
Organism: Homo sapiens; assembly: GCF_000001405.40. Lineage (NCBI taxonomy): Eukaryota > Metazoa > Chordata > Mammalia > Primates > Hominidae > Homo > Homo sapiens. Next base: position 30,533,026 of record NC_000008.11, read on the forward strand.
TTGTTAACCAAGATGAATTTAAATGTGAGAGTAGCCCTGACCAAATTGACATTTTTGGATCTTGTGGGCTTTATTCATGCTGGTCATAACTTCATTTAAGAATTAGCCTCATTTTATTTTTTGTAACTGGAGACTGCCCAGTTATTCATCCATTTTGTGGCCTCATGGCTTAACACTCTCAGAAAACATTTTTTATTCACTGCGATCATGGAGTATGCAGGGGGATTATCCTTCAGTGGCAACGTGGAACCTAGCCTGCCTCTGAAAGCAAGGGAGGTGAAGGAAAGCAACTCTCAGGCAACAGCAGATGTTTCCAGAAGTGGGGTTTTGTTTTGCACTGAAAATTTAATCCAAGGGCACCAGATTTTTAAAACATGAATGAATCAAAATAGGAGAGTTTGGAAAAGGAGGGCACTTTTGAGATGTCCACACTTTGTTGCTAGCAGCTTTGTTACCTGTGGAGAGACGGTTCTGGGTCCATGGGTGGCTTTGCTCCTGTAGGTTTTTCTTGTTTCACAGTAATTGGCAGTAAAAGACTTTTCATATTCAAGTGTGATTGATCTAGCCTGGCTTAAAGAGATGATCAAATTCCTTGGCACACAGAAATGTTTAGCAGCCTTCTTCATATCCATTGCCATTGTGGTGCCTGATAAATCTGGTGCTAGTGAATAAGTACTCATTACTCAAAGAAGTGTAGAACAGATCCTGTGGAATTTCTTTTCAGGACTAGTAACAGTATAATTTTTGCTTGTACACAAATCAGGTTTTTTCCCCCCACCAGAATGCCAGGTTAAATTATTTCAAGTCTATAAAAATTGTTTGTTTTGGCCAGGCATGGTGGCTCACGCCTATAATCCCAGCACTTTAGGAGGCCTAGGTGGGTGAATCACGAGGTCAGGAGTTCGAGACCAGCCTGGCCTACATGATTGAAACCCCGTCTCTACTAAAAATATAAAAAATTAGCTGGGTGTGGTGGTGGGCGCCTGTAATCCCAGCTACTCGGGATGCTGAGGCAGGAAAATTGCTTGAACCTGGGAGGCGGAGGTTGCAGTGAGCCGAAATTGCGCCACTGACTCCAGCCCGGGTGACAGCACGAGACTCTCAAAAAAAAAAAAAATTGTTTTTGTACTCTGACTTCTGAAAAACACAGAAACTCAGTTTGGAGGCAGTGATGCCTTGTCAGGAATGTAGACTCTGGAAACAGATTCTTTAGATTTGTATCCCTCTACCTATAAGCTGTATGACCTTGGACAAGTCACTAAAACTCTCCAAGCATCAATTTCTTCATCTGTAAAATGGAAATACTAGTATCTAGCTCAAAGGACTAAGGGGAGATTGAGACTTTATGCTTGTGAAGGATACTATACACGTAAGCACAAAATAAATACTTGTTCTGGTTTCTAGGGATACATTAACATAATTTTAAAATAGGATTTCAGTCGTTGATGTTTTTAACATTCCCTGTGGATAGATCAAGGGCAAGTAGCCCACGGCTAGCCAGCATAGATGGGGAACCAGAAGAACGGGGGTGGTGGAGTTGCTGAGTTCCTAGAGCAGGAGAAGGCCATGGGTGAGAGTGGGAGCTCAGTTCAGACACACAGCTTCATTCTGGAATTCCTCACGTGGCTCACAGAAGAGTTTGCTTATGTGTGTGTCTAGATTTATGTTATTTGTGCTATGAAGTATATTTTGGGGTTCTGATTCATCAGTTTCCTAGGTCAGTGGCAATCTCTTTAAAACTGATAACTACTTTGGGAGGCCGAGGCGGGTGGATCATGAGGTCAGGAGATCGAGACCATCCTGGCTAACAAGGTGAAACCCCGTCTCTACTAAAAAAAAATACAAAAAATTAGCCGGGCGCGGTGGCGGGCGCCTGTAGTCCCAGCTACTCGGGAGGCTGAGGCAGGAGAATGGCGTGAACCCGGGAAGCGGAGCTTGCAGTGAGCCGAGATTGCGCCACTGCAGTCCGCAGTCCGGCCTGGGCGACAGAGCGAGACTCCGTCTCAAAAAAAAAAAAAAAAAAAAAAAAAAAAAAAAAAAAAACTGATAACTATGACAAGTTAGTAGTTTCCACCTTTTTTCGTCAAGGACTGGAACCTTTGCAGATTTAAGAAAACTGACATTTTCTTAAAAGTCAAGGAAATGTGCTAAACTGTAAATCATTGGGTGGATTACATAATTCTGAAGTTTATATCCTCTTGCTAGTTTTAAGTTAGTTGTAGGCACTTTGTAATATCGTTAATTTTAACTAACTTTTCTTGAATATGTTCTGTGTGCCAGACATATGTGCTAAGGATAGGAGATAACAGTTTTGTGAAGGACATAGACACAGAAAAAGAAAATTTTTCGTATAAGCAGTAGGTGCAGTGTTCAGGGTACACATAGCCTGTTTTGGGAGGTGTAAGAAAGGATATCTGGTCTTTACTGGATTTTCAAGAGTGCTCCATGCCTTGATGAAGACTCTTTTAGGCAGCACCTGTCCCAACTAAGAGTCCCTGCTAAGAAATGGAAAGTTCATTAGATCAGCTTCATTAATTATCAAAGAAATCTACATTAAAATAATAGACTTTAATAACATTTCTTTAGATATAGGGTGTCACTATGTTTGCCTAGGCTGGCCTTGAACTCCTGGCTTCAGGTGATCCTCCCACCTCAGCCTCTGTAGTAGCTGGGATTACAAGCATGTGCCCTGTTCTGTTTTTAAGGATGATTCCCAGTGTTGTTACATTAAAATTTGGTACAAATGTTGCTACTTTGGGGATTATACATTCAAACAGCACAGTTAGGTGTATTGAGATCCTTAAAAATGTTCATTTCTGAAAGCTTGGCAAGGTTATCTGGAAGGCTGAGGAGAGAGGATCACATGGGCTCAGGAGTTGAAGTTGTAGTGCACATTGATGATCACACCTGTGAACAGCTGCTGCACTCCAGCCTGGGCAACATAGTGAGACCTTGTCTCTAAAATAAATCAATAAATAATGAATGAATGAATGTCTGCTATGTAACATGCGCTATGCTAGGTACTGGAGATACAGCAGTAAGCACAACAGACACAGGCCCTGCACTCAGGGACCTTATAGTTCAATAAGAGATCATCTCTCTCTTTTTTTTTTTTTTTTGAGATGGAGTTTCACTCTTGTTGCCCAGGCTGGAGTGCAATGGCACGATCTCGGCTCACCGCAACCTCCGCCTCCCAGGTTCAAGCCATTCTCCTGCCTCAGCCTCCCTAGTAGCTAGGATTATAGGCATGTGCCACCACGCCCAGCTAATTTTGTAGTTTTAGTGGAGACGGGGTTTCTCCATGTTGGCCAGGCTGGTCTCGAACTCCCGACCTCAGGTGATCCGCCCGCCTCGGCCTCCCAAAGTGCTGGGACTATAAGCGTGAGCCACCGCGCCTGGCGAGATCATCTCTTTTTATGGACTAGATAGAGATGTACCCAAGCAGCAATTTCAATTTCATTGAAAAGACACCTCTGCCTCCCCTTGCTGTCATAACCATCCTTCTCCCTTGCTCCCTTTCCTCCCTCACCAAATAACAGATGTATGCCAGAAGAGGTGTGTGAGTGACAAATGAAAGTTATACTAAAACACTGTTTTTGTTTGTTTATAAATTTTTTATTTTTAAAAAATTAATTTCCACCTGAATCATAGATTCAAGTTGCCCTGAAGATATACTTCCTGAAACACTTTTTTTATGTTAGAAGAAATTTATTTTCCTTCCTTTTCTACTCTTTCTCCTTTGTGGACCTCCTTTGTGGCGGGCACAGTAGTGAATCTAACAGAACAGTATGCTGCTCTCATGAAGCTTACCCAGGTCTCTAGCAGAGTGGGACTGAGCAGATTTTCTTATGTTGTTCATAGATGTAAAACCATTACGTTTTGAAAATACAGCTCCTGTTAAACATCCAGACTTGATTGCAGTTGTCAAAATCCAGGCTCGCAGAGAGGCTGGCAGACACTTGGAATATTCTGCTAATGCCAGGGAATAGACTTTCCTGGGGAAACTCTGGGTAACCCTCATCCCAGCAGCTGCAGGTCATAGGAAGGAGGAGGAATGAAAATGTCCCCATGTGATGAGTAAGAGTAGGTAATAGTAGTGGCTTAAGTTCCCAGAGGAACAGTTTTCTTCCCACTCATGCTCAGGGTTCCCTTCAACTCTGATTAGAAAGCAGATCCTTTTAAAATCCTGGATTGCATCGCATGATTTCTTAGCCTCGAAGAAGTGGGCAGCAAAGGAAGAAGACAACCATCAAAGCAGTGACTGGTCAGAACAGCAGAAAATCATTAAATGGAAAAGTGACTCTGGGCCAGTTGAATCATGACCAGCTTGCTTTTGGAATTTCCTTGGCATATTTATTTTGGGGTCTGCTTGCTTTTTTGCAGAAAACTTGTTGCTTCTGCAGTTTGTATCAGAGAAATAGTGGAGTGGGGAGACGGTGGAAGTTAAAGTCAGTCTGGCTGAGAACCCGCATTTGGGTAATAGAAGTAGGGATGGGAATGAGAAAGACATAGAGAATATGTCTTTACATAGAGAATATGTCTTTATCATCAGTAGGTGGAGCTAATGAACATGGAGAGAGGCAGTGAAGTGCAGAAGTGAAGGGTCTGGACTCATGATCTTGATTGATTCACATCCTGGCTCTGTGAGAGTCGTTGGGCTGGATATTTAACCTCGCTGTGTCTCAGCTTTCTCATAAGGTAAAAGGGGCTCCTGCTAATGTCTCCCATGAGGATGATTGGTGCACAGAATGTGGTCAGTAAACACGAGCTCCTACTGTTGTTACTACTGCTATCATCACTGTAGTTATCTTTGTCATCTTTATTGTTACTAGGACTTAGCAATTGTTTGGACATGGGAAGTGATGGAGGCTTCTAGCCTGAGTAAAAGGGATAAAGGAAAGTATTGGAGGTAAGAAGAGGAATTGGTTTATGAGTGACAGTAAGTTCACTTCTCCATGAGTTGAGTTTGATGAGTTTAGGGTGTTTACATTGGAGTAGAAATCAATGCTATAGGTTTATGAGTCATCCTAAATAGAATTAGTAGTTGAAGCAATGGAAATGACCAAGGTCCATGATAGAGAGAAAATAGAAATAGTGGAGAGCCAAGCCGAGACTTGATTTCTCCTCATGACTGCAGCACGTAGTACAGTTGGTTCCCTGTACAGAACACAAAAACCGCCATGGTAATTAGTGCTGGGTGGTGGAAAACACCTCCTTTGAGCTATTCACCCAATCTTTTTTTTTTTGGAGACAGAGTCTCGCTCTGTCGCCCAGGCTGGAGTGCAGTGGTGCGATCTTGGCACACTGCAGCCTCTGCCTCCCAGGTTCAAGCAGTTCTCCTGCCTCAGCCTCCCAAGTAGCTGGGACTACAGGTGCCCACCATTACACCTGGCTAATTTTTGTATCTTTAGTAGAGACGGGGTTCTCACCATGTGGGCCAGGCTGATCTTGAACTCCTGACCTCAAGTAATCCACCCGCTTCGGCCTCCCAAAGTGCTGGGATTACAGGCATGAGGCACCGCGCCCGGCAACAATCTTTTCATTAGCTTCTTTCATAAACATCTTCATCTACATTTGTCTTCTTGGGAAGCCAGTGAATGGGTTTGACATTCTATGGGAACTGTATTAGTTCCCTAGGGCTGCCACAACAGATTACCAGAAACTGAGTGGCTTCAATGGACAGAAATCTGAAATCACGGTGTCAGCAGTGTTGGATCCTCTGGAGGCTCTGAGGCATTCCTCTGCTTGTAGAGATACCATTCCAGTCCCTGCCTTTGTCTCAAGATTCCTAAATCAATCTGCAAAGACCCTGTTTCCAAAAACAGTTATGTACTGGGGTTGCAGGTGGATTTTGATTTGGGGAAATGCCATTCACCCTATCACAGGAGCTAGTGTGCACTGCCCTGCACCACGGGAGCTGGCGTGGGCTACATTCTTAGTCCTGATGGCGGAAGAGCATGTCTGAATAGGCTAGTCCTTAAAAGAGTGGGCCTGTATGGCTGATTTTTGAAGGGCTTAACAGGCATGGATCAGCTACTTGCTGAGGTATGTGAGTGGGAGTTGATTGCTAACAGAATCCTTGATTTATTTTTCTTGTTTCAAAATTTATATTATTCCTATTAAAAATGGAATTTTTCATCATGTTTGGATTTTCTGTGTCATGGCTGCTGTTTTTCCTGGCCAAATTCTTCATCTACGAGGCAAGCTCTCCTGGAAGACTCTGTCCCTGAGTTTCTTATAGCAAGTTGAGTATGCTAAAAGCCAGACATAAAGACCACCTGCTTTCCAGGGGACTTGTCATCACCAGCAGCAGTGGGGGCATCACCCACCCCAGGGAGGAAAGGATGGTGTATAGAAGGGACCCCAAACTATGAGACAAGAGGCATGAGTTCTGGTCTTAGTTCAGACATTATAAGTTATCTGTGAGACCTTAGATAGATCTTGGTGCCTTTATGTGCTTATTTCTCTCCCACCCAGAATTAATCCTCAGTCTGGCTATTTCTTCACCTGAAGGCAGGATGGAAGTATATTTTTTCGTCATTCATTTTCTCAAGTATAAAGCAAATGGTTGATTTTTTTTTTTAATCTTTTTTTTAAAAAATCTTTTCTTTTTTTTTTGAGACAGAGTCTCGCTCTGTCGCCCAGGCTGGAGTGCAGTGGTGTGATCTTGGCTCACTGCAATCTGCACCTCCCAGGTTCAAGCAATTCTTGTGCCTCAGCCTCCCAATTAGCTGGGATTATAGGCGTGCACCACCACACTCAGCTCAGTTTTTTATTTTTAGTAGAGATGGAGTTTTCCCATGTTGGCCAAGCTGGTCTCGAACTCCAGACCTCAAGTGATCCACCCACCTCCGCCTCCCAAAGTGCTGGGATTACAGGCGTAAACCACTGCATCTGGCCCAAATGGTTGATTTCTTGATATTGTCTTATAATATGGTGGTAGACACTGGTGAGCAAGAATAAGAGTGAGCTTGCCGTCCAGGAGGTAACTGCTGTGACTGGGGAGGTGCAGGATGTGGTGGAGCACAGAGAAAGCAGTCTTCTAGACTAGCAGTGCGAGACCAGGCCCCTCCCTGCCCCCAGAAGAGGCATCTAAGCAGAGCACACTGAGGAGTTAAGCTGGGTGGAAGGAGTAAGTAACTGATGAGTAAGAGTTAAGCCAGGCAAGAGGAGGGGGAGAAGGGTGCCTCTGGCAGAGGGAGCAGTGTGTGGGCGAGAGGCAGGCATAGTCATGCAATGGAAGTGACTGATCCCAGACCATGAGGGAGAACCAGATGAGAATCAGGGCTGGAGAGGAGGATGAGGGCCAGATCATTTGGGGTCTTATAGGCCATTACATGGAGTTTGGGCAGTATCCACAGAGCAAGAGGAAGTCATAGAAGGGTTTTAAGCGGGAGTGACATGACTGAATTAAGAGACAGGGTCTTACTCTGTTGCCCTGGCTAGAAGTGTAGTGGCACAGTCAGAGCGCACTGCAACCTCAAATAAGTCCTAGGTTCGAGTGAACCTCCCACCTTAGCCTCCCGAGTAGTTGGAACTAAAGGCATGCACCGCCAGGCCTGGCTAATATATATTTTTTTAAGATACGGGGTCTCGCTATGTTGCCCAAGCTTGTCTCAAATCCTGGGTCCAAGCGATCTTCTTCCTCCTGCTTCTGCCTCCCAGAGCACTGGGATCACAGGTGTGAGCCACTGCACGCAGCCAAACTGTGTATTTTTAAAGTTGTCTTGACTTGAGTGTGGAAGCCGGGAGGGCTTTTAGGAGGCCTTTTCAGTAATCCAGTAGTGTTGGTGAAGATCAAACTGGATCATGGGATAGATTCACCAGGACCTTGATGAAAGAATGAATGAGAGGGAGGATGGGGTGACCACCAGGTCTGTGGCTTGGGCAGCTGAGTGGAAGGTAGCATCTTGCTGAAATCTGGAGCCAACGAGGACAGGTCATTGAGGGAGCATGTTTAGTTTTGAGTATGTCGAGCATGAAGTTGCTATGGAATATTTCCAAATAGATGTTTTCAGGAGGCAAAAAAGTTCTTAAACCTTGTGTTACCAACTAAACTCAGAGATACATGGCCATACTTAAGTCCATTAAAGATTCTCCTTGTTCTTCCATCTCTCAGTTGTTTCTAAGAGTCATTCATGTTTATCTCTCTTTCAATGTGACCGTAGACTGTAAGCTTCACCTTTCTGCATCTGTTTCCTCATCTAAAACGAAAAGGCAGAAGATGATCTTCCCAAGCTCTGTAGGCTTAAACCTTCATCAGACGCTCTGCAGTTCTTTCGTTTCAAAGGGATTACAGGGTGGAGTTGGAAGTTTCCAGTCCTTGTTTTTCAGAATCCAATTTGAGCTCTTCTGGTTGCATATTCTCATGCTAAGAAAAAAAGCCTATTCAGATGTATATTGTGAGCCCTCAACAACATTATCCTCAGAAGGTGCAAAAAAGAAAAGATGTAGCCAGATTGGTGCAATGGGAAAGGATTTGCCCTGCCTCTCAGGAGGGATGGATTAGGCCCAGACAAAAAAGCCCTGGCCTCTTGATCTGCCCTCTTTCTGCTTACTGGGGCCTGGCTCACTCTGGGTGGTCAAGAGCCTCTTTTGTCAAGAGGAATCTCACCCCCTCCCTAAACTCCAATTCATCCCAGTGGGCCTTGGGCAGCAATCTTTGTCTTCTTTTTTCAGCCTTCCATCCTGTAAAGTTTGAGCAGGATGGGCAGTGACTCAGGAAGGTGAAACCCATCAGGGCCTTGCCTGCTCCTTCAGTGGGGAGTCCTTGTGAAGGGCTTGTGCTGTGGAAAACCAGTCTCTCTAGCTTTTGTAATTTTCTCAAGCAACGAAAAAGCAAACAAACGCAAAAAGCTTATTCTGCTTTAATACCCATTTCCGTCAAAGGAGTGTATGTGTGTGTTAGGAGAGTGCTCAGGCTCATACTGGAAAGTTAGGTGTTGGTGAGGACTGCTTCAGGTGCGATCCTGACCTGGTCAGACCACGTATCTTTTGATGTTTATGGTAATTCCACATTCCTTCATGATGGGAGAAGGGAGACGGAGATGATAAGATGTATCAAGGGATTTATCAAGTGTAAGTTCACCTTTATCTCTTTTAGGCTTCTGCCTCACTAATACGTTACTACTACTCAGCAATTTTGAGTTTAGGGGATTTCAGACCAAATCCTCTTTTCTGCTGGGCTGGGTTTTGTGCAAATATCAATGGTGAATTGTCTCTAAGCATCAGTAAAGAACTAATGGGAAGTAATGCTTCAGGATAAAAACAGAGAAAAGTCTGGGAAACATAAATTCCAGCAGTCAGGCTGACACTGAAATCTGATTCCAGCTTATCTCTGTTGCTTATCTCTTTAGGATCAGATATCTTAAAGGACATACTCATTTCATTTTTAAAAGTTTCTAAAGGAAGGACCTACTGATCAGGTAACCACCTCTACCCACCCCACCCCAGTTAGCCAGGAAGATAAGGAAGGACCACTGACAGGCTGCAGGCCAAACACGTTCCCCCTGAGGGCTCTGCCATTTGGAATCAGTTGTATGTATCAGTTTTATGGTCTTCTGCTATCACAGTGGGAACAGACAAGCATGGGCCACAGTGTACTGAGGATTTAAAAGACTCAGAATGTCTTAAAATAGCCTGGTCGCTAAACAACAATAATAGTTTGGCATTCCTGAGAATGGTTGTTTGTTTAAAATTCAAGGCATTGGTTCTGGTAGCAGTTAGTTTCCACTAGCTGGGCTCCCACGTGAGTTACTCTGGAAATCACATGGTCTCATCACAACAGGAAGCACAGGGATCTATTAAGCCCCTCCCAGCCCCTCTGAGGGTGGTCCCTAAGCCTTGGGCTACAGGCACCTACACACCCTAGAACACAGTAGATGCTGTGGACCTGATCATTTTAAGGACTCTGGTGTTGTTGCTTTCACCCTGACTAATAATGATCAGTCCACTCTTAGGGGCTTATTTCTCCCACCTAGATGCACAGGCAGTCTGTCTTTCTATCACCAAGTCCTGAGGAGGTAGTTTTTACTGCCTTGTTGAGAGGAGAAGGGAGTCAGGAAGGCCAACCAGCAACAGTATGTTAAACCACATTGTTGGGGTCCCATCATATCTGAAAATGGGTACAAACTGCCCTCTGAACGTATCATCAGCAGTCAGCTCCTGACTCCCTACCATCCTGAGAGAAGCTCGTGCCATGCAAGCTGGCTGTGGGGAAGCCTCACACAGGTTCTGCTACTTTCTGGTTTCGCCATAGAGCAGTCCCACATCACACCGAGCAAAGCAGTTTTCTGTTGCTAGCCCCCTTTCTGTATTGAAGAGTTTCGGGGGATGGGAAGGATGCAGAGACACTGGGCCTGGAATGGCTCCTTAGATGGTAGGAAGGAATAAAGTGACTCTGTTGACCTTGCACTGTAGACTCAGGGAAAGTACTGAATGGCAGAGTTACTAATGACTTCTATCAAATCACCTTTTGCTGACTCCCGTGTTAGTCCTGGATAGCGTCCTTGGCACACTTGATTTCAGATTTTGACAGGTGATAAAAGCACATATTGAGATTGCTGCTTCACAGGGCCCAGATTCCTTGCTATTGACTGATGTTATTTTTGCCTTTCCTGAGAAGCTCCCTCATGTGTTTGCTGTTACTTTTAATGGATTGCTTCCTGATACATGGGAGGCCCAGGCACTTGCCCTTCAATCTGGCCAACTGCAGCCTGACCTGGGTGGAATTGGAGCTGCCTGAGGAACACTTAGACCAGGCACTTGGCAATATGACTCACTTTTTTCCCCTAAAAGTTAGTCTGTAAAGAGCAACTGGAAATGTTCCTGTTTACATCTTTGTGGAGTGTAATTTTAATCAGGATTCTCAAGGTTTTTCACTTCAATTCTCTGAATTTTTAAGATCTTAAATGCCCTGTGGTCACAGTATTTGGCCCTGTACTTCTGAGGGCTACGTGGAAAATGCTTGATGATCATTACTGACTTGTCAATAGTAATTATGCCAATAAACAGAAAAGTCTTCCAGTTCTGGTCTGTTGAGGCCCTGCCGTTAAGCCATGGTTTTCCCAAAGGCTCTGCAGTGGGTTCTCATGGGATGTCTTTCATTGGTTCTTTCTCTCCCTTTTCCTCAGAGGGTCGCATTTCCTGTTTTGTGCAGGAAATTCCCACTGTTTTGGGTTCCCCAGCTACAGTCGGAAAGACATCAGAGTGTTCAAGGCGGAGTCCAGGCCTGAGATCTCAGCAGGCCAGACAGGCAGCAGATGCTTGTTGCTTTTCTTGTGTTATATTTTTCGTTCCCTTACTTAGCATTTGTGGGACCAAAGCCAACAAACAACAGGTTGTTAAAAGAATGAGAGTAATTTGACTTCCGACAGTGATTGGGGCTCGGGGTTGTTGGGTGTTTTGTTTTCTGATTTGAAACTAGCTGTATGGTAACCACTAACTCTCGCCTTATTCTTTTCTTGCAGATGAGCTCACAGTGCCTGCACTTTACCCCAGTAGCCCTGAAGTGTGGGCCCCGTACCCTCTGTACCCAGCGGAGTTAGCGCCTGCTCTACCTCCTCCTGCTTTCACCTATCCCGCTTCACTGCATGCCCAGGTAATTGATACCCATCGGCCAGGACTTCACTCACTTCACCACCAGTCCTTTCAAACTTGGTTCCCGAGAGCACACCATACAACTAACACCTATCCAGCTAACAGATCCACCCTCAAGAGATTAATGATCCCCTCTAAATCAAGCTGACACTCCTTCAGGACTGACGAGGATCGTCTGACAGCAATGATATCACCCACTGCCTGATGTTTGCCCCAAATGACACCTCTCTCTTCCTTAATGATCTCACCTCATATCGCACATGAGAGACCGGGGCAGGTTTATCCACCTGGCTCCCAGCTAGCTAGAGGGCATCACCAGAGTGTATACGTGTGTGCCTTGTGTGGAAGGGCTGCAGAGGAAGGTGTGTGCTAGGAGAAGGGGATATGTGCGTCTGTGCGTGTTTCTGTGTGTTGAGAGTTTTCCACTCTCGTGTACGGTGAGAAGAATCTCTGACCAAAGGGAAAGCTTCCAGGGGGGAAGGCTGTACTTTCTTAAATATGTTACAGGAAAGATTAAGGGTTCCTTCTCTCCATTTTCAGGAAACCCTGTAGAAAAGGAGATACAAGATAGTGTCTAAGATGGAATTACAGGTCAAGGTAGAGATCTCTATTCTGACCAGCTTTCTTTCTTAGTTAAAAATAGCCTGATTTTTATAAACAAACTTCCTGTTTCTCCGCAAAGATTACTGTCTACATACTAACACTTCCTCTCCCCTTGGAGAAAATATTTCTCTTAGCTTCGCTTTTAGTGCAAGTGGTAGTAATCAGTGTAAAGATTCACCTCTGGAGATCACCACTCATTCTTTGGCCTGCAAAGATTGATGACCAGTAACAAATAGAAAGTACGTACGTAGGTTTCATTTGTCTTTCTGCATGTGTAATTCAGCCTTTAAATTTTAAATTTTTAAAAATTATTAGGCTGGACAGGCAGAGTTTTCGTTTGCCTGTTTTGCTCAGTGTTTGTTTACAAGGCTGGGTGAAATAAACAGCTTCCCAGAAAACCTCCTTCTGACTTAAAACTCTTTTATGTTGTACAGAATTCCCTGTCTTGATAAAGACCACCTAGAAGCAGCCCCCAGCGAGGGTTCTTGAAAGTCATGGGGTCGAGATTGTTGTTGGCTGAACATCTTTTAATTCTGAGTTACCAACACGTTGTGCGTGCATTGATGACCCGGCTTCCTGGCCTGCCCTTGGTGCCTGAGCCCCAGTAATGATTGCCCTCTATGTTGGGAGAAGAAGGGAGAAAGTAGTACAAGTAGTGAAGAAAAAAATGTAGGTGGTGTTGGTGGTTGAGAGTACATGGCACAGAAAATAAAGGAGCCAGGATTACCTGTGCCTTTGGCTTCTCCTTCCCCTGCTGCTTTTTCTTCCTTTTTCCATGTCAGTGCTTGGGAACCCTCACAACTGGCAGGTAACGGGGTCGGGATAAAATGTAAACCTGTGGGTGTCTTCTGCTGAGTCATTAGGATCTTTGTAGCAGGCTGCGGATAAATATGTGGATGACATGGGGCAACTAAGAGCCCCTTTTGCTTGCCACCTCCCACCCCTGCTCTGGATGGTGTCTCCTCTTGCTAGACTGCCGGGTACAGATCACGTGGCAATTAAGGCAAATGTTAATAAATACCATGAAACAGTGGTTTGCATAGTCTTCTGAATAGCCATGGCTTTGGTTAGTCAGCAACAAAGCCTTTCACCCTTACCCTGGATAATCAAGAGTTGACAACAGCCAGAAAGTACTGGGAATAGTGGCTTTTGGCCATGACATCTGCTCATTCTTCATTCATGTAATGGGTCAAATCAGAAGTAATTCTGGAGATACGGTATGGTAAGAGAAGGGCCTAAAGAGTCTCAAGAGATTAGAAAGCATATGCCATTGTAAGGAAGGATGGGGAGAGACAGTGCCAAGATTAAATGGACTCAGCCATTTGACTTAATGGGATGCACTGCCCATGGTGGCACCCTCCCCTGGGAGTTCTTCCTTGATCTTGAGACTTTCCCAAACTGGAATCCACTTAGCTCTGCCACATCGGTCCCAGATTTGGTGGGACTCTCCTCTGGTATCAGTTTTCAACGCCACTTCTTGTTTGGAGTCATTCCCAGTGCAGTCATGGACTCTATGAACAAATACGGTTATTTAAATGTATTTGTCCAGTATGAGAATCAGAATGAACTAGTAGAGGCTTTACAGATCAGCTGGTCTGACCCATTTTACAGATGAGGAAACAGGCCTGAGAAGATGGAGGGAGTTACCCACAATCTGAAGGGGCTCTACCATGACTAGACCCAGGTCACCTGCCTCCCAGGCCTGGCTCTTTCCACTCCGAGGTGCTGGCTCACCACAGACTTATTCTTTAATGGAATTTTGGAAAGGCCTCACTCCAGTGACTCTTTGGATCTTTCTTCTCTAAGTAGATGGGAAGCCTGTAAGAAGAGACTTGGAGGCAAAGCAAAGGGAATCAGCACTTAACCCTCACCCAAAGGGCCCAAGAGAATCTTTAGTAACTGGAGGCAGAGCAGACTGGAGCCTCTACGGGGCATCTCCCCATATTGGAGAATTCAGTCTTTGTTTTGGAAATCTTATAATGTCTTTGGAGAGGCTTTAAATAATTTTGTTTTTCTTAGCAATGTTATGCTCTATTTTGAGACATGGATTTTTTTTTTCTTCTAGTGTTTCTCTCCTGAGGCAAAGCCCAACACACCTGTCTTTTGTCCACTTCTCCAGCAAATTAGATTTGTCTCTGGGAATGTGTTTGTAACATACCAACCTACTGCAGACCAGCAGAGGGAGCTCCCATGTTGAATTTGTTTGTTAGCTATTTTCCCCCCTTTCACAAAAACTATTTCTTGACGACCTTTGAGAGATTTCAATAAAAATTTTAATCAGAGCAAAAATGAACTCAAGTAGACTGCAGCGTTTTGTTTTCATGGTGATGCAATTTTGGAGCAAAGGTGTTACTCTCTGACTGAGGTTTTGGGAGAATTGGGCCTGTGACACCAAGTCTATTTTACATAGAAGGACTCAGAACGAGCTTCCTGGAGAGGCCAGGTCCTGGAGCCGAGGCCACACTGCTGCTGCTTGTCTCTCCCTGGGCTCCCAGAAGAGCCACCAAGAGCTGCATGTTGGAAGCGTCTCATCCACCAGGAGACCTCACTTCAGCAGGGATGCTGCGTCTAGCTAGGGGAGCCCCTGTGAAACGTGTGGGTGCAGTGTGCAGTCTGCCCACCGGGATCCACAGGAAGGAAGACCAGGAGACAAAGTGTCATTGAAAAGAAGTTGAGTCACATTTCTAGCTCTGCCCCGGCTTCAGCTGTGGTCTGGTACCCCTTCAGATTTCCCAGCTCTAAAGTAAGGATACTTATTTGCCATCAGATCCCGTTTTTTAGAAATTATTGGATAAGGTAATAGGACTGAAAGCCTCAGTACTGACTTAATGTTTAGAGATCAAAGAGCGACCCTGTGCAGCAGACATCGGATTGCTAAGAAGATCATTAACATTTTTAAAAGTGATCATCCAGTTTACTTTCAAGGTCATTGGTATTTGAAATGTGTTAATTAGGAGAGGAAACTTTCATCTGTTGCTTTCAAAAAGCTTATACACTGAAGAGAGCACACAGCTGTTCTGTCACCTCACATTCACACACTTCCGCCTCTTAGGTTTGAGCTCATGTTCTGCTTTCAGTCTTGTTGTGATGGGCAGAGAGAAAGTCGTTAAAGTATACTGTCCTTACCACATTCTCGAAACACACCATACACCCTGTACTTCAGGCAGAGTCACAGTGTGGGGCCAGAAGCTTCTGTAGGTAAGTAGGACTGAGAGAGAAAGTCCTGGTTACCTAATTCCTTTTCAGAGGCCTCATTTGTCCAGAGTAACAGCAGTTCTATCGGATTTCTAATAGGGCTGCTGTACAGCTTACCTGGACATAAACCAAAGGTTTTAAAATTATAACAGACTGCCTGAGGACAAGGCATGCGTGTCCCTTGGGATGGCTCTGTGACACACTGGAAAAATTTTAAAGGTTAAACCCAAAATAAATACAGAAGTGGACCATGGGAAGAGAGACATAGGCTAACCAGGAAGGGAGCTCACAGAGGAGTAGATGGGCCTGGGAGTAGTGGGTGGACTACCTGAACTGCAGGGCTGTCCCCACCTCCCCTGTATCTGAGCAGTTGCTCATCAGCAGGGTGGGACTTCTGAAAACTAGATTTAAAAAAAAGCAAATCGTATTAAGCATCTGCATCACTATGCCCTGTAGGAAATAACTGAGAAAAAAGACACAAGGACTTCTGCTTTGGTGTCGGGTATGTTTTGAATACATAGAGTGTTGGGGGGTGTCTCGAGGGCAGTGCTGGGTATGGACCTCAGTGCGCACACAGCTCCTTAGGAGTCGCCCAGCAGCGAGACAGCTGTGGATCCCCTCCAGGCGCATGGGAGGCTCACAAGGCAAGGACTCTGATGGTTTTGGCTTCCACCTCCTGTACGGTGGCCAGTGCTGTGAGGGTGGTTGGTCCCACAGGGAAACCTGTGAACAGAGTCATGTCTGGGGCCCCAGGGACATGGCTTCAACCCCTCACCTGGCAGTCCTGCCTCCCAAAAGTAAGGCAGGAGTCCGGAGATTCCCATTGCTTGCTTCTGTGAATCTCAGGTCACTTTAGCACTTGACCCCTGACCCCAGACTGCCTTGTCCTTGAGGCCTGGGATTCCTAAGGTATATACTGTCTGCTCCAGAGCTGTGGCTGTGGCTATCCGGAAAACGACAGCTTTGAAGGACTGCAGAGCTTGCCTTTGGGGCTGTTCTGCCCAAGGCCTTCCATTGTTTTCAGACATAAATGAAATTGTTAATCCTCTGACATTTACCTTTTCCTCTCAACCTGCAGCTCTGTGAAGGTCAGACTGTGAGGAGAAGCCACCCCTTGAGCGCTCCGTCTCCTGATAGTGCCAGCCTGGCCTGGTTTCCTGTTTGGTGAGGCTTTCTAGGAGCACCTGGCTTAGCTCTCACAGGAGGAGGGGCGGACGGGGAGGCCAGGCCTCATGCTCACAGCGCCAGCCTCCTGTGAGAGTGGGCTGGGTCTCCTTTCCTTTCCCAGGCCCTTCCTGGAGGCGATTTCTTTCTTTCTTTCTTTCTTTCCTTTTCTTTTCTTTTCTTTTCTTCTCTCTCTCTCTCTCTCTCTCTCCCCTCTCTCCTCTCTCTCTCTCTCTCTCTCTTTTCTTTCTTTTCTTTCTTTTCTTTCTTCTTTTTTTTTTCTGAGGCAGAGTCTCGCTCTGTCGCCCAGGCTGGAGTGCAGTGGTGTGATCTCGGCTCACTGCAAGCTCCGCCTCCCGGGTTCATGCCATTCTCCTGCCTCAGCCTCCCAAGTAGCTGGGACTACAGGCGCCTGTCACCACGCCTGGCTCATTTTTTGTATTTTTAGTAGAGACGGGGTTTCACTGTGTTAGCCAGGATGGTCTCGATCTCATGACCTTATGATCTGCCCGCCTTGGCCTCCCAAAGTGCTGGGATTACAAGCGCCTGGGGGCGATTTCTATGCCTGCCTCCTGATGCAGGGCCTGTGCTCTGAGCTGCGCCTTTCAGGAGAGCTCTGCGGGGCTTCATTTCCTTTCTAAGCTCATGGCAAGAAATGTAGGGTGGAAAAGACAGGCTCTGGAACTCCCTGGCCACACAGGAGCTCTGCCATTTACACGCTGTGCGACCTCAATTGAGCAAGTTTCTTAACCTCTCTGGGCTTCAGGAAAAGGGCCAATAATCCTTCACATAAACACTTAAGAGAATGCCCGGCATATTAGAAGGGCTTCATGTTTGCTTTAAAGGTAGCCCTTCCCAAGGATCTTTTAAGGGGCACTTGAATTTTCAGTAAGGAGAAGGAAGCCCAGGACTAAGCCTAAGCTACCCACAAGGCCGTGACAGTTAAGACACAGGATGGCCAGCACATGTGGATGACACTAACAGGGGCTGCTAGAGACCTCACGGCTGGAGCCAAATGGAAGACTGGAAAGCATGAATGAATGACGGGAGTAAGATGAGGCATTGCAGTGAGAGCACCACCCACAGCACCGATTGACAGCACCTGCCCTGCTCCTGGCAGTGTGATCTTCACAGCTTACGCCAGCACTGGGAGAGCTTATCCAAAAGAGGGGCCTCCCCAAACCAGGCTGGACACGGCCACCGGAACCCCCTTCTGACAGGAAATACATCCGGGGTGGAGGGGGCTGGGCAGCTGAATCCCAGCGACGGAATGGCCCTTGCCCTCACGAGTTACTTTACACAAACCCGCTGTCCCTGACCTTTCCAGCTGCAGCCTTATCTCACTTTCCTATCGGAGAAACTGGAGAAAGAATCACAGGTCACCCAGCCCATTCCTCCCTGGACTTTCTGGCACTTTCTTCCCACAGTCCTTCTGCTAGTATTCTCCTCAGCCTCATTTCCAGGCAATGGAGTTACAGCTTGTACTTGGGGATATTGCTCTCTTCACAGTTCTGCCAGGAAACCCGAGAATCTGCCCCCGGCCAGGCAGATGCTCTCTCCCTGGTGACCCTCTCCACCTCTTCCGTCATTTGCAGTGAGAGAGACATCAGCATTTTGTCCTTCACCCTCTTTAGAAGCAGTCCTCCAAAACCATCCGTCCAGGGTGTTAGGGAGACGTGTTCTTTTGTCCAGAACTGCTGCTGCTACTGAGGCCCAGGCCTCTCCATGTTGGGCAGTTTTAGGAGGAAATGCCGTTCAGAAACCAGAGTCGGTCCCCTAGTGTATGGCTGTGTGGCTTTGGCCAGGGTCACTCACCCCAAGGAGACTTCCGTAGAAATCACAGTATTATTCAGGATTGCCAGAACATCTCAACGTGGGCCTCCTCCTGACTGGGGGCACCATTACTCTCCATTACTCCATTACTCTCCATTTGGTACACTGTTTTCCAGGTTTCTAAGTGTGTTCCATGTTGTCCTTTGCGGAAGGTTAAACTCCCCAGATCCTACGCGCCTTCTCCCCTGTCCTTAATAGTAGTAAGAGCCCAACCCTGAGTCCCAACAAGTCGCACCTGGAAGTGCCGTCTGCGCTCGGCTCTTCCCTGGGATTAACAACCGCGTGGCCCAACTGTCACAGTCGGGTGCTGCTGAGCGCCTGGCACCTAACTGGGACTCAGTTTTTTAAATCAAACAAACCTGATTTTAATGACAGTTTCTACCCACTCTGCTAAATTTGGGATCCTAGGCAAGTTGGTTTTTAACTGCACGGAGCCTCAGTTTCCTCATCTATAAATGGGAAGAATGAACATCTCCATGGGTTTATTTTGCAGAAAACAGTAAGATGTTTGGCTTAAAGTCATAGTTATGATTAAAATAGTTCTTCCAATGCCTTCCCTTTGTCAGGATTCGATCTGGTGTGGCCCAGAGGCTCCTGAGCCCTCCCTGTAAGCTTGAGAAGCACTTAGGACACAGGGACTCCTGACCAGCACCCTGATAAGAGAAACCTAAGGGCCTGGGCTTTTTGCTTTGGTAAAGAAGAGAAACACCAGAGCCAGGGTGAGAATGGTCCGTGGCTGTGGCGTATACCGAGAGGAGGCCGTCTGGTTGGGTCAGCTGGGTGTGTACCCAAGGTTTTTTTCTTCTGTAGGCATAGGCACCCAGATGCCGTCCGGAAAGTATGTGAACTCTAACTGCTTTGGAAACAAAACCAAGGCCACAGAGAAACTTTGGAATTATAAAATGTAGCCTTCATAAAAGGGGAGAGTGAACTTTTCTGTGAAGAAAACCAATTGTGACAGTAGGGGTAAAGGAAAATCAACTCCAAATGGAATCATGTTTTATTCAGGATTTGTGCTGCCGGTGGGGAAGGCCAGACCCAGCGACAGGATGGGAAAGTGGGACACCCCAACTTCAAGCTTTGTGCGTTCTGCCACGAAGTTCTATGCGCTTCACTGAGCTCAGCTCCTGGGGACCTCTAATGGCCCTTGATAGCAAACATAGTTAAAAATTAACAGACTGACAGAATTAAATATGGATGACAAGCAACCACTGTGGACTTAATCTGACACAGGGTGTTACATGCTTGGGTGCTTTTAACCCAAGTGGCATCTCAAGTGAACTTCTGAGATGTCTGGGCACATTTCACATGCCTGTTTGGAAGCAGGGCTTAGCTTGTGCTTAGGACAGACAGGAAAAGAGTCTAAGAGCCCAGGAGAGAAAATTCTCCCT
The DNA here is from genome assembly GCF_000001405.40 of Homo sapiens. Taxonomy (NCBI): domain Eukaryota; kingdom Metazoa; phylum Chordata; class Mammalia; order Primates; family Hominidae; genus Homo; species Homo sapiens. The sequence goes on from NC_000008.11 coordinate 30,552,810, forward strand.
GGAGGCTTTTGTTTCATTAAACCCAGCTTTGATCAGGCTTACCAGGATGTACTCACAGTCCTAGGACCTTGTCCTTGTGGTCTAGACCTTGTCCCTGCCTGGGCTCGGACCTCAGTAGCACCTGCCATCGTGACTGGAAGATCCGGCAAGAGCACAAGGCCAGCGGGGAGCATGGCCTCCTCCAGCTAGGACTTTCTTGCTCACCTCTTTTCCAGCTGTTGGGGCAGGTGAGATGGCAGCCTTAACCAAGGACCAAGTCATACAAATCTTGACATTCTGCCTAGATCATAGCGACTTAATTGCCCTAGGCAAGGACTATTAGGTGCCAGACAGGTAGTGAAGAATGCTGATGGCGTTTTCATGCCTGAGTCTGCTGAGAAAGAGTATAGGCTGCCGATTCTGGGGGGCAGGGAGAAGAGGAGTGGTTCCTTTACAAGAGGGCCTCATTTCATGCAGCAGCGAAATTCCCAAAAAGTGTTCTTCCAGTTTTGGTGAGTGCTTTTTTAGAAATGGAGGTGAGGGTTGCTGTTTAAAAGAATCTTGCAATCAGCGCTGTAAGGAAGACAATCTTTTTGTATTGCACATCATCCCTCCAGCCTATTCGATGAGTTTGGAGTTTCTTGGACCAGATTATGCTGGGCTTGGCAGCCTCTCTTCAGCCTGGCAGTCTCTGACAGAGCTTGCTGTAATGGCCTAACGTGCTTTATTTGGTGATGCCACCCAAAAGTGGATCCTGAGGTCTGGAGCGAGTAGGGCAGAGCTGATGGTAGGTAGTCACTGTGTGAGTGGTTCCCTGCAGTTGCTCAGTGTTGGGAACGAGCCCCACAGCGAACTTCAGCGCTCCATTCTAGGGAGAGTCATGGAAACCTGCCTGAGAATATCCATGCCTTCAAAACATTAACCCATTAGTTTGAGATAACATTCTTGTCATTTACATAAAACAACTTGTTCAAGCTACTGTGGGTTTTGTTTTGTTTTGTCTTTTGTTGAGGAAGTCTCCCTCTGTCACCAGGCTGGCATGCAGTGGCGCCATCTCAGCTCACTGCAACCTCCACCTCCCAGGTTCACGCAATCCTCCTGCCTCAGCCTCCTGAGTAGCTGGGACTACAGGCGCACACCACCACACCCAGCTAATTTTTTGTATTTTTAGTAGAGATGGGGTTTCACCATAATAGCCAGGATGGTCTCTATCTCTTGACCTCATGATCCACCCGCCTCAGCCTCCCGAAGTGCTGGGATTACAGGCATGAGCCACGGCGCCCTGCCCAAGCTACTGTTATTAACTATTTTGTTCAAAGAGGGATAGCTGACTTCTGAATGTGGTGCAGGGGAAACCTGCATTCAGGTACAGCATCTGCACTAGGGAAGGTGAGAGAAAATCTGTAGCTGCTCCATGTACATGAGACATCAGAGCACTAGCCGGTTTGGTGGTCTGTCTTCCAGCTCGAAGCATGCAAATGGCACAGCCCAGCCTCTTAGATCCACCAAATGCTACCACTGGAAGGGACCTTCCAGACCAGCATTTCTCAACACCCACAGGGATTCACAGCTGTTCCATAATCCAGAGATCCTGCAGTCAGATAAACTTGGGCAGCACAGGTCTAGATCAAGTCAAACAGGTTTCTTTATTTTGGAACTTCTTGGAGCCATTACTGTGCCCACACATATCAAGAAACTGCTGAAGGGACCAAATTGTGCATTTCTCTCTAATGTCCTTGACATTAGAGCATTTCTAGACCAGTGTTCTTCCAGCCATACTTTTCGAAACCTTAATTAAAAGCAGCATCTCTCAGACTTGACCATGTGCCTGGTGATCACCTGGGGGGCTGGTTACAGTGTCGTTTATTGGATGCCTCTCCCAGAGTTTTGGCATTTCTGACAAGTTCCCAGGTGATGCCGTTGGTCCAGGAACCTGAGAACCACTGGTCTAGGCTTACCCCTTCATTCCCCAGAGAAGAAAACAGTCCAACCAGAGAGTATTTGCTTTCAGTAGTGACTATTAATTGAGCCAGTCACCTGCTAAGCACTTTTCGTGACTCTTTCTAAGGGCAAGTATGATAGTGGGATTCAGCCCCTAGAAAGGGGATAGCGCAATGCAAATCATTACTGTAGAGTTTTACCCTGTGCCAGTCACTCACCACTGCAGAAGGGTTGGTACTTCAGGCAGGGCGTCCTCCCGAGACTAGTCAAGGTCTTCCTGTCCTTGGCATCAGTATTAGGAACATAAATTCTGTCTGTATTTAATCCTCTGGGCCTTCATTTTTCATCTATAAATGGAAGAGGATGGAAATTATTTTTATGGGTGGGTACCGCTTTCTCTAGCATTCCATTTGATTTTTACTCTGAGTTGCTTCTTTTTCTGGGTATCTTGGTGCTCTCCTGTTGTCCAATCTGTCACCATGCTGAGTGCTGGAGACTTACAGTGTTAGCCATGCAGGGGCACTGCATTTTCAGAGCATTCCTGAAGAAGAGGGATGGTAGAATCCCAAACAGTGTGGCCCTGGGTAGTGAACTGTAACATGGTAATAACTTACCACTATTGTTAAGTTCTAGTGGAGAAGATTCCCAGGGTCGTCCACGTTGCCTTAGATGTCACAGGCTGTGTGAAGTGCTTAGCGCGGTCTCTGACGCAGACTAAATGTCAGGGTCAGTTTGGTTAAGTATATTGTGTTAAAGTTTCTCACAGGGTCTTGAGAAGCCCCTGGAATTGTGTGCAAGACTGTGAGTGTGCACATTTGAGAGAGAGAACTATGGGAGAAGAGAGAGAGGGTGTGTGTTTGTGTACACATACGTTTTCTGCACATGGCATGAAGAAATGTGAGGGGCCGCTGCCTTGCATGGAAGGCCAGCCCTTGTCACATTATTCTAATGGGGAGCCCTAAACTAGCCTGCTGAACTGTTTGGAGAGGACCTTGACGCAGGCAGTCTGGAGGGAACTGTAGGTTTCCCCGTTAAGAAGAATTGTAAAGCAGCCCTTATGGGATGGGCAGGAGTGACCTGGGGCCAAAAGCCCAGCAGAACAAGCAGCCCGAATGGGGCTAAGAGAGAACCCTCTCCTCATTACCCCCACACAGTGATTAGCGCGGAGCAGCTTGTTCCCCCCCACCGGGCCGGCTGCCCGAACTCTGCTGTGCACCATGAGCCCTGCCGCTCTGCCGGCTGTGGTGCGGGAACCTGGATGAGCCGCTCAGACTTGGCCAGGGGGGCACTGCCCTCTGCTGGAAGCTGGGCGCAGCGGAGCCTCTCAGGCTGGAAGAGGAGGCAGCCGTGGGTGTCTGTGGATGCGGTGAGAAGAGCCCCCCACTTGGCAAGCACATAGTGTCCTAGCCTGAGACACAAGAGCAATGAATTCAGGGGTCTGTGTGTCCGCCACCCGCCACCACATCCACTCTGAGGAGCAGCCACCTATTGCATCACTGGCGTCCTCACTCCTCAGCTGAGCACAGCCTCCCCTGGACCCCACAGCTCGGAACCCGCCTTCATGTCACTCTGGAGTGCGCCTCGACCAGGCTGACGAGAGCCTGAAGACGGGCTGCACGCTCGTCCCCAACCCTGCAGGCACCTGTGCGAGTGAGAACGTGAGGGCTGTGTGCGAGAGCTGGTCAGAGAGGCTGGGGCAGGGCTTCCTTCTCGCAGTCACCTGCACCGAAAGCAGAACCATGCCATCCACTGTGCAGCTCTCCTCCCCGGGCAGCCCTCCCCCTCCTGTGTCTCCTGTGAAACACCGTCACGTCTTGGCCTCGTCGGGGCTCAGCGCCCCAACCCACACCCAGGCCGCACCAGTCACACCACTGCGCTCCACACTGACCCAGTGCACACAGACCCATCACCCTCTACTGTGTGTTTAGGTGTCCAGCCCCCCACCTGCCATGGGGGCTCTGTGTCCCCGCCCCGTCCTTTCCCACCTGTCTCAGGAAGGCAGCTCCAACTCTGCTCTTTGCTTAGTGAGCAAGTGGATTCAGATGCACCAGGCCATGAGCCGTGGGTAGGTATGAGTTCTTTCTTCTCCCCACCTCTGCCCTCCCTCTCCTCCCCTAGACTCTTCTGTCCCCTTCCCTGCCCGCCCCTACCTCACCCCCATCTTCCCCACTCTTGCCCTCCTTCTTTTGTTCTGAACACACTTCTAATTTCCCAGAGGAGTGTTTTCTAGCCTTCCTGCCTGGGAAAAGTTTCTGACCCTTGTCCCTGTAATTGCAATGAGTGTTGGGAGTGACCCCAGCCCTGCCTTAAATGAGCTTTGGTACCTGCTGGTGGCCCTGAGGACAGCAACTTTGCCTTTCCCTGATACTGGGGACCCTGCTCTAGCTGGTCATCTGATCGCTGGTCATATCTGGCATGGTCGCCAGAAGAGACCCAATGCACAGGCAGCCTGACGGAGTCGTGGTGCAGGCAGAAGCTCCGGTATGTCCTAAGCCTGCGTTTCCTGACTCAGGCCAGCGAGGAAAGAACCGCTCGTGAGGAGGCCCATGGGGAGGAGGAGGTTCCCAGGCCGCCTTGTGCTCGGACCAGGGACAAGGTCGGGGTGCTGTGTCGGATTTCTCTAGGACCCAATTTCTAGACATCCCTGCTTTTAGAATCAAGTTAGGGGATCTCGTGGGGCCTCATCCTGGATTCTGACCCCACTGGGCTCTGTGACCAAGGTCATTGAGAATCCCCAGACTTCAGCTGGTGCCCACACCTGTAAAACAAGGAGATGAGGCAGGAGCTTTCCACCAGTCCCTTCAGAGCCCTGCGTTGTGCAGTGCTGCCTCCCAGACCCCCCTGCACCTCCATTTCAGCCAGAATGGCTCTTGCTTCATCACTAAGCTTTGGAGATCTCAGTAAGTCCTCCTCTGCCACCCTGCGGGAGGGCATCGCCTCACCTGGCCCCACAGGCCTCACCTTCTCCACTCCCAGCAGCACTTCTGGGCTGCTCATGGTGGTCATGGGGAGACCATGCCGCCTCCATGTGAAAGGAAGAGCAGTGGGAGGCGGGCATCTCTTGCCTGTGTCCAAAAACATGTCCAGTGATGGATGCCGTTAAAGACAAACGGCGCTTGCCCTTTTGGGTGTTTTTTGTTTTGTTTCTTGTTTGTTTTGAGATTTTCATTCATTGCCCAGAATGGAGTGCAGTGGCACAATCTCAGCTTACAGCAACCTCCCCCCTCCTGGTTCAAGCGATTCTCCTGCCTCAGCCTCCCAAGCAGCTGGGATTACAGGCATGCATGCCCACGCCCAGCTAATTTTGTATTTTTAGTAGAGATGAGGTCTCTCCATGTTGGTCAGGCTGGTCTTGAACTCCTGACCTTAGGTGATCCGCCCGCCTTGACCTCCCAAAGTGCTAGCATTACAGGCGTGAGCCACCACACCCATTTTTTTTTTTCATGTTTTCCTTGGCATAGGACCTGGAATATGCTGCCAGGTGGGCAAAGTGTTGCTCAATGCACCTGTGTTTGCGGCTGGCCTTCCACTTTAGAAAGCTAATGGAAGAGACAGGGCTGCTGGTCCCAGCTGGGAGGCTCCTTGCTGAAGGCTGTAGGCCCATCTCCTCAGTAGGGTGAACAGAGGGCCTGGGGTACCAGACACACACAGTGCCAAGAAGCTGGAACCCTTTTTTTAAAAGAACAGGAATAGAATCGCAAAGTAGTCCTGGCCAGGCCACTGGTGTGGATGGGGTCGTGAACTGCCCCTTCCTTACCAAAGCAGCTATGTTTCCACACTCTGCTTAGAAAGCCATTAGATAGCCTTTCACCAGCCTAGGCCTGGGAAAAGGAATTCGCTGTGCCGGATCTTAGCCTCAAATGGCTGCTAACCTTTAAAAGGAGGATGAGAGCAGAGGAGTTGGTGGAACCTCGGGCACTTCTCGAGGTGGGTGCTTTCCTCAGAGAGCTTGCCTGTGTGTTCATAATGGTGTGTGGAACGCCTCTCAGGACACCGCTCTGATGCTTTTCAGCCCCTTGGGGAAGAGGCCCTCACAGGCTAGTGTGAGTGGGTACCATCTTGGAACAGTAGGGAAGTGGTAGCCAAGCAGGACCCTCCGTGAGAATGGGGATATGCTGGGGAGCCCTGGCTCACGGCCTTCTCCCATGTCTTTTCAGATGCGCTGGCTCCCTCCCTCCGAGGCTACTTCTCAGGGCTGGAAGTCCCGTCAGTTCTGCTGAATACTATGTAAGTACTCGCTTTCCTTTGGAATGTGCGAAGCCCCTAGAACACATCTGTACATGGTGGGTGCGCCATGAACGCAGCTCTCCTCCTTTCTCTGCACCCACACCTTATGCACCTCCTTTGTCCATCTTTGTTAAACTCACTTGAACTACATAGCAGTGCATCTTTTCCGAGAGGAAATTTTCACCTAGGTACGGGTGCTAGTCTATTTGAGTCTAACTTAGGAAACCAGTACCTGGCCTCCCCACTTAAAAATAAGCAGTCAGTGCTAATTTCTGTAGAACAGCTGTCAGAACATTTTATTACCTAATTGTAGTTCACCTGCTGCCAGCATTAAATCAAAACCTTAAGTTGCAGGAATAGTCATCCACTAATTTACACAGTAGTTGATTATGGGAGATTTATTAGAATGAGTTTCCCTGCATACATCATATCCAAAGTACTAATCGTTAAAAAATACCTCATTTTCCTACCAAAGGTGCAGTGCACAGTTCCAGCAGGCTTTCCTTTAAGGTTTTCATCATGAAGGAAGCACTATCCTAAATGGGCATTTTTGTGCCATTTTAGGCCTAACGTTGCTTCAGAGAACTACCAAATGCCTTTTCTCCATTTCTACAAAATACCAAATGCCTTCTGTAATTCAGAAATTCTGAATTTCTGTTAAGTACAAGGCACTGTTCTTCTAAACTCTAATTTAGTATGTGAATTTGGAGAGTCTACTTAGAGTTAAGTTTTTAGAATGTTTTAGTTCCACCATCAGTCTTCTCTTGGTTTACACAGTTCCTTCATGAAATAGGAAGAAAAATGAGAAGAGGGAGGGGCCTGATCCTCATGCTGTTAGAAATGCTAAAGAGATCATGGCAAACCTGTGCACCTGATTTTACAATAGTGTCATGGGCCTTTCCTTGGAGACTTCTATTGTAAGATAAAAATACTTCCAAACTAAACTAGTGTTCTTTTCTTTTTGTACCATTAATACTGAGTCCATATGCTTTTGTTAGATCATTTGAAGCCATTTAGATAGACTCTTCTGGAGAGGCATTCTGTGGAAAGAACAGGCCCCTGGTCAACTTAGATTCCACTTAATGGAGAAATGTTTCAGACCTCTCACAAGAAAAAGACACTAGAGCTGAACTCGCGCAGGTCAGTGCCTGTCAGTGAAGAAGAAAGAGAGCATTGAATAAGATTTTTAAAGAGTGCTAGGGTTTATTGTGCACAGGTAAGTTGCCCTGTTGACCTGAAGTCTCGGTTGGTGGGTCAGGTCACCTTCAAGATCTGGGAGGACTGCTGAGTGTGGACTTCATGTTTGAAGTTCTCATCACGCAGGAGGCCGGCCCTTTTGGATGAGCTCAGGTCCGAGTCAGAAGACCCCTTCTGTGTTCGCAAAGGAGAGGTCTCAGCAGACAGTAGAGAGATGAGTAATGGGCATGAGAGTGTCGGAAGCCCACAGACGATTCTCAGAGCAGCCAGTCATAGCCCAGCAGCCACCTGGCCATTCACAGCTCTTTCTCTGATGGCAGGGATAGGAAAGTTGAGAGAGAGCGCTCTGTGCTTTAGGACATCAGCATCAGGAAGCTAAAATTGTATCTACTCTTCCTCTAACCCAATGTATTTCATATTTTAACTCAAATACTTCATATTCGAGTGTGGCCAAATAATAATAGTCCTCAGGGGCAATCGCAGGTGAAGTACACAAATCCTTCCAAGGTCAGTGAAACAAATTTCTTTACCCAAAGATTCTCAGAGCCTTTATTACCATATGAACATCATGAATATTTAAGAGGAGGGGGCTCTGGTACACGGTGTTCCTCAAGCTTACTTGAAACCAGGTCATCCTTTTTTCACAGAATCTTAGGAGACTAATGTTTCATGCCTGGGGGAACCATATCCTAACCTCTTAGCCAGAAACGAAACCAGAGGCCCCCATATATAGAGATCCTTGGATGAGTATTCATGTGTGATACTGCTCATTAATCTGTGATGATATTTAAAACCCCAGACAATGTAGTAGCTTTTCTTGTACTACTTGTTTGTCCCTTATTCTGAAATTACATGTCGTGTGTGTGCGCGCCTAAGTATCCTTTTTAAATGGTAGTGTTAGGAAATGGTAATTGTCTCTTAAATGTCCTTTATTAACAATTCATGATAGATAAAATGTTCTTTTAAAATGTTTAATTATTTTGTGAATTCTAAAAGTTTGCTTTTTAGGAGAGATTTTTTTGCTCCAGGGAATACCATTCTTAAGCTATAAGACTATATCTGAGATATAGTCTAGGGTCTATGAAGTCCAGAATTTTGTAAGTCCATGTTTCGTCTTCATATGCCCATAATTGACTTTTAAATACAGATCCCAAAGCCTTACTTATTTGGTTGCATAGGAACCTCCCCGTTACCATGGTGCCCAGCACTGCCTTACAACTCCAGATGGCACTGAGCGGACCCTGCTGTGAGCAGCTCCCTATTCCATGACAGTGTGTTGAGCTCTCCATTGTCAGAGGCTGGTAGGGTGTTCAGCTAGAGGTGCCGAGGATGAGGTAACTGGAAATTCTGAAGCGCACAAGAGAAGGCATGGCTTGAAACACTGACCTGACCCTCAGCATAAACTGACCGTTGAGGAAGTTGGTGAAACTGGAAGAGAGGCCCCTTGCCAAGCACATCTGAGAGCCAAGAGTCAGCAGAGAAAGAGCAGCCCCCAGAGAGTGGAGAGCGGGCTGGAGAAGCAGGGTGCGCCGGCCACTTCTGTCAGTCAGATGCTTCAGGAAAGTCAAGCATGGTGAGAGAAGACCTTCAACTTGGCAATTTCAGTTGGTAGAGAAGTGGGCAAAGGATGTTGGCCTGGGACCTAAGGAAGGGCTTTTTTCCCCTTAAGAATTTATGTAGGCCACAGAGAAGACATCCATTGTGAAGCAGTTGCGTGGGTTCCAGTGACAGAGATCCTGGGTTTCATTTGTATCTGCTCACCTAATTTTTTTCCAAATCATTTCTCACAGACCCTTCAGCAATGGCTACTAGAAGGACGAACAATTGCCCTCCTTTGGAAGTACGGCTAATAGAAGCCCTAGATCCGAATAAGATCCGAATAAGAATATGTAATGGACCAGGCGCAGTGCCTCACGCCTGTCATCCCAGCACTTTGGGAGGCTGAGGCAGGCGGATCACTTGATGCCAGAAGTTTGAGACCAGCCCAGCCAACATGGTGAAACCCCGTCTCTACTAAAAATACAAAAATTACCCAAGCATGGTGGTGGGCGCCTGTAATCCCAGCTACTAGGGAGGCTGAGGCAGGAGAATCGCTTGAACCCGGGAGGCAGAGGTTGCAGTGAGCCAAGATCATGCCACTGTACTCTGGCCTGGGCGACAGAGCAAGACTGTCGAAAAAAAAAAAAAAAAAGAGTATGTAATGTCTCCCGTGGATGAATCATTTGTTCTGAGCTAAGCTTGGGCCATGGGCCAGACTCCTTCCTCGGAGCCTGTGGGGAGCAGGTGAGGAAGGAGTATGGATAATGGTGCCCGTTACTCCTGCACGCGGGGGAGTCTAGTCTCCCAGCCCATCTAAAGTTAGACTAGCTCAGTGCGGATCTATTATTTCAGCTCCTTCTAGTCTCTTGGATCAAGTCCTTTCCAAGATGGCCCATAATCCAAGCTGTGTAATCTTAGGCAAATGTAAATTAGAATTGGAAACAGTGGTGCTGATGAGCTAATATAAACATTTTTAAACCAGAACAAGTCAAAAAGGCCAAATGAAAGGCGCATACCATTCATTGGCAGAGGCCCACATGGCTCTCTCCGTTCGGCGGGGAGGGCTTTCTTCCCCATCTTGCTTTCCCAGCACGGAAAGAACAGAAGACGAGCAGGAGTGATGCCGTCCTTCCAAATCCTCAAAGGCCAGCACTCCCAGAGGTCCTTCAAGGATTTTTCATTTATCTACTTGGACTTCTTAGTGCTAAAGAGAAATCAGTGACTAGACTAGATATGTAAATAAGAACTTTATTCTCTAGACAAACATTTGTTGTGTCTGCTGTGTCCAAGATACAAAAATGAAAAAACAGGCCTGTGCCCCTCAGGAGCTTAAGTTCTAATGGCAGAGAACTGTGGACACATGTACAGGAGAGGGAGTTACTGCTCATGATCCTGCAAGACCAGCTTGCTGTGAGGAGAGCCAAGCTGAGGGCATGTACAGGCCATGTGCATGCTGTTCCTGTGGCATAAGCAAGGCCATCAGGAGAGGGGGGGTCAGAAGGGGACAGGGTGTTACTGGTGTTTTAATTTGCTCCGCCTCTTGCTGATGGATGGTGTTGAGTTTAGTGATGCAGACACAGCCTGTGGCCAGAGTTTTGCTGATGGTTCAGCCATGTGCTAGAGAGCCCAGAATACAGAATCACGATTGAAAATTGTCAGTTTCCCAGATACACTGAGAACAGGCGAGCATGAGCAACGCTGCTGTCACTCCTTACATGCAGTGAGAGTGAGGCAGCTTTCTTTGATGGATATTCAAAGAGTTGAACTGTTCTTGAAAGGGAAGAACCAGCGTTTGGGAGCCAAGTGGGGTGTAGGGGGACGTCTTCTTTCAGGACTCTTGAAATTTTCCTGGCCATGGACCGGGACCAGAGCCCAGAAATTATAAGCACATGTAGTTACAGCCTCCCCAGATTGGAGAAGGAAATGCAAGAGAGAACGTGACGGAATTTGGAGCTATTTTTCCCTTCTCTTCTGTTTTGGGTGGAATGGCCTTGCCTGTCTTTGGCTGTGAGCTTGAGTCATCCTCAGTAGAGTCCCAGGTGCTGGTGCCCAGGTGGAGCTTAGAGCTTAACAAGGAGGAAAGGCACTGGGGCTCCAGAGGCCCAGACAGCTGCGGTGGCTCCTGCTGTCACGCTGGCCTCCCCTTAGAAGAAAGCCACCTGTCCATGTCATGCTATCACACTGCGGTGCACCCACCAACCAGTATGAGGCTGTGAGGTCTGCACATCACACCTAAGGCTACTAACGCCGTAACTGTCCGTCATACCTAAGGCTAATACGGTGAGCAGCTGCAGCGTCCTGGGGAGGAGATGGGTAATAGGTAATCAAATAGACATAATAGTTTGGGTGGTGATAGTATTCAGGGAATAAATAATAAGGCCAGGTAAGCAGCTCAGTGTTGTGGTACGGCCAGCACTTCTGGTGCCTTCTGCTTCAAGTTAGCAAAGCAGGCAGGGTCCGCCTGAGAAGGTAACATCTCAGCAAAGACCTAGAACTTCACCAGCTTTATACGGGGTTTCTTTTTCAGAACACATTCCACTTTAGTGAGGCTTGGAAAATATTTAACTCCTGTAATCTTAAAGTAAATGGACTGGAAGTGCAGCAGGCTTGGCTCCCACGCAGCACTAAGGAATCACTGGGAGAGTGTGCAGGGCCCTCCTCAGAGACCTTTCTCTGTTTTCCCAGTGAGGAGACGCAAGCCTGGTTCTGCAATTCTTTCCAGCTCTGGAGTCTGTTATGGTTCCCATCTGAGCTCTAAAGGTAGGGGTGGGCCTGAAGACCCTCCACACTGTCAGTCCTGTGGACGTGGTGGGTGCCCCTCTAGCCACCACTGTCCTCCGGACTGTGCCACATCACAAGCACTTACCGAGCTCCTCTACAAACCACGTGACAACCAAATGCAGTGAAAACTGCAGCCCCCCAACCTGCTCCTGCCCATTGTGTTTTCTGTGGATCTGTCTGGAGTCCTTGGAGACTCCTGAGCATGTGCACTGGCAGAGCTGCCTGACTCTTCCCTGGAAGAAGTTCAAAGAGGGTAGCCACGTGTTCAGACCAGGCCATGGGGTCTGGGGGCTCCGCGACTCCTGAGAGCAATTCCTGGCCGGACTCTGGCTCATGTTACTGCCCCCACCTCCCCCCGCCCAGGTAAACCCGGGGGTGCAGACAACTGTTGTTGAGGTCCCAGGAGCGGGTTGTCCCCTATGCTCCTGGGGACATGGAGGAGAGGGAGGGTCCCAGGATCCCAGTACTTGTATGAGTCGCACTGATTAGCTGAAGCCCAGAGGCTTCTTAATCATCCTAGAAATACAGCCTCCCGGGAAATGTGGCCTGGCTCTGCAGCTCTGGGTGGCTCGTGCTCTCCCTCCTGTGTGGAGGGGTCCTGGAGAGGTTGGGTGAGCTGATTGATAGGTTTCATGTGCAAAGATGATTATTTTCCTGTTCTCAAGTAACCCAACTTTTGCTAGGAAACTAGAATCATCTAATGTTGCATAGTGAAGTTCTGGGGAAAATGTTTTCTTCCTTAAATCTGAGGAGAGAGATGTCCTAGGAAGGTAGTCTTCAGGCTCACTCTTGATTCCAGAGCTGGGTTTCAGCACACGCAGTCCCCTCTCCCTGAAGAGTCCTGGTGGGACCACTCGGAGGTGCCAGCTGAGCCAGTGCCACCTTTCTGGGGAACCCGGACAGTCCGCAGCAGTATGTTATGCACTCCAGTTCTCATAAGCCTCGCATACTGGACACGGCCTGTCTGCAGGGAGGGAGATCTGAGAAATGTTAGTGGGAAATAGGACCGCTGGTGTCCACATGCAGGGAGTTGGGCTTCCTTCCCTGGCACTGGAATCCTTGCTGTAACCAGCCGGCTCAGAGGCAGCCGTGCCTGCAGGGGGAGTATTAGAAACTGATTCTTTGCTAGGTCTTTGCACCTTCGTATTTCAAAATTCTCAGACCCTAGGGTACAAGTAGCCAGATATCTTCACAAATGTGCATCCTTTTAGTTTTTGTTTTCCAGGAGATGCTTGGAGCAAAGTTTAGTCCTTGGTGCCTGTGACAGACAGGGATTTCCTATGGCCTTGGGCTGACCAAAGCTGCTCAGCTCCTGGAGGTGGCTGTTTCTGGATCTTGCTGTGTGGGGGCCTCAGGTCCCATGCCTTTCCTCTGCAGGGCCTTTGGACAGTCCTCCGGGTCTAGGCCACAGCCCTTGGGATGCAACCACAGGGACGTGGGTGTAGAGTCCTGCTTGCTGGGCCTGCAGCCTCCTAATGCGCCCTCAGCGAAGAGTTCACATGCTTTTCTTGGAATGTCCTTCCTCGCTGGCCCCCAGAAGCCTCCTCTTACTTGCTCCGCCAAGTCCTCAGTGCGTTTTCCTGGCTGAGAGCTTTTCATGTCGCATATCCAAGGCCATTCTGCAGCAGCCTCTGGTCCTCAGCTCAGCAGCAGAGGCCTTTGATCTCTTTCGGCGTTGCCTCTCTTGGCTCTCTGCCCTCAGAACAGGCCGGTCTTCAAGACCGAGGCAGCCCCAGGTGGAGGTTACTGTGCACCGTTAACGGGTGATCTTTCTCCATCCCAGGTCCCAGGTGTGTGATGGCGGCTGCAATCTGTCTTGTGGGTATTAATGCAATCTTCAGTGGTGGCTACTGTTCTCTAGCTGTTCTACAAAACTGGAGCATGCTGGTGAGTAACAGTCAGGGCTGAACAAGCCCTCAGGGGCGGCATGGCGAACACGTGGGAACTGTGGGCCTCTGGGGGTGGGGTCTGGCATTCCAGGTGCTCGTGCCCCTCCACCCCAGGTGATTCTGCCCGGAGCTCTTTAACATCTGCTCCAACACGGCCTGCCAGGGAAGGTCATCCCAGGACAGCAACTGATACATTTTTAAAGCCCATCACCCCAGTATTTGGTGCTCACCATGTCCTCCTTAGGTAAGGCTGGCACCATGAACATCTGGCTGTCCAGTGGCACCTGGAGTGAGGGATTCCACCTAGGGAAATGTTACTGAAACGAAGCTTTTCCCTTTAAGCATCGCCTTTTTTGGGGGGAAATTATTATTTTGTTGGAAATCTGTTTCAGATGTAATGTGTATATCCCCCCATCTTATTAATCCAGTTATACTGCATATGATCAGCCATTTGATGACTTAGGGACATAGGATAATTACCCTGGAGCATGACTGAATCAGAATTCACAATTAATTTCTCCAGACTGTGGGCCTCTTAGTAGTTCATGGTTTTAGCTTAGTAGTTCATGGTTTTAGTGATCTGTCTTTTCAGTCGGTATCACCTGTCACTCCTCAGTTCGTTAGCTACTAGCAGGAAATGTAGTCTAAAAAAAATCCTCCTGTAGCATTCCCAGAGGTGACCTTGCTGTTGGGTCTCTGGAAAGCCTGGCTTAGAGCGGCAGGAATGCCAGGGGCGAGTCTATGGTGGTTTATGTCTCAGCCTAAATAAAGCGGCAGGCTGCATCCCTCTGAGGGGCCTATGAAAAAAGAGGAGTCTGAAAGGAACAAGATTCCTGCTACAGAGAACCAAGCGCTTCTGGCCAAGGAGGTGGGGTCGCATTTGAGGGGCTTAAGTCACTTCATACTCCGACGATACCTCTCAGTGCCGACCCAGGAGCAGGCATCAGGTGTGTGCCACACTGGGCGACCCACCTCCCACCACCCCAGAGAGCTTTCCCACAGGAAGCCGGACCCTGCACTTTGGGCATTTTTCCCAGGGTGCCTGTTTCTTGCACTAACCCAAGCTTTTTTCACATCACATAGGGCAGCTGGGTCTATCCCACTAGGCCCACGGCCTTCTAGCTTTTCCTTTTGTCAAAGCTCTTAATGGTCATCACTCACTCAAACTTTTTTAAAAGACATGATTTTGTTCTTCCTCCTGGGGATATTTAAAAACCAGTTAAGCCACTTGCACATTTTTTTCCACTTATGCAATTTTTGAATGCTGGTTAGACATGATTTTAAATGCAGCAAGTCAACCAAAGTATCAACAATGCAAGGAGCAGGAGTTTTCCTGGTAGGCCACGGAAGGGCCTAGTGGCAGGAGACAGAAAAGAGGGGACAGGTTTGGGTCACGGTCCTGGGGGCAGCTGAGGATCAGGTTGCAAATGCCCCAGATGTGCCTGAGAGAGCGGCAGCAGCCAGCATGGAGGGGAGCAGTGGCGTTCTCAGCACCAGTGTGTTAAGGTGGGGCTCACAATTTCTTGGGGCCTTCCCTGGGTTACAGCAGCGAGTTTGGAGGGGGCTTTTCTCTTCCCAAATCTGAGGTCAGACAACAGTGCTTATGTGACCTACCCTTGGAGGGCAGAGATGGGCCATTCTCCATGGGCCCCCAGGGCTGGAATGGAGTTCCAAACTGCAGAAGACCATGCCCCTAGAGGCTCCAGAGACCGTGAACTTTTTCAATGACACGTTTGAAAATCTATTACAAATTAATATCAGTACCTGATTTTTTGAAGATGAAGCTGACAGGTATTAAATGAAAACGGAAGCACTCTTAATTAGGAACCTTTGCCACATGATGGCCCATGTTTATTTGGAGTTGGGGGGAGAACATTCCTTATCTGACTTGGTAACCAGGAAGCCTTAGAAACTCTTGGGGAAGGAATCCTCAGGAATTAGGTCAAGGAGCTGCAGATGGATCAAGGGAGGCTTTCCTCTGGGAGAAAAATCTCCCAAGGCATCGGACCGAGACCCTGACTGGGTACGAAGAGACCGCAGAGTGAGGGGCAGGCAGCGGGCATCCTGACCCCAGGCCCATCTGTCCCCACGTTCTGAGTTCCACCAAAGACCCAAAATGCAGTGTTTTAGAATTGTGTAATATTCCTTAAGAGACCAAGAGACATCCTCCAGTGTCTTCAAACTGGGACTGTTCCCACTTACCTGAGATAAGGAGATTTGTTCCCTGTCTTGACGTCCCATCACCTGTATGTCATAGTCGGCCCCTTCCAGGAAGGCCCCGCGAGGAGAACCTGCTCCTAATCAGAGCCTTATGCGTTCCCAACCCTGACCCCGCCATCCATCCCTCCGTGGGGCTGTGTTCCCAGATGTCTTTGGATTCTGTTTAAAATGTCCTTGTTAAGACATTCCAAGGTTTGAACTCCGCTCCTAGCTAAACCTCCTCCTTGTTTACAGGGACTGAAATAGCCACATTTTGACCTTCTGTTCAGTCTGGGATCATCTGTGGTAGTGTGACTACATTCCTTTCCCATGCAAGGATCCCATTTACATGGCAGTTATGGAAGGCCCAGAAAACCAGACTTGCTCCCGCCCTCCTCCTGCCTATGTTCCTTCTCCCTTCAGATTAGCCCTCCTAGGCAGCCATTCCGCCTGCTCAGGGGCTGGGGCATTGGGAAGCTGCGTGGTTCATTACCCAGGAAAGCTGGAGCCACCATATCCCCCTCATCAGGGCTGCAGCTACCCATGGAGGCTCAGGGTGCCCCTGGGCTGGTGTACAGAACCCAAAGTTGGTCCCCTGGCCTGCTCCCAGGCCAGACACCATCAACCCCAGGGGCCCATGTCTCAGTGCCACATGCCATAAATGACCCACCACTCCTGTTTTGTGTGTCCTACAGTCTAAGTGTCTGAATGGAGGGTTTGCATTTGGGCCACCTGCAAGTGACTGGGGTTTGAGGAGAAGGAAAAGGTCTCAGGAAAATAATGCAGGATGATCCCTGTCAAAGCTAAAGTGGCCTGGTCAGTGAGAACCCCTGTGAGGAGCTCAGAGGAGGAAGCCCTTAAGATCTCCAGAGGCATGAGTTCTGAAAGACAGTGTGGCCTGTATATGCTGAGGGGACTAGTAACAGAAGAGAGGAAGTAAGAACAGGCACGGCACGCTCTGCTGAAAGTAGACTGCGGCCAGGCTTTTGAAGGCCTTGAAGGATGTGTTAGGGATTTGGAAGCCACTGGAAAGATGAGCAGGGGTGGAGAGTGATTTAGGAATGTTGTTGTCATGCTGCCCAAAGCAAAGTAGATGAAGATTCGAGGTAGAAGCACACTTCTGCACAGGTGGCCCTAAGATGGTGATGGTGGAGTGGAAGGAGCAGATGAGCCAAGAGGACAGGAAATGAGGTCGGTGTAAAGGGCAGGGACAGGCCAGGGGTGCACAGGGATGAGTCTGGATTTGGCTGCCTTGAGGGCTGTCTACAGTAAGCATACTTAAGCGGATGTGCTAGAACTAATGTCATTATTTATTTGCCACAACCTAAAGAGACAGGCAAGTATTAGTCGCCCGTCACAGAGAAGGTCCAGGGTGTCCAGGGCCCACTGTGGAAAGCTCTGCCTGGCTTGCCCCTGCTCCGCCGGCCGTTACCCGCTACCCACTCATACTGTCGTCCAAAAACTGGGCAGTGAAAAGTCACAGGTCAGATACAAATTGGACAGATTTGGTGTGAACATTTACAAGCTCATCCCGTACGCTATGTTTCAGTGGTCACCTAAATATTCTCATTTCAGGACTTTTTAAAACACATTTTCCCAAATCTAACTTGGGACAAAATCTAACTTGGGACATTTAAATAGGTTATCAATAATTATCTGTTTATGGCCTCTTTCGGCACACAAATAAGCATCTCCCTGTACAAAATTCTAGTGTATGCTGAGCTGATTGATTGCCTTCTGCATACACCTTTTCTACAACTTCTCAAACGTGTGTGACATGCTGGTAAGATGGCAGGAAAAGGAGTGACTGAATAATACAATATAGCTGAGATGTGTTTCAAGAAAACCTCTGGGCCAGGGTAGGGGTTTGTGAGCGGGAGCCAAGGACTTGCCCCATGTTTCTAATCAAGGTGAGACCACTGACACATGTGGTCAGCAAATATGTTCTATACACACATCCGCACACTGTCATCTAACCCATCCGTTCTCCCATCCACAGCATCTCCAGGACAAAGCCATCGCAACTAGGGAGGGGTTGACACCTGCTCTCCTAACATGTTTTCTTTCTGTTTCAGGCTTGAAAAACCCTTGCCCAGTTTTGATCCCTTCAAGACTTTGTCACAGCCTCTATCACACATCTGTTTTTCTCGAAGAAAAAAATATAATTAATAAAAATGTTTTACTCTTTTACACTGTATAATTGTAAGAAATAGCGTATTATTTGTGAATGCATGGTCTGAAATTTCTGTACAGTTTGGAGATATTTTCAAACGAAACGTAAGAGAAGTCAACAATAAAACCAAGAAAAGTGAGTATTTTTATACCAAACATTTTAAGTATGCTGGGATGGACGATCTTACACTGGTTTGGATCACAGTTTTTGTTCTTGACTTTTGAATGCTTGTAATTAAAAATATCTATTTTTTTCCTCTGAAGTAAGTTGCATGTTTGAGGCATGTTTCCAAATATTATCAAAATATCCTGAATTGTATTGTGAATATATAGAAATCTGTGCCTGGCCGGAGTCCAGGGTAAATTAGTAGCATGGTGTTAGATGTTAGAAACAGAACTGTTATTTGCAGTGTTAGGTCTAGGATCCCAGTTCTAGTAGGACAGCCCTGCAAGACAATCAACCAGAAGCCTCCAGGAGCTTCTACCTATGGCTTATTCACAACTGGGCAAGAAAACATCATTGGTAAGAACTGCTGAGTGTGCCCTTAGAAAGCCCTAGTAGCTCCAGCTGTGACTATATCAACTGTGTGCCAAGTGTGACTTTGTACAGTTTTATGTTTCCACTCTCCTGTATGTGTAGCCACTCGATGCCTAACCTACCTTCCACAAGCCAGCCCCGCATCCCTGCTCCCGCAGTGTAAGTGCAGAGCCTGCCTCACTGGTAAGGGAAAACCTTGGCTTGGGAGGCCAGCCCTGGCCCTTGAAGGGGTTGGCTGTGCCCAGCCCACCTGGCTGCAGTGGGCAGCTCATGTCTGTATCTCCAAAGTGATGTTTGTTTGCAAAACACCGGCTGAACTGAGCTGGTGTTGCCAACTCTTGGCAGCACTGGGCCAAACCGACCACATACCATGAGCTCCCAAATGGCGTGTGCTCACTGTGAGACGTCCTGCCACACCCCACAGGAGACGGAGGCAGTGGGCATTTGGAACCAATTCTATTCAGACTTCGTCAAAGCCAAAGTCAGTCTGGTGTTGTCAGTTGACACATCTCCAGAGTTCATGACAGCTCAACCTCTCCCCTTGTACAGAAGCCATTTTTGTAAAACCACACTGACCTAAATTCAGCTGCCAAACACAGTCTTTCCTATTGATCCGCTCGGCTTATGTTGAAAATTTCAATGTCATGATTACCTGGTTGGTTTGGGTTTTTGTTTTGTTATTTTCCATTAGAAATATAAAGATGTCAAGAAGCTTTTAAAGGTCAACACAAAAAACCAAGGCCAGGAGTGAGGGGCTCTTTCTTACCGTAAATAAGGGGAAAAGGCAGTTAGCTCAAGGACTTGTGACGGATCCACTTTGGTGTTCAAGGACCTGCTTATGCCCTCAGTGCCAATCGGCTCTTGGTGAGATGACTGTACTCCTAAGGAAAATAGCCACTTCTGCAGTCTATTATGCTTTTATAACTGTTTAAAGGTACTTTTCTATTGTCATTTTTAAAAAATAAAGTGCTTATTCCAGCTGTCACACCATTGCTTGACAAATTCTTTTTTAGCAAGACCAACTACATGTATCCCACACTGCAGACAAGACGCCAGCAGATTTCATTCCCATTGTCAGGCTTCGGCAGAGCTAAGCAAGCATTGGCCATTGAGCTTAGGCACAAAGAGATTAAAGGAGGAAGCAGATACCGGGGAAAGCCAGAGAGTAAGTCTGCAAACGCACAACCACAGTGGCTGGTGACCCACAATGACACCAGAGGCAGAGGGACCTCAAGGGAGGCCCCTCATCTACCTCAGCCTACAAAGCTTGACTCAGGATTATCTGAATTATATTAAAATGTCACTTGGGTTTTCTGCTGACTTAAATATATCTTACGCCAGGCATGGTGGCTCACACCTGTAATCCCAACACTGGGAAACTGAGGCAGGAGGCTTGCTTGATCCCAGGAGTTTGAGACCAGCCTGGACAACACAGCAAGACCCTCAATTTTAACATTAGCCAGGAGTACTAGCACCTGTGGTCCTAGCTACTCGGGGGACCACAGAGGAAAGACAACTTGAGCCCAAGAGGTCGAGGCTGCAGTGAGCCATGACTGCTCCACTGCACTGAAGCCTCGGCAACAGGGCAAGACCCTGACTCCAAAACCATAAAAAATTAAAAAAAAAAAAAAAGTGGAAAACCAGGCACCAATTGCCAAGAGAATCGTGTTTTATATATACTCTCACCTACTCTTTTTTCCCCCCAAAGGAGAAAGAAAGCAAAAAAAAAAAAAAAACATCCAAGCAGTGGCAACAACCACTACTGAGTCTTGCTGGGTACTGAGATGACCCGCAGTGAAGCTCTCACAGCCTGCCTGCAGAAGAGCCTAGCCACCAAACGTAGGTTGTGTCCACTGCCTTCCAACTTACGTAACTGTAGAGGCCAAACGCTTTCCTGGGCCCAGGCTTAGAAGGCCACGCCAGCATGGCTCTCAGGCCCGCCTGATCTGCCTTTGGTCCACCTGTGAGCTCCAACTCATAGGCACCAGAGATTGGCCAAACAGCTAAGGAATGGAGGCTAGTGAGCTCTTAAGGGGTTTTGCTGCCTCGGGACTGCCCGGACTCCATCCCAGCCAGTCACTGGCTGAACACAGTCACCTATGATTTTTTACAGGGGGCCCTGGGATGGATGAGCACCCCAATCTTCCCCATGCTGATGATAGTCATTCATGATGTGCAAGTGACAAGTCTGGATGGTATTTACTAATCTAGTGTGACCTCCAGATATATTTCCACTCACCAGCCAGATACCAGCTTCATTAGGGTCTGTGCGAAGTTACCCTTTTTGTCACTCTATTGAACAGGAAGGAATGCAGTATGTCTTCTGGAATCAAGAACTTGGAATACGAAAAAGGCAGGCTGTTTGCTCTTGCTCCCATGCAAAATGTCCCAATTTGTAGGCTCCAGAAAGATGGTAACTAAGCCCATCTTTTTGTGTGATTACCAAATGAACCCTTGTTAATGTCGAACTGATATAACTATAAAAGTGGCATCTGAAATTAAATACCATGCTTTCCACGTCTATAACAAAATTACAAATTAAAGGAATGTGAAAAGAACCTTGCAGTTCACAAAGTGAACGCTACATTGCCAATTAATCACACCTGGGCTTCAGACTCAGCTGGACCCAGGGCATGCACATGTCTCCACCCTACTTTCATGGACTAGCTTGCAATTGTTATTGCCCCATCCCTGAATTCTGCGTTCCAATACACAAGAATTCTTGGTGTCTGTCAAGATGACATAAAGAAGTAAGGTTTTTTTTAAGGGACGGGGTCTCCAGACTGGAGTGCAGTGGCAGATTCACAGCTCACTTGCAGCCTCGAACTCCTGGACTCAAGCCATCCTCCTGCCTCAGCCTCCTGAGTAGCTGGGACTATAGGCGCGTGCCACCATGTCCAAATTCAACTAGTTGTTTCTGAGCGCTTTGGGCAAGACATGATCTGTGCTAAGAATATGGACAGGTTCCCAAAAGCACTCTCACCCACCCAGATGGAAGGTTCTGGCACACAGTTGCTCTCCTCTCCAACTCTTAAACCATTCTCTCCACACCCTCATGGCATAAAACCTCATGGCATAAAACAACTTTACAGCCTGCATAGAAAACCTAAGAATATTCATTACCAGTGAGGTGTTATTTAAAACACTCATCCTCAATAAATGCCTCTCCTAAAACTCTAATAACTATGATAATGAAAAACTGTATGTTGTCAGCAATTTGATCAAGAGCACTAAATTAGGAAATTTCAATAACTGCCACTGTAAAGCTATCTGTCCCTGCTGTAGAACATCCCAGATGGAACTAATATTAACTCTTGTGTGAACTGGCCTGGCTCCATAGCTACCCAATCCTGAGAGATGCCAGTGTGCTGTGAGAACTAGGCCCCTCTGCAGCTCTCCAACGAACCTGCCACTTACCTCTTCCTGACCCTCAGTTCAAACTCATTCCTATTTGGGGGGCGAGGGAGGAGGGAGCTCTTCCTACAAACCGTAATAATTTGCTGGTAAACATAAACAAAACAGTGAAGGCTTCCATTCTCCACCACTGTTCACATACATCTCACCTATGGACGATCTGAGGGGAAGAGAAAATTCGGGTCCTTGTGTTCCACTTGTCCAGTTGAGAAATTCACGTGGAACTCTGCCCATGGTCGTTAATTCCAAGTTAGGAACTTGGGCCAAATGCTTAAAGTCAACCCAAACTTCTCTTCTGAGCAAAAAGGAAGGCCTAAATGCAATGAGAAATGATGCACGAGTTAAATAAAAGATTTACCTGGACAAAAGAGCACTTTTTAAAACTACAACATAAGCTTTGGCGTGGGGGCTTAGCAGGCACTTCAAAACCTCACAATCACCACCCACGGGACAAACCTGCTCTTGGCGCTTCTAGAGCTGGTCCCGCCTAAATCAGGATATGGTTCACTCAGTTATCCCCTGCTGGCACCCTTCTGTGTTTTCTTTAAAGGAAAGTCTTTGCCTTTTCTCCCTTGACATGCAAGCCCCACGAAGTTGTGGCCAGATGAAAAGTCACTGGGCTTTCACCAGGGTCTCAGAACCACATGGTTAAGTCACACAAATGTGCTGGTCCCATCCCCAACCAGTGGAGTTGGATTAGTCCCCTCCCCATCTGCTGAAGAGCAGGATCCACATTTATTTCTAATGGAAATCCAGGGAAGCAAAATGCACTGTCGTTCTTTACACTGCAGCCAGAGGGGGGCCAACCGTACAGCGCCAGCCAGGGCCGTCTAGCTCTTTGAGTTTCCAGCGGTGCTTCCCCCAACACTCCAGACAGGACAGGGATGGGTGTTCTACGGTCCAGTTAGTCTGAAAAATGGTTTCCAAGAGGTCCTTGGACCATCCCACCACAACTCCCACAGAACACCTTCTCATCTCTCAGGACAAGCCCACAAAAACCACCCTGAGAGACCTCGAACCTGCAGGAAGGTCCAGGAGGGCTGCTCCGCCTCGCTGCAGAAGGCGCGGCACCAGGCTGAGCTTGTCAACAGTCAACCAAACCTTAGAAAACCCCAAATCCTCCCCACAAATGAGTCATCTGAAAGTAAAACCCGTGGCTACAGGGAAGAGACACTGAGTCTCATCCTCTATGCCTCAGAAAATCACTATTAACTAAGAATCAGGGAACTGATAAACCAAATGCCCTCATCCCACAAAACCGTCCACACTGACAATCCCATTCTACTGCTACAGATTTCAAACGGCTCACAGATAAAGACAGGGCTGTCCACTCGCAGTCCCTTGAACGCTGGGGCTGGAAGGAACGGGATGTCCTGCGCTGCCTTTCCACTAAGCCTCTGCTCAACAGGTGTCAAGTGCCACTCTGTCCCCTGGGTCCCACCATCATCTGGCCACATTTACAGGCTGTGACAGCAGCAGCCAAATGTTCGGTTTTTACACTCTGTCCAGGCTTGACTACATTTCCCTTAGCTATCCCCTAAAAGCCTCACATCATGGTGATGAATTATAGATCAAATGCACTCCCGACTGTCATACCCTCTTAACTCACCGAGCCGTGCCATTCCCACGTGCTTCTAAATGGCCAGCAGAGCCACCAGAAACGGGCAGAGGCGAGAACATGACTTCAACTTGGTGTTTCTGGTGGATATGTTTTCAGACACCCAGAAGAACTGCGAAGAGACAGCTTCTCTGTATAGCATCCCTCGGAGATGCTGCAGACTTGGTTCCAGGCCATCGCAATAAAGCAAATATCACAGTAAAGTGGGTCACACAAATGTTTTGGTTTCCCAGTGCATATTAAAATGTTTATGCTACATGATAGTAGAAAGTGAGCAATAGCATTATGTCTTAAAGAATCCAATTATATACTTTAATTTAAAATATATTATTGCCAAAAAGTGAGCACATGCTGTTGGAAAAACGGCACCAACAGATCTGCTTGAAGCAGGGTTCCCACAAACCTTCAATATGGAAAAGAAACTCCACTGTATCTGTGAAAACACATAAAGCAAGTACAATAAAATGAGGTGTGCCTGTAATATGACCGTCCAACACAAGTAACCTTCCATCAGTGTTCCCACAAACACTGTATCCTCAACATGTCACCCGATGATGCAACCCCAGTACCTTGAGATGGGGTATATGGAGGATTTGCTCTTACATGTAGTAGACTGAGTGGGTCGAGGCTTAACAAAAGAAACTGCAAGTGAATGAGATAAAGCTACGGAATTTTGTTGAGTACAGCAATTTAGTGAGTCACTTCATTTTGCTAGATCTTCATTTCTGAAATGAATTTTAGACAAAATAACTGAAATCAATTATCAGGCCAGCCCACGAAGTACTGCTGAGCACAGGCATTGCTAGAAGTCACAACCAATAACACAACTGGCAGTAAGCGCCTTATCACAGAGATGGAGAACCTGATCACAGAGCCCACGACGGAGGCCCTGATGCCCATCTCCCTGCAAAGCAGATGAGATGTCCAAACTGTACTTCCAGACCTGGCCCATAAAATAAGATGGAGTGTGGAGATCACAAAAGTAGGTACCTACCTGGAGATAAGCTAACTCTAGATTTTTTACAGGAAAGCTAGTTTCATGCCATAAGATATTAAAGCTCTTCCTTACCAGAAAAAAACCTTATACAAAGCAAGACAGGCTGTATTTCCTGTGTTCTAAATTATCGTGGGAACCTCAGTTACATCCTCTCCTGCCATGTTTTGGGGCTTGGAGGTAAGAAAGAGGTAAAGCAAACAGATAACACTGTAAAGGGATGAGAGGTAAGTAGAAAAGAGAAAACAACTGAAAAAGCAAAAAAAGGTTCTTTGTCGTCTGCACAAAGCACTTCCTGCTCTGGGTTTCCATCATGCCTTTTCTGAGAACCAACACCTCGTTTCCTAATCCACTACTATCCCATGCTGTGACGGGAGGACCATGACCACCAGCACAAAGGACCACAGCAGAACATAAACAGTGCAGGTGAGGAAAATGCAAACTTTGCCGTAGAAAGCAGAACCATGTGAATTTCCCGTGAGTCACCCTCACTCTAAAGAACACTCACATATTTGGTAATGGCTCTCATGAGCTGGGCCGGTGACAGAGGGCATCTCCACCAGAACCATCTCCGGTCAGGCCACATGAGGGTGGAGGCATGGTATAGCTGACGTTCAGGTTGACGAGGAGACACTACAAAGGCTTGCCATCCTGGAATTTACCAAACCCAAGAAGCTGGACACTGATACTTTTTTTTTTTTTTTAAGACGGAGTCTCGTTCTGTCACCAGGCTGGAGTGCAGTGGCACGATCTCAGCTCACTGCAACCTCCGCCTCCCGGGTTCAAGTGATTCTCCTGCCTCAGCCTCCCAAGTAGCTAGGAGTACAGGCACATGCCCCAACGCCCAGCTAATTTTTATATTTTTAGTAGAGACAGGGTTTCACCATGTTGGCCGGGATGGTCTCGATCTTTTAACCTCGTGATCCACCTGCCTCAGCCTCCCAAAGTGCTGGGATTACAGGCGTGAGCCAGCTTGCCCGGCTGACACTGACGCTTCTTTTTAAAAGAAAACATTAACAATGACATCCAGCACATCTTTATTGCTCTGCTTGCTAACAAGCAGCACACCTGTGTTCCAGTGGTGAAATCCATGTGCTCAGCAACACAGTGCAGACTGCAGGCTTCATCACATCCCCAGCACGTGACCCATGGAAATCAGAGACTGGAGCTGCTTCCTGCCATTTCCGAGAATGAAAAGAAACAGAATTCACTAACATCTTAAAAATCCTTCTACAGTGATTTTATTATAAATATGTTCTTTTGGAATAAACAAATATTGCATTCAAGACTATGGGCAAACTTGCTCTAAAGTAACAAACGAGGAAGAAAGGAACCAGGAACCATTTAGAAGTGGAGAAAAACACAGCAAAGACACCTGCATGCCACGCTCAGCGCCTTTCTCCCAGGGAGTAACAGAAGGTTAACAGGGAACATCACATTGCCCATGAGCCCATTCTACTCAAATAAGCTTTGAGTTTGGTAATTTGCACTTGTTTTGTAAACTGAACTGCTCCTCTCCTCAGCCGCAAGAAGCAGATAGGAAGACAGTCTTCAGACCCCGAGCATCAGCAAGAACACTCTTGATTGTGTATCTGTAACTCTGTTCCAGGGCAAAACTGTTCCCTATTTGCTGGAAGTAATGTCAGAGTAATCCTTCAGCACTCCAGCCAAGTGTTCGTTATGAGTCTTAAAGCGTCGCTTTTTCTGTGAAGCAGGCTTTTTCCTTCTCTGAATAGGGGCCTAAAGGAAAAGGTAAAAACAATTAGAAACAACAGCTGCTCTGAGGGGTGGTGTGGCCAGGATGTTCTGAGCATGCCCAGATGCCAGTGGCTGAGGATGCCAGGTTCGGACCCTTCTCCTGCTCTGCCACCCAGCAGCACACATGGGGCACAGCACACGCCCTGACCAGACCCCGGGCCTTTGTTCCCCTGAGATGCAGATGCCATCGGGAATGAAGGAGCAGGCACAAAAACCTGCCAAAATGGTTCTAGGCACTAAGTCAAACAAAAGGGACGATGAAGCCCTTCAGCTCTGTCTCTGTCATCAGGTTTAAAAACGTATCCACCATTACCGATTTTAAAAAGATCTGAAGAAAATATGGCAAAATCCTGAGAAAGGAGGAGCACATGAAGGTCTGTAATATTCTCTATTCTTTTCTATATACTTGAAATATTAGCATCACATGATGAAAAAAATTAACAAATGAGACAATAATAGGAAATCATGAAGGGCTGCAATTACACTCATTTGTGGAAAGAGATTGACAATAAAGCTTCCCTTTAGGTGAGTCCTAAAAATTCACCAAACACACATGCCCACCCCACACCCCAGAAAGACACAGGTGACAAGCTATGAAGCATGACGGTGGATAAGGAAAGGGGGGAGGAGCACAGCACTGCTAACAAGGGTGCTGGTGAATCATCCCCCCGGGCTTTGTTCTTAGACTACAGATTTTATTTGCTGGTGCAAGGCAATGTAAAAGTCATCATTTAATTACTAACATCCCCTGTGAGCAGGATTTAGAGACTATACGGACAAAAATATCTGGTTCCTAGAGGACCTGAAAGTTACTATGGCAGAACCAGGCACCAGGACGGCGAGGCTCACGGAGCAGGGGAGGGCCCCGTTCAAGTCTGAAAGGTTGTGCAGATCAAGGCACAGCATCCCTTTAAGAATAGGGAGAAGGGCTTGTAGCAGCTTAGAGTGGGAGAGTGGGGAACACACAGGCCCTGGAAGGTTCCATATGGCTATACCTCAAGAGCAGGACTGCTTGGGAGGAGCTGGGTGTAGAAAGGCACTCACAGGCCTGGAGCAGCACCGAGGGCGGGTCTGCAGGCCTGCAATACCTCAGATGTGACCTGGGCTGCGGACACTGAGAAACAATGGCGGGGGAACAACTCCCAGCTCTTCAGAGGGCAGAAAGCGGAGCAGGCTAACAGTTCCCAGGGCAGGGGATTAAGCTGCTTTGCTAGAGATTACGCACCACTTTCTTTGGTCCAGATTCCTGCATGGAAGAAATACCCTGTCGCTTCAGATATTCTTCAATTTTCTCCTCGTCCATGGAATCTACAGTGACACTCCTCCACAGTTTCTGAAATTCTGTATCAAACAGACACTAGTTATTTTACAATCCATTTTTACAAACTATAGCATCTTGATCAAAATCCAGGTTTCAGTGTTATCTCCTCTGGATCCAAATGAGCACATCTGATATGTCATCATGAAACAAGTCAGGGCAGAACATCCACATGTGGGACACGGTGCAGGGAAAGGCCTGGAGACAGAACTGCACCCACACAGCCCCGACAGTGGGGCTGTTTCTTGAGGCCAGCAAATGAGGGCTGCCACAATGAAGCCGCCCTGCTTTCCTGGGCCGTCAACACCCTCCTTTAATTCCTCTATTTAGGGCTAACAGCTTATTTCCTGCTCAGCTCCCCTAAGCATGATATACTCATTCCTCTCTCATTGATAATAGAAAATAAGAAACGTGTAGGGAGACGGGAACCGAAGTTTCACATGGAAATGAGGTTATTCAACAATTTATCTGCAAAAAAGACTTTTGAAATCAAATAACCTGGTAACTGGTGACTAAGGAGGCATGAAAGGGAAAGGGGGGATGGCTGAAATAGAAACACTGTCTCACCTCCTCTCTGTAATACAAGGAGAAAGGCGACAGTCCTGCCTGCAGCTTGTCTTCAGAAACCTGTAGTCCCTCTGCCACATCACTATTTTTGCAACCAAGAGAGACCACAATTGGGAAGCATTCCAAATGAACATTATTTACATCTTACATTCTGCTCCTGAAGACAGGTTCTGATCACTGGTTTCACTTAATTATCAGAAGCTACTTTCAGACACAAAATCCTAAGACTTACACGCTCAGGAACGAAAAAAGGAAAAGCTCTCTGAGCCCCGAGGCTTCACAGAGCCTCACACTCACAACTGCCCCACGCACTGAGGGGATGCACCTTCCCTTCCTTTCTTCCCACCCCAGACCCTCACCCAGCGCCGCCCTCCTTTTCTTCCAGAGCCAAGAACTTCCCACGGTCCGTTTACAAATGATAAATGAAGTAGGCATCTGATACTGTGCTAGGCCAGATTTCTTTCCTTTTCCCCTTTTCCTTCCTTCCCCCTTTCTCTCTCATTTCAGTACACGCTGCATAAAGCAAATGATGCCCACATAGGCAGGACTCTGGTGATACCATGGAAATCGGTTTACTGCCACCTACCCTGAAGCTTTTCATTGCAGGTGACCAATGGCAAAAGTGGCAAAATCTACTACAAAGAATTCAACCTGAGCATAAAGTTATTTAAATCCAAAATGTCTCTAAATAAGATTTTTTAATTTCCATAGATACATTAGGGGTTCTTTCTACTACACACCCACTGAACGTTCATCTGCACACATTATGGACATGACCTAACTGATAACAACTGTGTGCATGATTGTCTCGGCCTCTCTAAGCTCCTTGAGAGCAGGGAGCTCTATTTCCATCTTGTTTCCATGATAGTCGGCGTATTTCCATCTCGTTTCCATGACAGTCGGCACTGTACCTAGCACATGACAGGTCCTCAGTGATTTGACTACTGAATGTATGAAACACCATCACTGTCTACTACAGCCTAGACAAGACTTCAACGATTTGACTACCGAATGTATGAAATACCATCATTGTCTACTACACCCTAGACAAGACAGACTGTTTTCTTTTTTTAAAATTTATTTATTTTTGAGACAGGGTCTAGTTCTGTTGCCCAAACTGGAAAGCAGTGGCGCAATCTCAGCTCACTGTAACCTCCACCTCCTGGGCTTAAGCAATCCTCCCACCTCAGCCTCCTGAGGAGCTGGGACCAAGGTACACACCACCATGCCCAGCTAAGTTGTTTCTGGGGGGGTGGGGGGTTGTGTAGAGATGAGGTTTTACCATGTTGCCTAGGCTGGGCTCAAACTCCTGAGCTCAGGCAATCCATCTGCCTTGGCCTCCCGAAGTGCTGGGATTACAGGTGTCGAGCCACCATGTCTGGCCTATATTTTTCTTTTTACATTTTTTAGACTTTTAAAAAATAATTTTACACTAACAAAAGGGTTACAAAATGAGTACACAGAGTTCCTATATGCCCTTTATCCAGCTTCCCCTAATGTTAACACCTTACATAACTGTATAATTATTGAAACTAACATGGACATATTACTATTAATTCATCAACAGGCCTTACTGAAACTTCACAAGTTTGAAGTGAAACTTCAACTTCACCGATGCTCTTTTCTTGGCCCAGGATCCTGCCTGTCACATCTCTTTGGTCTCCTCCATTCTCTAAGTGTGGCCAGTCTTTGTTTCCCCACTGGTCAGTTGTTTTACAGAAACTTCCATTTGGGTTTGTCTAGTATTTCCTCATTACTAGATTGAGGTTATGCAATTCTGGCAAGAACAACACAGTAACGAGCTTGTGCCCTTCTTGGGGCACAGTAGCAAGCTACATAGTGTCAACATGGACCCGGTAAACGCTGACCATCAGGCAAGGTGTTATCTCTCAGGTTTCTCTGTCATGAAGCTATCAGTTTTTCCTTTGTAGTTAATAATTAATGGAGAGATATTTTCAGACTATATAAATACCGTTTCTCATATTATCACTAATTTTATAATAGCATCCATTGGTAGTGCTTACCTACAAAAATGACTACTTGTAAGTAACTACTGACAAATTATTTCCATCATTCCTTCCATATGTACTAATTAGAATTCTACTATAATAGGCTGGGCACGGTGGCTCATGCCTGTAATCCCAGCACTTTGGGAGGCCGAGGAGGGTGGATCATTCAAGGTCAGGAGTTCAAGACCAGCCTGGCCAACATGGTGAAACTGTGTCTCTACTAAAAATACAAAAATTAGCTGGGCATGGCAGTGGGTACCTGTAATCCCAGCTACTCAGAAGGCTGAGGCAGGAAAATCACTTGAACCTGGGAGGCGGAGGGTGCAGTGAGCTGAGACTGTGCCACTGTACTCCAGCCTGGGTAACACAGCGAGACTCCATCTCAAAAAACAAAACATAACAAAAAACACAAAGAGCTGCTCTTCCTTCAGTTCACTGTTTGTTTGTTGAGACAGGGTCTCACTTTGTCACCTAGGCTGGAGTGCAGTGGCACAATCTTGGCTCACTGAAGCCTCAACTTCCTGGGCTCAATCAATCTTCCTCCCTCAGCCTCCCAAGTGGCTGGGACTACAGGCACATACCACCACACCAGGCTAACTTTTGTATTTTTAGTAGAGACAGGGTTTCATCATGTTGCCAAGGCTGGTCTCGAACGTCTAGACTCAAGCGATCCACCTGCCTTGGCCTCCCAAAGTACTGGGATTACCAGCCTGAGCCACTGTGCCCAACCTCCAACTTGTTTTTCAATTATTTAATTTAGCAGACTCATGGATATTACTGTACAGATTTATATCTACATATTTATTACACAGATAATCCATGACGATCAGTATTTATTTATTTATTTATTTTATTTATTTATTTTATTTATTTTGAGATGGAGTCTCGCACTGTCACCCAGGCTGGAGTGCAGTGGTGCGATCTCGGCTCACTGCAAGCTCCACCTCCCGGGTTCACGCCATTCTCCTGTCTCAGCCTCCCGAGTAGCTGGGACTACAGGCGCCAGCCACCACGCCCAGTTAACTTTTTGTATTTTTTAGTAGAGACAGGGTTTCACCGTGTTATCCAGGATGGTCTCGATCTCCTGATCTTGTGATCTGCCCGCCTCAGCCTCCCAAAGTGCTGGGATTACAGGCGTGAGCCACCGTGCCCAGCCGACGATCAGTATTTATTTTGTGGTTCAAACATCCCAGCTCTAATCACTAAGATTTCCTTCATGTTGGTTCCTATGTCCCTGACTTGCTTCCCTTTTTTTTTTTTTCCTCCAGTTTTTCTTCTTTCTCTCACTTTCTGGCGGTACTAAAAGATGTTCCAGGCTCATCTTGTATTTCCCCTCATTTGGAATCAATGATTTCTTCAAGGATTCCTGACTTGTTTTATTATAGAATGGTATTTAAAAACCAAGATCTACATATTTTGGGTTTTTAAAAATAGCAATCTCTTTTTTGAAAACAAAATGATCAAGGGACATCAAATTTAAAGGCAGACACTTTATTATGGCAGAAGACAGCCAAGTATCATGAAAGTCAGGCACACTCTAAACCGTAAGGGTAAATAAAATCAGAACTGATTTAGAAATCTACTCTCTTAGCAGAAAAGAGGAGAAAACAGACTAGAATTTAAAAGCTCAGATTTGATCCTTTCATTTCAAAAGACCCTTCCTTGTCCCACATGAGTTAAGAATAAAAAACTGTGTAACTGCCATAGAAGGGAAGAAAATGAGCCAACTTACCAATGAGGCTTTGCTTAAAATTCCCAAATAACGCACTCACATTTTGTCTGTGCTTAGCCCTTTCCCGTAAATGCAAAAGTAGCACAACAGTGTGGTGCAGGCCTCAGAGCCAGATGGCCTGGCTGTGACCTCAGTTACCACATTTCCTGCACAAAGTGGTGCAAACATCTTAATTTTTCTGCCTCCATTTCTTCATCTGTAAAGTGAGGATAATAATAATACCTGCCTCGCCGAGCGTGGTGGCTCTGTAATCCAAGCACTTTAGGAGGCCAAGGCAGGCGGATCACCTGAGGTCGGGAGTTCGAGACCAGCCTGACCAACATGGAGAAACCCCATCTCTATTAAAAATACAAAATTAGCCAGGCGTGGTGGCACATGCCTGTAGTCCCAGCTACTTGGGAGGCTGAGGAAGGAGAATCGCTTGAGTCCGGAAGGCAGAGGTTGCGGTGAGCCGAGATCACGCCATTGCACTCCAGCCTGGGCAACAAGAGCGAAACTCCGTCTCAATAATAATAATAACGATAATAGTAATAATAATACCTGCCTCATAGAATAGTGAGGATTAGAGGAGTTAATAAAGCACCGAAAATAATGCCTGCAAATGAAACAGCATTATCTACACCTATTACTGTTATCATCACCATCTAACACCCATCATAATTTTCTGTGTGCTGGTGTCTTTAATAAAGGCAATATAAAACATTTAAGAAGAGGATCAGCTACTAGACACAAAGTGATCTCATTTATGTAAAGCAGAAGAAACAAAACTTCTAAAAATTTCTTAAAAAGCAAAAACACATACATATTAAATACATCGTAAAGATGTGGAAAATACACACCAATAGGTATCCCCAGAGAAAAGAATACAGTTTGCTTAGAGAATTTTCATTTTTTTGTTCTGCAGACTTGACAAAGGTTTTATTAATAATATGCAGAAATATTTGTGTATTGCTAGTGTAAAATTTTAAAGAAATAACCTAAAAATAAGGAGGATCATACTTACTAATAATTCACGCACTTGCCACTTTTTCTCAGCCCCACATTAGGCTATGGTGTTCTAGTGTTAGCATTAAGGTACATCTTTGCCCTTTAAAAAAAAAAAAAAAAAAAAAAAAAAAAAAGGCCAGGCCCAGTGGCTCATGCCTGTAATTCCAGAGCTTAGGGAGATGGAGGTGGGAGGACTGCTTGAACCCAGGAGCTCAAGGCCAGCCTGGGCAATATATAGAGACACCATCTCAAAAATTTAAAAAACAAGCCGGGCATGGTGGTGTTCACTTGTAGTCCCAGCTACTCAGGAGACTGAGGTGGGAAGAGAGCTTGAACCCAGTTTGACGTTGTGAGCTACAATTGTGCCACTGCACTCCAGCCTGGGAGACAAAGAGAGACCCTGTCTCTAAAACAACAACAACAACAAAACCAAATGCAGAATCTCAACGAGCAACACGCCATGCCTTCCTCCCTTTTCCTTTAACAACACGTGTTATTAACGTGACTTTTTATCCTCAAAAGTGTCATTATATCCACTTTGCAGTTCCAGAAAATAGGACATTTCTCAATTTACCTCATCTTCTAGTGATCTTACATTTGAGACCTATCAAAATAATTTCTTGTGTGCTACACAGAAAAATGCACCCCCACCCAAGATGTCCACAACGTAATCCCCAGAACCTGTGAATACGTTACCATAAAAGAGACTTTGGTGACTAAGAATCTTGAGATGAGGAGATCTCAAGATTTGGATTCTGAATTGGAAGAATTAATACTGTTAAAATGTCCATACTATCCAAAGTGATCCACAGATTCAATGCAATCCCTATAAAAATTCCAATGTCATTTTTCACATAAATAGAAAAAATAATTCTAAAAGTCTAATGGAAACACACAAAAAAACTGAATAGCCAAGGCAATCTTGAGCGAAACAAACAAAACTAGAGGTACCACACTACTTCAAACTATATTACAATGCTACGGTAATCAAAACAGCATGGGACTGGCATAAACAAAAGCCCAGTAATGAACCCATGCATTTACAATCCGCTGATCTTTGACAAAGGTGCCAAGAACACACAATGGGAAAAGGACAGTCTCTTCAATAAAGGGTGTCGGGAAAACTGAATATCCACATGCAGGAGAATGAAATGAGGCCACTGTCTCACACCATATAGAAAAATCAACTCAAAATGGATTGAAGACTTAAACATAAGACCTGAACCTGTGAAAATACTACAAGAAAACACAGGGAAAACAACACAACACTGGTCAGGGCAATCATTTTTTGGATTTGACCCCAAAAGTTCAGGCAACAAAAGCAAACATAGACAACTGGGATTACAACAAACCAAAAAGCTGCAGCATGGCAAAGTAAACAGACTGAAGAGACAACCTACAAACTGGGAGAATATATTTGCAAGCAATACATCTAATATGGGTTTAATATACAAAATATAGGGCAGGTGCCACAACTCATGCCTATAATCCCAGCACTTTGGGAGGGCGAGGCAGGAAGATTGCTTGAGCCTAGGAGTTTGAGACCAGCCTGGGCAATATAGTGAGACCTCGTCTCTACAAAAAATGTTTTAAGATTAGCCAAGTTTGGCAGTACATATCTGCAGTCCCAGCTACTTAGGAGGCTAAGATGACAGGATCACTTCAGCCTGGGAGGTGGAGGCTGCAGTTAGCTGAGATCATGCCGCTGCATTACAATCTGGGCAACAAAATGAGACGCTGCCTCTAAAAAAGAAAAAAAAATTATATATATTTTCCATATATATGGAACTCAAAATAATAGCAAAAAAAAAAAAATAACCTGATTTAAAAATTGGCAAAAGATCTGAATATTGTCTGAAAATTCAGAAATCCTGAAATGTCAGAAATATTCAGACATTTCTCAAAAGAAGATATACAAATGAGGCCAGGCACAGTGGCTCATGCCTATAATCCCAGCACTTTGGGAGGCCAAGGCATGTGGATCACCTAAGGTCAGGAGTTCGAGACCAGCCTGGCCACCATGGCAAAACCCCATCTCTACTAAAAATACAAACTCAGCTGGGCATGGTGGCGGGCACCTGTAATTCCAGCTACTTGGGAGGCTGAGGCAGGAGAATTGCTTGAACCCAAGATACGGAGGTTGCAATGAGCCAAGACCGCACCACTGCACTCCAGCCTGGGCAACAGAGCAAGACTCCGTCTTAAAAAAAAAAAAAAAAAAAAAACCACACAAATGACCAACAGATATATTGCTCATCATTGCTAATCATTAGGGAAATACAAATCAAAACCACAATGATTTCCAACTGGGGCAGAGACTTAAAGGAAAAAGGAGAAAGAGAAGTACAATGAGCCATCACTTCACACCTGTGAGAATGGTTATCCTCAAAAAGAGGAAAGATAACATGCACTGATGAGGATGTAGCAGAGGGAACACCTGTACACTGTTGGTGGAAATGTAAATTGGTGTAGCCATTATGGAAAACTGTATGGAGTCCCCCCAGAAAACTAATAACTAGATTATCATTTGATCCAGCAATCCCACTTCTGGATATTTATTCTAAGGACTTGAACTTAGTATGTTGAGGAGATGCTTGCACTCCCATGTTCACTGCAGCATTACTTACAACAGTCGAGATAAAGACTCAGTCTAAGTGTCTATCAACAGATGAACGGATAACAAAAATATAATATATATACACACAATGGAATTCTATTAGCCTTAAAAAAGAAAGGAATTCTGTCATTTGCAACATGAATAAACCTGGAGGACATTGTTAAATGAAATAAGCCAGGCACCGAATGACAAAAACCGCATGTTTTCACCTCTACGTGGAATCTAAAACAATCAGAACTCAACAGAAGCAGAGAGTAGAATGATGGCTACTAGAGGCTAGGAGAAGGGGAATGAGGAGGTGTTGGTCCAAAGAAAAAGGAATCTTGAAAGGCAGGTTATCCTGGATTATTTGAGCAGACCTAATGTAATCACAAGGGTCCTTATAAAGGAAAGAGGCAGGCAAGAGAGCCTGAGTCAAGGTGGAAGCAGAGGTCAGAGTGATGCTGGGACACAAGCCAAGAAATTCGGGTAGCCTCTGGAAGCTGAAAAGGCAAGAAAACGAATTCTTCCCATGAGTATCCAGAAGTGCAGCCCTTTTTACCCATTTAAGACTTCTGACCTCCAGAACAGTAAGATAATACGTTTGTGTTGTTTTAAGCCATGAAGTTTGTAGTAACATCTTACAGCAGCAACAGGAAACTAATACACACTGCTTGAAAATTTTCTTTTTAAAAAAGTACTGGCCTGGCCGGGCACAGTGGCTCACGCCTGTAATCCCAGCACTTTTGGAGGCTGAGGGAGGCGGATCACGAGGTCAGGAGTTTGAGACCAGCCTGACCAACATGGTGAAACCCCATCTCTACTAAAAATGCAAAAAAAAAATTATCCGGGCGTGGTGGCACACGCCTGTAATCACAGCTACTCAGGAGGCTGAGGCAGGAGAATCACTTGAATCCAGGAAGCAGAGGTTGCAGTAACCAAGATCGCACTACTGCACTCAAGCCTGCTGACAAAGCGAGACTCCACCTCAAAAAAAAGAAAAAAGTATTGGCATGGTGCAATGACTCACACCTGTAATCCCAGTACTTTGGGAGGCCAAGGTGGGAGGATCACTTGAAGCCAGAAGTTCAAGACCAGTCTGGGCAAAAGCGAGACCTCCATCTCTACCAAAATTTTTAAAATAATAAATTGGCCAGACATGGAGGCATATGCCTGTAGTCCCAGCTAAGAGACTGAGGTGGGAGGATGGCTTGAGTCCAGGGGAGTTCAAGGCTGCAGTGACCTATGACTGTGCCATTACATTCCAGCCTGAGCAACAGAGCAAGACGCTGTCTTAAAAATAAAAAATAAATTTTAAGTATAACTTAAGCAGGCAGGATTATAAAGACAAGTGCCACTTCATCCTCAACATTTCAACAAGTATTTCTTGAGAATTCTGTCACTACCACAGTATGACCTGCTATCTGGACATCTGTAAAGAACAGGCATCGTCTGCCCAAATCTGTGCAGCAGAGGCTGGACAGAATGAGAAGAACTTGGCAGCACTTGCTGTTCTTGGTGATCCTGCTGAAATCTACACTGAGCAATTGCACTTTTTACTCGGGATAAACACCAGACACCAAAACAAGAAGGGGAGAAGCCGTGGGGTAACTCTTTACCTTGAAAACTGCTTTACAATGGGAGAAACACCATATTCTTTTGAACAACTACTTTAAATTGTCCTTTTATTTTACTAAGGTATAATTTATGAAAATTAAAATCCTGCACATTTTACTGTACAATTCCTGAAGTTTTGACAAGCATATGGTCATGCTAACACCACCATGATAATGATATAGACAGTTCCACAACCGCAAATCACCCTATGCTCCTCTGCAGTCACTCTCTCCACGGGCAGCCCCTGATCTGTTTCTATGGTTCTGTTTCCCAGGAATATCATAAACATATAAATAAAATCACACAGCATGTCCCTTTCGAATCTGGCTTCCCTCATGAGGCACGATGCCTCTGAGATTCATCCATGTTGTTGGAATGTCAGTCCTTTGTTCCTTTTCATTGCTGAGTTGTATTCCACTCTAAGTATGTGCCACAGTTAAGGGGAAGTTAAGGGACAGTTAAAGGATGTGAGTTGTTTCCAATTGTTGGTGGTTATGAAGAAAGCCAGTATAAATACCCATTAATTTAATGTGAATTTGGGTTAACACCCAAGAGTGGGATGGCTGGGTTATACAGTAGTATATATTACAATGTAGAGATCTATACCTACTATTTAGCTTTCTAAAGGACACTGGACCCACGTCTCACACCATAAACAAAAACTCTAACTCCTAGAGGAAAAACCCCTAACTCCTAGAGGAAAAAACAGAGGTAAATCTTCATGACCTTGGATTAGGCAATGGTTTAGACATGACACCAAAAGCACAAGCAGCAAAAGAAATAAAGATAAAGGACTTGATTGAAATCAAAAACTTTTTTTTTTTTTTGAGACAGAGTTGCACTCTGTCACCCAGGCTGGAGTGCAGTGGCGCAATCTCAGCTCACTACAACCTCACCCTCCCAGGTTCAAGTGATCCTCCTGCCTCAGCCTCCCGAGTAGCTGGGATTACAGATGGGGACCACCATGCCCAGCTGATTTTTGTATTTTTAGTAGAGACAGGGTTTTGCCATGTTGGCCAAGCTGGTCTCGAACTCCTAACCTCGGATGATCCACCTGCCTCGGCCTCTCAAAGTGCTGGGATTACAGGTGTGAGCCACTGCGCCTGGCCCAAAATTAAAAACTTTTATACCTCATAAGACACCATCAAGAAAGTGAAAAGACAACCCACAGAATGGAAAAAAATATCTGTAAAGCATGTATCTCACAATGGCCTTGTATCCAGAATAAAGAATTCTTACAGCTCTGTAATAAAAGCACAAAACAATTTTTTAAATGGACAAAGGATTTCAATACACATTTTGCCAAATGAAATATACAGATGGACCGGATGTGGTGGTTCACACCTATAATTCCAGCACTTTGAAAGGCCACGGCAGGAGGATTACTTGAGGCCAGGAGTTCAAGGTCAGCCTGGGCAACAGAGTAAGACCCTGCCTCTATAAAAAATTAAAATATTACCCAGGTACCGTGGCACACCTGTTGCCCTAGCTACTCAGGAGGCTGAGAAGGGAGGATTGCATGACCCTAAGAGCTTGAGGCTGCAATGAGTTATGATAGCATCACTGCACTCAAGCCCAGGAAACAGAGTGAGACCCTGTTTCTACAGTAAAAAAATAAAATAAAAATAAAATAAAATATAAAATGGCCAATCAGCACATAAAAAGATGTTCAACATCATTAGTCATTAGGGAAATGCAAATCAAAATCACAGTAACACTTCACATCCACCAGAATGGCTAAAATCAGTGTTGGCAAGGGTGTGGGGAAAGCAGAACCTTCCTAAGTTGCTGGTGAGAATGTAAATTAATGTAGCTGCTTTGCAAAATAGTATGACAATTCCTCAAAAAGTTAACCACAGAACTACCATATGATGTAGCAATTCTACTCCTAGGTATATACCTAAGAGAAATGAAAACACATGTCCACACAAAAACTTGTATAGGTATGTTAATAGCAGTATTATTCACAACAGCCAAAAAGTGGAAAAACCCAAATATCCATCAACTGATACATGAAAAGTGTATGGCCATACAATAGAATTTTTTTTTTTACTATAAGCACTTAATGCTCTTTATTTCCCTATAAGCACTGCTATAGCTGCATCCCATGAATTTTGATACACTGTGCTTTCACTTTCATTTAATGCAACAATGTTTTTACCTCCCTGTGATTTCCTCCTTGAACCATAGGTTACTTAAAGGTATTTAATTTCAGGCTGGGTGTGGTGGCTCACATCTGTAATCCTAGCACTCTGGGAAGCTGAGGTAGGCAGATCACTTGAGCCTAGGGGTTCAAGACCAGACTGGGCAACACTGCAAAATCCCATCTCTACAAAAAAATACAAACATTAGCCAGGCATGGTGACACACACCTGTAGTCCTAGCTACTGGGGAGGCTGAGATAGGAGGATCGCCTGTGCCCAGGGAGGTCAAGGCTGCAGTGAGCTGTGATCATGCCACTGCACTCCAGCCTATACAGTGAGACTCTGTCTCAAAAAATACATAAATAAAATAATTTCCAAATGGACAGTCTCCAAATATAGCTACTAGCTCTGTTATTGATTTCTAGCCTAATTCCATTACGGCTCACACACATCGTTCACGTATAGTCAGCCTTTGGTATCCATGGGGGATTGGTTCCAGGACTCATACAGATACCAAAATCTACAGATGCTCAAGTCTCTGATATCAAATGGTATAGTATCTACATATAACCTATGCCTATCCTCCCATGCACTTTAAATAATCTCTGGATTACTTACAATGCCTGGTACAATTTAAACACCATGTAAATAGTTATACTGTATTGTTTAGGGAATAATGACAAGGAAAACGTCTGTATGTGTTTAATAAAGACAAAATTTTTTTCCAAATATTTTCAGTCTATAGTTGGTTGAATCCACAGATGCAGAACCAAAAGACATGGAGGGCCAATGATACTTTCAATTCTTTCAAATACAATTAAAGCTTGTTTTGTGGGCCAGAATACCATCCATCTTGGTGAATATTCCAGATGAACTTGAAAACATACACACAGGGCCAGGCACAGTGGCTCACGCATGTAATCCCAGCACTTTGGGAGGCTGAGGCAGGCGGGTCACTTGAAGCCAGGAGTTTGAGACCAGCCTGACCTGAAACCCCGTCTCTACTAAAAATACAAAAATTAGCCAGGTGTGGTGGCACGTGCCTGTAGTCCCAGCTACTCAGGAGGCTGAGGCAGGAGAATCACTTGAACCCGGGAGGAGGTTGCAGTGAGCTGAGATCACACCATTGCACTCCAACCAGGGCAACAAGAGTGAAACCTGTCTCAAAAGAGAAAAAAAGGAAAATACATGCACAGTATTCTGCTGCTGCAGGACAGTCTGTTCTATAAATCCCAATTAGGTCAAATTAGTTGATGGTGCTCTTCCGGACTTCTATATCATAATTTTCCATCTATCTGTTCAATCAACTACTGAAAGAGGAATGCTGTAGTCTAACTGTGGATGTATGTATTTCTCCTTTTAGTTTCATCCATTTTTAATTCATGTATTTGGAAGGCCTGTTGTTAGATATATAGGTATTTAGGACTATTATGTACTCTTGGAGAATTGATACTTTTACCATTATGTAACGTCCTTTTTCTTTTTGAGACAGGCTGTGGCTCCGTCACCCAAACTGGAGTGCAGTGGCACAGTCATGGCTTATTGCAACCTCCAACTCCTGGGTTCAGGTGATCCTCCCACCTCAGCTTCCTGAGTAGCACTACGAGACTACAGGTGCACACCACCACACCAGGCTGAGTTTTTATTTTTTGTAGAGACGAGGTTTCGCCACGTTGCCCAGGCTGGCCTCAAGCGATCCTCCTGCCTCAGCTTCCCAAAGTGCTGGGATCACAGGTGTTAGCCACCATGCCCGGCCCATGTCCTTCTTTAATCCTTGGTAATTTTCCTGGCTCTGAAATCTACTCTGTCTGATATTAATATAGCCACCCTAGCTTTCCTGATAGTGTTTGCACAGTATATCATTTTACATGCTTTTACTTTTAACCTGTCTATATTTATTTTTTATTTTTTTATCTTTCTTTCGAGATGGAGTCTTGCTCTGTCACCCAGGCTGGAGTGCAGTGGAGCAATCTTGGCTCACTGCAGCCTCCGCCTCTTGGGATCAAGACATTCTCCTGCCTCAGCCCCCCAAGTAGCTGGGATTACAGGCGCATGCCACCACACTCAGCTAACTTTTGTATTTTTAGTAGAGATGAGGGTTTCACCATGTTGGCTAGGCTGGTCTTGAATTCCTGACCTCAGGTGATCTGCCCACCTCGGCCTCCCAAAATGCTGGGATTACAGCTATGAGCCACCACACCTGGCCTAACCCATCTATATTTAAAGTGAGTTTCTTTTTTTTTCTTTTTTTAGACAGAGTCTCCCTCTGTCACCCAGGCTGGAATGCAATGGCGCGATCTCAGCTCACTGCAACCTCCACCTCCCCAGCTGAAGCAATTCTACTGCCTCAGCCTCCTGAGTAGCTGGGCTTACTGGCACGCACCACCACGCCTGGCTAATTTTGGTATTTTTAGTAGAGATAGGGTTTCACCATGTTGGTCAGGCTGGTCTTGAACTTCTGACCTAAAGTGGCCTACAGTGGGTTTCTTATAGACAGTATATACTAGACAGCTGCAGGAATGGATCTTTAAAAAAAAAAAAAAAAAAAGTGGCCAGGCACGGTGGCTCATGCCTATAATCCCAGCACTTTGGGAGGCCGAGGTGGGAAGATCGCCTGAGGTCAGAAGTTCGAGACCAGCCCAACCAACATGAAGAAATCCTGTCTCTACTAAAAAATACTAAATTAGACGGGCGTGGTGGTGTATGCCTGTAATCCCAGCTACTGGGGAGGTGAGGCAGGAGAATCACTTGAACCCAGTAGGTGGAGGTTGCGGTGAGCCGAGATCACACCACTGCACTCCAGCCTGGGCAACAAGAGCAAAACTTCATCTCAAAAAAAAAAAAAAAAGTATATACTAGAGTCTTGCTTTTGCACCCAAGCTGAAAAATAGTGTGTTTAGACCATTTACATTTAACACAATGATTAATGTAGTTGGAATAAAGGCTATAATCTTCACCACTGTTTCTATCTGTTCCATCTGCTCCTTGTGTTTTCCTTCTGTCTCCGTGTTCATTTAGATTAGCTGGATACATTTGTATGATTCCATTTTATCTCCACTATTGGCTTATTACATTTTTTTCAAAAAATGTTTTTAGTGGTTGACCTAGGTTTACAACATACATATTTAATTAATCAGAGCCTAGCTTAGAGTAAGTCATAGCATTTCATATGTCATGTAAAGACATTAGAACAGTATACTAGACCAATTATTGATCCCTTCTGACCTTTAAGCTAATTTGTCATAAATTTTATTTCCCATAACACGCCCTAAACACAAAATATATTGTTAATATTTTTGATTTATGGTCATCTTTCAGAGAAATTAGAAAAATATTTTTAAATAATAAAAACTCTATCTCCTAGAAACGTATTTGTATAGATCCAAATGTCTAATGTCATACCTCTTCTTCCTGAACAACTTCCTTTAATATTTCCAGTAGTGCAGGTCTGATGGCAATGAATTCTCTCCATTTCTGTTTCTCTGAGAGAGCATTTGTCCTTCATTTCTGAAAGATTATTTTTGCCGGATGCAGTTGCTCACACCCGTAATCCTAACACTTTGGGAGGCTGAGAAGGGCAGACTGCTTGAGCCCAAGAGTTCAAAACCAGCCTTGGCAACATGGTGAAACCCCATCTCTACTAGAAATACAAAAAAATTAGCTAGATGTAGTGGCATGTACCTGCAGTCCTAGCTACTCAGGAGGCTGAGATGGGAGGATGAATTGAGCCCTGGAGGCAGAGGTTGTAGTGAGCCAAGATTGCACCACTGCACTCTCGCCTGGGCCACAGAGTCAGACAAGAAAAAAGAAAAGAAAGGAAAGGAAAAGGGGAAGGGGAAGGAAAAGAAAAAAGAAAAGAAGAGAAAAGAAAAGAAAAGATTATTTTTGCTGTGTACGGAATTCTGGGTTGAAAGGATTTTCTCCCTTTTGGCCATTTAAAGATGTGCTGCATTATCTTTCGGTCTGCATGGGTTCTAATAAGAACTCTGCATTCTTTTTTTCCTCTGGAATTAGTCTCTTTCCTCTGACTGCCTTCAATATTTTCCATCTTTCATATTCTGCAATTTGAATATGATATGCCTCGGTGTTTTTCTGTCATTTGCCTGGTTTGGGGGATGATCTATTGGTGTTCTCTGAGCTTCACAGATCTTTGGTGTCCATCATTAATTTTAGAAAATTCTTGGTCATTACATCTTCAAGTATTTCTTCTGCCCCGTTTTCTTTCTTTTCCTTCTCAGACTTTACAAATTCAGACCACTTGATATTGTCTCACAGCTTATGGGTTCTCTGCCCTATTTTTTTCACACTTCAGCTGTATTCAAGTTCACAGACTCCTTCTTTGGCTACACCAAGTTTAATAATGAGCTTGTTGAAGACATTTTTCACCTATGTTACTGTCATTTTCATTTTTAGCATTTATTTTATTTTCTTACAGTGTCTATCTCTCTGCTGAAATATCCTACCTGACCATACAAGTTGCCTGCCTTTTCTACTAGAGATTTTAACATACTGAACAGTTATTTTAGATTCCATGTCTGGTAGTTCCAAAGAATTTGGTCTTAAAAATGTCCTGTCTCAATTCCATGTCTCGTAGTTCCAAAGAATTTGGTCTTAAAAGTGTCCTGTCTCAATAGTGTGTTGTTCTTCCTTCCTTCTTTTTATGCCTCAAAAACTTTTTTGAAAGCAGGATATCCTTTGTAAGACAGCTAAGACTGAGGTAAATAGTTTTTATGCCTGGGAAATGGGCCCGCCTTTCCTTCTGCCAGATCTTTAGTGTGTGGAGGTTGAGTCAATCTATTGTCAGAACAGAAGCGTGGTTTGGAATTTGTTGCTGCCATGGTTACCCACAATGTACCACCAGCTTCGAACTGTGTTAGGGTAGTGGCTGGTTTGCCAGAGGATGTTTTCCTCAGTGTCTGTTCGACCTTCAGCTTTTTTGGTCTTCCTTTTACGCTGCATCTGAGCTGGTCTGCCTCCACGTTCTTGCGCCTTACACCGATCTCCAGTGTCACCTGTCAGTCCACAGCTGTTAGCCTCGTATGGGTGGGAAGATTCTCTGACATTAGGATTAAGCCTTGGTCTTGGGCAAACACTGTCTTCCTTGGTGACTGGGGTGTGGCCTTCTCAGTGCTCCTGCCCTTTCTCCTCCACTAAAGTTCTGGGCCTAGCACATATTCCTGTCCCTCGCCAAGGACGAAAGACTTTTTTTCTGTTCTCTTTCCACAGTGGTTTAAGGCTCTTATCTCATAGGAGCAAAGAAGGGAAGAAGGACTCAGACAGGGCTTCGTGTCTTTCCAAAAGGATCTACTGTCCCTCTCCTCCAGGGGGAACAGTAAGGGACACTTTCTCAGTACCCACACCCTTGCCTCAATC
The DNA here is from genome assembly GCF_000001405.40 of Homo sapiens. Taxonomy (NCBI): domain Eukaryota; kingdom Metazoa; phylum Chordata; class Mammalia; order Primates; family Hominidae; genus Homo; species Homo sapiens. Next base: position 30,597,399 of record NC_000008.11, read on the forward strand.
TTTTTTGTAAGCATCCAATGAAATCTGTGGAGAAGAGCCTGTGAGTGGATACAAACTCCCCCTGTGTCTGCAGCCCCCCAGGCGATCTCTGTTTTCTTGCTGGTCCACACTAAGTTCATTAAATTTTAACTGAATTCTCCTGCGGGATGTTCACTTTGTCTGTCTCAGGTAAACAAGTGCTCAGGTCTTACCTTTCCAAGGGGGTGCCTGTCTCTCCTTACAGTTTGGGTTGGGAGGTTGTCCTGCAACCTCAGCTCACTGATGAATTCAAGAAGATATCAGCATGCAGACTTCTGGGGTTTGTTGTTGCTGTCAAGGTAGGAACGATGCTCTCTCTAGCTTTCTCCATTCTAAGTAGAAGCTAAAAGTCCCCAACTATCTGCTTTTCAGCCAAACTTTAAAGGCTGTTTAATGAATGTGGCTAGCTTTGCTCACTATAGGCATATATGAAAGAAAATAATTTCAGGTCAAACTTCCAACTCAGCAACAAAAATATCTCTGTAATCCCAATAAAGCATGCAAAATTACTGTTTTAAAATGTAGGCAATAGCCAGAATTTTACATGTCAAACTTATTATTATAGCTGTTAAAGAAACTATATCCTACCAAAGAATAGTTCTGGTATTTTGATCATCAATTTGTTAAGTTCTAATTTATCAACATGTGAAAACTGTATCCATTTCTTTAGAATATGTATTACATATCTGTCCAACAAGTCAACTGTGTACTTCTCTTTGTATAACAATAAAGGCAAAATGGGAAAGAAGTACATAGGAAAAACATACCTTTTACTCACTGGTTAATTTCATTCAATACACTTTCTACCACTGCAAAATTTCAGTTCCTTGAAAACAGAAATTTCTTTGCCTTTCTACCTGATATGCAAAGAAGCTTACATACTGCGGACCTCTTATGACACAATCGCAGAGGTAATATTACCTACTTAAATAGTGGCAGCAATGGTCTGGAAAGCTGATCTGTATATTACTGTATAGAAAGAACACACAACACTATAAATTTTCATGGCACAATAGAACTGAAAGTACACTTTAAAATTTTTAATTTAACTAGTTCCTTTTGTTTAAAGTCACTTGAGCTATTTTCAGAGAAAAACCCTGAATAAAAACTCTTCAATTTTTTTCAATAAAACATTTATACTTAATCCCTGCCTTTCCTTAGCTCAATGCTGTTGCAATATTTAAACATGACATCTACTATGTAAATGTAAATATATGACATCTACTATGTAAATCATTTAAATATGACATCTACGTAAATGTATTACAGCTGCATAAATACTTAAGATGAATACTGGAACACGGGTATTTTAGAGGTACAATCTCACAGAATCTCAAATTTAATTACTTTTTAAAACATGTGGGGACAAAATGTTCAGTTGACAAAGAGAAATAACCTGGTTTTCTTTAATTTTATAAAATGCGTGAAAGAAAATGAATTTTTAAAACAAGACAATCTTTGGCTGGGCATGGTGGCTCACACCAGTAATCCCTGCACTTTGGGAAGCCAAGGCAGGAGGATCGTTTGGCCCAGGAGTTCAAGACCAGTCTGGGCAACAAAGCGAGACCCTGTCTCTATTTATAAAAATTAATAAAATAAAAAACAAGATACTCTTTATGTTCTATGAGGTTGGCAAAGTCAACTAAAAACACCCAATCAGTATTTATGAGGACATGAAGAAATAAGATTCCTTCTCATTTATTACTGTGGAGGTATAAATTGGCCCAATTTTACAACAGACATTTGGTAAGGCATTAGTATTTTCAAAAATATGTCTATCTTTTGATCCAGCAATTCAACCTCAAGAAAATGTACACACAGCACTATCTGTAACAGCATAGAGCAAAAAAATAAAACCAAAAAAATAAATAAATAACTGGCTGGGCACAGTGGCTCACGCCTGTTATCCCAGCACTTTGGGCGGCTGAGGCAGGCAAATCACTTGAGGTCAGGAGTTCAAGAACTAGCCTGGCCAACATGGTGAAACCCTGTCTCTACTAAAAACACAAAAAATTAGCCAGGCATGGTGGTACGTACTTCTAATCCCAGCTACTCGGGAGTCTGAGACAGGAGAATCGCTTCAACCTGGGAGGCAGAGGTTGCAGTAAGCCGAGACTGTGCCATTGCACTCCAGCCTGGGCAACAGAGCGAGAGTTTGTCTCACAAAAAAAAAAAAAAAACTTCCCATCTGTGGAGTTTGTATACCTGGAAATGGGCCAGAAAAAATTGTTTTAGAGTATATCAACAAAATAGAATACCATGTAGCCATTTAAAAAATAACGATCAGGCAGGGCACGGTGGCTCACACCTGTAATCCCAGTACTTTGGGAGGCCAAGGTGGGCAGATCACTAGGTCAAGAGATCGAGACCATCCTGGCCAACACTGTGAAACCCCATCTCTACTAAAAATACAAAAATTAGCTGGGCGTGGTGGCACCCACCTGCAGTCCCAGCTACTAGGGAGGCTGAGGCAGAAGAATCGCTTGAACCCAGGGGGCAGAGGTTGCAGTGAGCGGAGATCACGCCACTGCACCCCAGCCTGGTGACAAAGCGAGACTCTGTCTCAAAAAATAAATAAATAAATAATGATCTAAAACAGTATGAGAGCCCCAGAGCACAGACTCAAAAGTGGTAGCTACTATAAGAATCCTGAATTCTTAAGATAAAGGTGAAACTGTTTAAGCTTCCAGTAAGTAAAAAAGTTGCCAGCAATGAGGAAAAAGATTGTCCATTAGAATTCTCATCAGAAACACCAAAAACCATAACGTAACTGCAAAAAATCAGCACAAATGTGGCCTGAGACTGCTAAATTGGCTTTCTTTGCTATCTGTTTAACCAAACACAAAACTATAAAACCAGTGAGTCAGTGACAGATGGATAAATAAATAACCAGGTTAAGTAGGATTAAAATGACTAGCACCATGGGTACTATTTTATTTTTCCGATACTAATAATAGTTAACATTACCATGTTCTTACTTTCCACCAGATTCTGTTCCAAGTTCCAAGCACTTTTATTTATATTCACTCATTTAATCCTCAAAGACAATGAGGTAACAATACTATTATTTCTATTTTACAGATGAGGAATCTCAGAGAGAGGTTAAGTGTCTTGCCTAGGCTAGTAAGGGACTGAGCTAAGATAAAACCTACATGGAATGAATAAATCTTTTTTTAGAGTAAAAAATAATAATAAAAAATAAATTAAAAAAAGATAAAACCTACAATCTAACTCCTCAGCACCAGCCTCTTCCCCATCACATTTATACTACCTTTAAATGAATAAGCTTCTGACTTAAGGAAAGAAATGCCTTTGAAAAATAAGTTGCCTGCCTAGGTCCAACTACTCTGTGTTCACTTCTACACTGGATTAAAAAATTACTACACCATCAACTCTCTCCTTGAGCTAATTCTCATTTTAGGACAAGTGCTTCTATTACAGACAGAACCCTCTGTGTGCCTGAAGTGTGCGCACTCAGAGTTCCTCTCTATGGCTAAGGTTGCCACCTAGTGGAACGAAACGAAAATCTTCACACAAAGCATAAAGCATTCTGAGGCTAGAGATGAATGTTAAAACGTGTCCGTTTTCAATGGGTCTTCCCTGGAAACACACATTCCTTATATCATTAACAAAAACTTGTTTTGTTTTGTTTTTGTTACTGATTTACGTAATACTGGCACTTTCAACTAAAAGACTGGTGGTACCTTACCCAAGGTTCCTGTAAATGGCTGTTCCCTCTGGTGTCTCTACAGCACCGTGTGAACACCAAAATGACAAAATGCAAACAGCTGAACTATGCTTCCTATGCCATTCTACCCGCTCAGCCTGGAAGGTCAAGGACAGCAACCTCATTCACTGTGATCTTCTTCCACCACCAAGTGTGCGGAATGACAGGAGCCAGGAAAAGGAATCTGAAAACAGTGGGTCTCAATCTTCCTCTATTCTATCAACATAAACTGGACCTTTAACCAAGTTCCCAACAAGGGGAATTTGTTCTCCAGGTGACATTTGATAATGTCTAAAGAAAGTTTTGGTTGTCACACTGCAGGGAAGCTAAGCTACTGGTATCTAAACAAGCCAAGGATGCTGATCAATGCCCTACAAGGCTCAGGACACTCCCCACACCAAAAAAAAACTACTCAACCAACCCCAAATGTTAACACTGCCAAGGTCGAAAGCCCTGCTTAACCCCCACCATCCTTCTTAAGAGGGACACAGATCAGTGAAAAATACCAGTTTATAACAATAAGCTGAGCCTACAAACCCAATTCTATTTAACATATATAAACAAAGTATTTTTGGCACTTTTAATAAACTTTTCTAGGAATATACAATGTATACTGTACACAGAATATAGCATTATTAACCTTGATAAATCACAGAAGAAATGTACTTTGTATTTTCAGAACTTTACCAAGAATCCTTTACCACTTAAGGAAGAGACCAGTTATGACATCTAAGTTGCCAATACATCGTAACTATATTGGCCCATTGGTGGCTATCATCTTCATGGTGACTCTACAATAGAAAGATATACAACTGTTTCAATTCCATTCCATTTACATTCTAGGGTAACTGCCTGAGCACTTATACATTTTTTAATCTTTTTTTTTTTTTTTGAGACAGAGCCTTGCTCTGTTGTCCAGGTTGGAGTGCAGTGGCACAATCTAGGCTCACTACAACCTCCACCTCCCAGGTTCATGCGATTCTTGTGTTTCAGCCTCCCAGGTAGCTGGGATTACAGACACGCACCAGCATGTCCGGCTAATTTTTGTACTTTTAGGAGAAATGGGATTTCACCATGTTGACCAGGCTGGTCTTGAAATCCTGACCTCAAGTGATCGCCTAAGGCAGGCCTCCCAAAGTGCTGGGATTACAGTCATGGGTCACAGCACCTGGCTGAAGTAAATTTTTAAACCATAAAAAATATATTTTAAAGAATAAAAATATATTTTCATTCTTTACATTACACTTAGGGTATTACACTGACTTTTTAAGAAAGTATGTGTATCAGTAGGTTATATTATCTATGAACTTAATTTCACAAAAGCAAAGATGACGTTACAAATCATTTGTTATAAGAGTGTTCACTGACTTTGGGAGGCCAAGGCAAACAGATCACCTGAGGTCGGGAGTCTGAGACCAGACTGACCAACATGGAGAAACCTGGTCTCTACTAAAAATACAAAATTAGCCAGGCGTGGTGGCATGCCTATAATCCCAGCTACTCGGGAGGCTGAGGCAGGAGAATTGCTTGAACCCGGGAGGCAGAGGTTGTTGTGAGCCAAGACTGCACCATTGCACTCCAGCCTGGGCAACAAGAGCGAAACTCCGTCTCAAAAAAAAAAAAAAAAAGGTGTTCACTGAATCTGGTGAAACAAAAGCCACTCTAGGAAAAAAACTAAAGTCCTTCCCACAATCTTTGTCTTTGCTATTCCCTCTGCCTGGATACTCGCCTTACAGTCCCACACGTGGACACTATTCTGACCCTTGGCAAGGCTAGCTCCACCCCATTTTTCCTGTTTTGGCTTATTTCACCTTTTTTCAAAGGTTGTATCTGAACTTCACCACCCACACCTTACCATAGAGCTCATTTATTTTCTTCCTAGCATTTCATACAATCCGCAGTATTTTCAAATTTTGTATATTGTCCTCCACTTCAGAATGGAAGCTCCATAAAGACAGGGACTGGTCTATCTTACCTCTATATTTAGCAAAATGACTAGGGCACTTAGGAGGAGACCATTAAATATTTCTTGAATAAACAGGCTTACGAATAAACATTAATAAACTGTAACAAAAATCCCAGAAATTGTCAACAAGGGAATAAAAAGACAACAGAGGATAAGAGAATGAAAATAAATTATACCATTTCCAAGTAAATGATGGGGAGATTACAACATATAATAAAGACGGTAAATGTAAAATGACAGTCAGAACTGATTCAAAAGTTAAAGCCAGCCATATGCCATCTAGAAAGGAAATACTTAAAACAACAACAAAAAAATACAGACAGAAAGTAAAAGATGGGAAAAAATATATAAAATTTTTAAAAAGCCAGAGGTTATGACAGTCAGATGGGAATAAAGCCAGACATCAAGGAAAAGAACATTAAATACAACAAAGGGGGACACATTATAATGATTTTGAACACAATTCTTAAAATAAACTACGACTGCCAAGAACGTTTATAAACTAAAAACTCTGCATGAAAATATAAAAAGCAGTAACTACAGGAAAAATAAACAAAAACATAAAAGTTGTGAGAGATTCTGATGTTTGCTCAGTCACTGCTTAGATCAAGTAGTCAAAAAATAAATATGTATGTAGATGATGATCTGATAAGAATATTTTCTGTTAAAATGAAAACACAACAAACAACAGAGATAAAATAAGTAGTTCACAAAGAAATAAGGAAAGAACAAATACAAAAGTGCACCATAGAGAAAATAACAGTGAGAAAATTAAGTCCGAGGGCCACGCTCTGAAAAACCGCACACTATTAAATTTGAAATTTTAAAAAGAATGGTTTTGTAGAAAAACACAGAATTATCAAAATTGACTTGCAAGATAGAAAACTTAAGGACATAAGCAAATAAAACATTAAGAATGTTGCCAAGAAAGCAATTAGCCAGATACATTCATGGGTATATGCCTTCACATTTTTAAAGAATCTACTATTCTCATAAGGAATGAGGGGGGGAGAGGAAGAAAAACTACTTTTCTTTTTATGAACCCAGCATAATAACCATAACCAAAATCTGACAAAGCACACAAAAAAGAAAAGTGACCATACTGAAACAATTGTCCTAAATACATTAATATTAAAAATTTAGAAATACATGAAGCCAAAGAAAGGTTATCTAGGAGTGTAAGGGTGGTTAAATATTAAGAAACCTAGCAGTACATTTCACCATATATTAAATAAGTTAGCAACAACAAAGATCTGAAAAGATGCAAAAATATTTTCTCAATTTACTTCTGCATTATCTTCCTGATTTCTATGACTACTTCATTAAAATAAAAAATACATAGCCAATGTGTAAGATATGTAAAGACATTTGCTTCAGCATTGTTAACTATTTTAAAACTCATTAATCAGGTACACACAGTGGAATACTAACCAGCCATACATCGTTATGGAATATTTGTAATGCTGAGAAAGCAAACTAAAAGAATAAACATCAAATTATTTACAGAACTTGTTCCTGATTATGTAAGATTTAACTACCAAGCATATGTTATCACAAGACACGGAACACATATCCATGATGCATGTTTAATTTCTGCATCACATATGCTAGAGTTTAATATTACTATTTTACTCTATGTATTTCTAGATTGTTAATGTTTTCTAGGGGGGAAAGTGAAAATTCTCATTTTACCCCTATAAGCTATGCAATAAGGAAATAGAAAAGAGTTTAGGCCAACAAAGGCCATATAAAATGACAAATGAAAACGGGTAATATTAAGGAAGTATAGATAAAAGATACACAAACAGGAAAAAGCAAAGTTAAAACAATAGTATCCACAGAAAGAGCACACAAGGGCCAGAAAGTGACAGCTTAGCGTGCAGATTACAAGAACATCTGGGCTTCCCACTGCTAAACACACAGTGTACTCCTAAAATAACCCCAAAGAAATGCTATTAAGAAATTCTAGAGCTTCATGTACACTCTTACAGAGCTACTGCAATCTCTTTCCTATCAACCACCCGCCTCAAGTTAAACATCTGCTTACACAACAGACATGCTACACTATGCTGCCATCTGCAGAGCAGACTTAACACTAAAATTCCCACTGAGAACATTTAAATATGTTTGTTGAAGGCATCAAAGTAAATGACGGAGAAACTAAAACTTAACTAGAGATACAACTATATTGGGAGGAGAGAGATAGGTATAGGAAAGAGAAATGACAGTAAGTCACACAATGTTTAAAGTTGAAAAAAAATCAAGAAACAATAGCATAAGCATATTATTAGCAATTGGGAAAAAACTGAAGAATCCAAAATAAAACTAGTTAAGCAGCTGCCACAAAAGAAAGGGACTGCAGCTAGAGAAGGGAAAGGCACATCTGCCTTTTAGTATAGGCTCTTACTCTCTATCTGAACTTGTAATACTTGTGATAGGTTTTTTTAAGTACTGCAAATATTTTTCAAAATGATTGTTATTATACCTAAGAATAAAGGAATCGGTTATTTCTTAGATTTTTTTTTTTTTGAGCTCAGAAATATCTTAAATGGTTTTTAACTTTCTTTTTTAAAGGCAGAGTCTCACTCTGTCACCCAGGCTGGAGTGCGGTGGCACAATCAGCTCACCGTAACCTCTAACTCCTGAGTTCAAGCTATACTCTTGTCTCAGCCTTGTGAGTAGCTGAGACCACAGGCATGCGCCACCAAGCCTGGCTAATTTTTCAGTTTTTAATAGAGATAGGGTCTCACTTTTTTGCCCAGGCTGGTCTTGAACTCCTAGCCTGAAGCGATCCTCCCACCTTGGCCTCTGAAAGTGCTAGGATTAGAGGCATGAGCCACCATGCCCAGCCTTAAATGTTTTCAAAAGCAAGAAATATAAAAATTAGCATAAAGGCAACATTGCAAGTAACGAAGACTGAAAGCAATATAAAAATCGCCAGGCAGTACTGAAGTCTTTGTTCAACAGGCACCTATCACTACAATGGATAGCATAAGTTCACTACATACTTGCTTTGTTATATAAAAGCTTATTAGAAACAACAACATCAAAGAACTGGAATATTCTGCACATTTTTATTTAATTAACATTTATTGTGAACCAATTACATGTAAGATACTCAATTGGGATTTTCACAAAAATACAATTTCCTAAAACAAGTTCAGGGAAACTAAAGCCCTATCTACCAGAACCACAAGCCTGGATATCTATAGACAGATAACAAAAGGAAAACTTAAGGTTACTGCACAAATCACAAAATCAATTAAATTGATGTCCAATTATTTTCCTGCCATTTTATAAAACTTCAAAAGTAATACAAATTTACAGTAAAATACCACCAACACTTGCTAAAATGGCAATTGGTAAACTTGAATAATACATTTTTCATCACTAAACCCTTGTTTAATGACAAATTATTGACAAAAATTTAAAACTAAAGTCCAAACATACGTATCATATACTTAGTAAGAGATTCAATATACAGCTTAGCATCCAACTCCACAATTTCCAGAAAGAAAAACATCATCTCCTTCCTTATTCAATTTGATAACTGAAAGATTCATAAGATAAGAGAACACTATTCACCAATAAAAGTTTATTCTTTTTCCCATCCTGTATCAAGCTTTTGTATCAGGATATGAACTTACATTTGTAAAAGTCTAAAGATAAAGAAATAAACCCGTTTGGTTCAGTTGAGCTATAAACATTAAGAAATCCTGAACTGCGATTGTAAGTATAATTAACCTAAAATCTTTCAAATCACATATTTCAAATTGCATTCTAAGCAACAATATGTTAGACACAGGGGCCACTGGCTGTGTTCTAAGAAATGATAATGCTAAAAAAGCAATATAAGATTTAAATTATAATTGTATTATAAATATTAATTTTACCACCCTAAAATTGTAATATACTTGCAAACTAAAGTATAATACAGAAAAGCTCACCTTCATCCACAGAAAACTGACAGCTCTTATCATTGAAGAAAAGTATTTTCTTCTTATCGGGACGATTTACAAATAGTATCTGGTCCCCCAAAGCCTTAAAGATAGATAAAATAAAGATTTTTCAGTTAACTCCAAATTACCTCACCAAAAAAAAAAAAAATTTAAACAATAAAGGAGTTTCATTTCCTTAACACACTCAGTATACCACCATAGGGTCCTCCACCATAGGTCCACTGGACCCAATTTTAGTTTTAGTTTTGTTTTTAAGAGACTCCACCCAGACTGGAGTGCAGCTCACTGCAGCCTCAACCTCCCAGGCTCAAGCAATCCTCCCACCTCAGCCTCTGGAGTAACTGGGACCACTGGTGCATTGCCACCACGTCTAGCTAATGTTTTCAATTTTTTGTAGACAAAGGGTCTCACTATGTTGCCAGGGCTGGTCTTGAACTCCTGGGCTCAAGCGATCTTCCCACCTCAGCATCAGAAAGTACAGGGACTATAGGTGTGAGCCACTGCACTCAGCCCCAATTTTAGTTTTTGAGTTTCTTTCTTGAGTAGTTCAATTTTTTAAAAATTGATATTTCCAGACTTGTATTCTTAGAGGTCTTCCAAAGAACAAAAATAAAACGTGTTTCACTTAAAACGGAAAATTCAATCTTTGCTGCAATTACTATTTGGGTCCATGGGGCTCTTTCACTAATCTAAGACACATAATAGAATCTTGGTGTTCTTACTTTTCCTCTACCTTGAGATATTTCGCTCCTTACTCATCATTACCCATCAATTATTTCCAATTGTGCTTTTAAAACGCTAAAATAATAAGAAAATAGAAGAATGATTAAATCACCTAGAAATGTGATGCAATAGTGAAATACATGGGCATCCTTCAGTTTTCTTACTGCATTGCCCAAAGGATTACATTACTCCTTTTCAAGAGATATAAAAGATTGGAAGAGTCTTCTTGTTGTCTTTTAACTTTCATTGAGTACACCTGACAAAAAAAATTTTGTATTTTCTACCCTTGAGAGCAAAGACAAGAAAACTGACCAAAGACATTTCACAATTATTAGATGAATCAAAATATGAATGCAAAAAGCCAAATAGCAGCACTCTAGACTATCTGGCAAAAATTCATCATAGGAATAAAGTCTCAAGCTATGGAGTCTTTAGATGACAATAACTCAAGTGAAGATTCTCAAGCTTAAGAATCAACAAGCGAACAAAATGCTTCTCAATACAAAATGGAAACAATATTCTCATCCCGTTATTCACCAGAAGATTATCACACAGTATTTTGTGAAAAGAATCTTTATCATCTCACTTTGCTAAAAGGATATATGACAGTATTCTTCTTTTTGATGTGTTTTCCAAAAATTACTTGATACAGAAGTTTGCTGTGTTAAATTCTTACTAAAATCTCTAATAAAGCTGTTTTCATCATCCCATTATTCTTACTTATGTAAATTATTCATAAAATGACTTAAAGTAGCTTAAAAATAATAGTCCACTAGATCAAGGTGGTAAAAGGTGATAACTACAGGATGAGCAACCCAAATCCCAAAATCTCGAATCCAAAATCCAAAACTTTTTAAGTGCTGACATGACATGCCAAAGAAATACTTACTGGGGGCCAGGTGTGATGGCTCACACCTATAATCCCAGCACTTTGGGAGGCAGGAGGATCATTTGGGGTCAGGAGTTTGTTTGTTTTGAGACGGAGTCTCACTCTGTCAACCAGGCTGGAGTGCAGTGACGCGATCTTGGCTCACTGCAAGCTCCGCACGGTGGCTCACGCCATTCTCCTGCCTCAGCCTCCCGAGTAGCTGGGACTACAGGTGCCCGCCACCACGCCCGGCTAATTTTTTGTACTTTTTAGTAGAGACAGCGTTTCACCATGTTAGCCAGGACGGTCTCAATCTCCTGACCTCGTGATCCACCCGCCTCGGCCTCCCAAAGTGCTGGGATTACAGGCGTGAGCCACTGCACTCGGCCGAGGTCAGGAGTTTTGAGACCAGCCTGGTCAACATGGTGAAACCCCATCTCTACTAAAAATAGAAAAATTAGCTGAACACGGTGGCAGGTGTCTGTAATCCCAGCTACTTGGGAGGCTGAGACAGGAGAATCTCTTAAACCAAGGAGACAGAGGTTGCAGTGAGCTGAGATCACCCCACTGCACACCAGCCAGGGCAACAGAAAGAGACTCCGCCTCAAAAAAAAAAAAAAAGAGAAAGAAAGAAAGAAAGAAATACTCACTGGAGCATTTTGGATTTCAGATTTTCAACTCTGGAATGTTTAAACTGGTATAATGAAAATATCCCAAAATTTGAAAAAAATCCCAAAATCTGAAACAGTTCTGGTCCCAAGCATTACAGATAAGGGACAGTCAAATTGTACATACATAAAATAAATGAAAGAACCTGAAGGCATTGCTAAAAAAAATTAAAGACATGAATAAATGAATTCTGTGCTCATGTATTAAAAAACTTAATACAGTTACGATGGCAATACTACCCAAAGTTACCTATTCAAGGTAATCCCTATCAAAATCCCAATGGCATTTTTTGCAGAAATGGAAAAATCCATCCAAAAATTTATATCAAATCTCAAGGGACCTCAAAAAGCCTGAAATGGTTTAGATCTGTGTCCCCATCAAATCTCATGTCAAACTGTAATCCCCAATGTTGGAGGTGGGGCCTGGTGGGCGGTGACTGGTATGAAGGTGGATTTCCCTCTTGGTGCTGTTCTCCTGATAATGAGTTCTCATGAGATCTGGTCATTTAAAAGTGTGTGGCACCTTCCCCACTCTCTCTTGCTCCTGCTCCGGCCATGTAAGATGAGCCTGTTTCCCCTTCACCTTCTGCCATGATTATAAGTTTCCTGAGACCTCCCCATAAGCTGAGTAGACACCAGCATCATGCTTCCTGGAGAGCCTGCAGAACTGTGAGCCAAATCAATCTCTTTTCTTTATAAATTATCCAGTCTCAAGCATTCCTTTATAGCATTGCAAGAATAGACTAATACATAGCCAAAACAATCTTGAAAAAGAACAAAATTGGTGATCTCACTCTTACTGATTTCAAAATATATTACAGAGCTACATTAATCAGGCCAGGTGCAGTGGCTCACACCTGGAATGCCACCACTTTGGGAAGCCGAGGGTGGGCAGATCACTTGAGGTCAGGAGTTCGAGACCAGACTGGCCAACATGGTAAAACCACATCTCTACCAAAAATAAAAAAATTAGTTGGGTGTGGTGGTGTGTGCCTATAATCCCAGCTAATCAGGAGGCTGAGGCAGGACTACTGCTTGAACCTGGGAGGCAGAGGTTGCAGTGACCCAAGATTGCATCACTGCACTCCAGCATGGGTGACAGTGTGACTCTGTCTCAAAAAAAAAAAAAAAAAAAGGCTACATTAATCAAAACATTGTAGTGCTGGCATGAAGAAAGACATACAGGCAGAATAGAGGGCCCAGAAATAAACCTTCACATATATGGTCAAATGATCTTCCACATGAGTACCAAGACTAAGACTATTCAATGGGCAAAGGACGGTCTCTTCATCAAGACACTGAGAAAACTGGATATCCACATGAAAAGGAATAAAGTTGGACTCTTACACCATATACAAAAATTAACTCTAAATACCTAAGACCCAAAACTATAAAACTCCTAGAAGAAAACATAGGACAAAAGCTTCATGACATTAGATTTGGCAGTGATTTAAACATGATACTAAAGGCACAGGCAACAAAATCAAAAATAGACAAGAGTGCAGCAAACTCAGAAACTGGCAAATTAAAGAGCACAATCAACAGAGTAAAATGGCAACCTACAGAATGGGAGAAAATATTTGCAAATCATGTATCTGTTAAGGAATTAATATCCAGAATATATTTTTTAAAACTCCCACAATTCAACAACAAAAACACAATGGAATATTATTCAGCTTTAAAAAGGAAGAAAATCCTGTTGCAAGTACAACATGGATGAACCTTGAGAATATTATGCTAAGTGAAATAAGCCAGTCTTGGAAAAAGATTCCAAGATTCCAAGCAAACGGGCTAAGGCTAGAAGAACAGAAGAGACATATCATATGCTACCTGCTGTAGGGCAGACAAGGTTTGGAGTAACTGCCCACTTAACCACAAAACAAAACAAATAGAAACACTCTTGGGAGGAATGTAACAGAATCCTGAGTCTTTACACATATTAATATAATCCACAAGGTCTAAGACCCAACAGAAATGTATTAGATATATGAAGAAACAGGAAAATATGACCCATAAAAGAGACAGTCAATGCAGACCAGCTCTGAGATGACTCGGCTGTTAGAATAAGAAGAATTTTAAAGCAGCTATAAGAAATCATACTTAAGGGTGTAACAAAAGATACTTGTCACGAATGGAAAAAAAAGAAAACAAAATTCAGCAAAGAAACAGAAACCAGAAGAAAAATTTACAAAGAAAGACTAGAACTGAAAAATACAATTAAAAAATTCACCAACTGGGCTTAACAAGTTGGAAGTGAAGAAGAAAAGTGAGTGAACTTGACAATGGATTAATAGAACAGAAAAAAAATTGAAATAAATAAACAGAGCCTCAGGGACTTGTAGTACAATACCAGAAGATCTGACATGTATAATTCCATTACCAAGAAGAAGAGACAAAGGGGCAAGTTTTCTTCTACAGGCAGCAAAATGAATGAACCTGCTTAACAAGTTAACATTAATAATGAGCAACTGTGACAAATGGAAACAAGCAGCTTTCCCCAGTGAGTTTCAAATTTAAACTGGAAATGTCATCTGTATCAGTAGGACTTTCATAGATAGCCCCTTTAGGACTTCAAAACAGCCAGGTTATTAACCAATGCTTTCATGTTTTAATGCCTCTAGTTCCTCAGGTAAGGAACATCTACTAGTATTATAGAAGACACTCTTATTTACAAACAGAGCTTACAAGAGAAACTCTATTGCCTTTGAGGAAAATTTTCCAGAAATAGCCTGAACAATCAAACAATCATATAGTAACAGCAACAAGAACCCGTCAAAGTTACACAGAGATGGCTGCTCCCTTTCCTGCTAGGTGGCACAAGACAAATTTCAAACCTTCAAGTGGCTCACTGTAACCCATGTGTATATAATAGAAGCTTTAAAAACAATTGTAAAATGTTTGATATTTTTAAAACCAAGAAGTCATTATTCATTCAAATTATATTAAGACATAGAAAGAAAAGAGAGATTACCTTGACAGCTTTCTGGGAATTGGGCAGTGCTTCTTCTATGTCTTCTAAAAGAATTCCTCCTAATCCTCGCTGGTCATGCTGATCTAAGAGCCTAAGTAGGGCCTTCTTATCTCTCACGTTGTACTTGGGCTTGAAAGCATACTTCCCATCTATTACTTCAATTTTGGGATTGTTGACTAAAGCCTGTAACAGTGATACAATTGGAATATATTAACAAATGGAACATAAATATATATATATATTTTTGAAACGTAATCTTGCTCTGTCGCCCAGGCTGGAGTGCAGTGGCGTGATCTCAGCTCACTGCAACCTCCGCCTCCTGGGTTCAAGCGATTCTCCTGCCTCAGCCTCCCTCTCCTGCCTCCCTCCCTCTCAGCACCTGGGACTGCAGGTGCGCACCACCACACCCAGCGAATTTTTGTATTTTTAGTAGAGACGGGGTTTCACCACATTGGCCAGGCTGGTCTTGAACTTCTGACCTCAGGTGATCCACCCACCTCAGCCTCCCAAAGTACTGGGATTATAGGCGTGAGCCACTGTGCCCAGCCCATATACACATTCTTAATTCTACTAATTATTTTAAAATACAACACTAGCCAATACAGTGGCAAATTAAAAGTACCTTATGAATACAAACTGGCAGGCCTAAAATCCTGGACATCCAGAATTCCAGAACAGTAGATCAGCACGGTGCTCACTTTTTATAAAAGAAACTGTGTTTTATTTACATAAATTCTTTGAAGAGAAATAAACCATTTTATCACAACTACTTTGAAAAAAGCTGAACCCATATTCTTCTAGTAGTCAAAATGTGTAGGAATCAATAAAACACCTACAAATATTAATAGACAAAGTGAACTGAGTAGTGCCCACTCCATCTGCAAAGTACAGCTTATCACATACTGGCATTATAAAGTAAGGAACATAACCCTTACTAGTCAATGGTCTTCCCCATCTGCTATCAACTGGCAATGGCAGCTGTGGAAGGAACTGAAAAGGACCAGACTAGTGCATACAAGAACTTTACCTATAATGTCAGCTTGAGAATGAAACTGAGTAGGAATGCAGGAATTACTGAATATAATTATGTTTCTAGTCAGTTCTGTTGTACAGTTAGTATCAGAAGGAAAGCTCTTCAAAAAGAGCAACCCTATATATTTTCTTCTGCAGCTGCCAGCCTGACCCTGAAAGGAGAAAGAGAAGAAACACAGAAAGAAGAAAAAAGGGAGAATAGAATAGTAAAATGATCAAAGTCATTGTTAACTAAATGTTGGTAGTCTATGAATTCTCAAGGTTAGCTAAACCAGCAAATTTAAATGTGGATTACCATTGTTTGTGTATCACTAATACAATGAACTACAATTATACTGATTAATGGTCATGTTACATTATAAAAGTCAAGACCTGTATTTTGCTTGGTAAAAAAATAAATGAATTGTATGTTAGGAATTTTACATTTGGTTTCTAGAATCTATCTCTGGTCCTAGAAAGTAGTCTTCTTAGTTTTCACTTCATATTTTAAAGCGGTAAACATTTGAATTTTTAAATGCTATTCATTTCCAAATTAGCATGGTCACTGACTGCGTTGGGGTTTCTTCAAATGATGTGTGTTCATACACAGCATTCGCGACTTTTTTTCCACATCAAGCCATAATAGCAGTAATTGTGCAACAAAATATCTTCCTATCCCTGCAGTACCTTATGCTTTAAATTTCCTAAAACAAAAACAATTCAATTTACAAGCACACAAACTATAAATCTGGCAATACAAAATAAGCATTAATCTGTAAAAACATTAAGTCGAATTGGTACAATGACTTCTTTACAACTATTACACAAAGTCTTACCTTTAACATTTTGAAACAGATAACATAAAATTATATGAAAACCAACAAATCAATCTTATAAATGTGTACATTCAAAAAACAAAGACCCTACACCATTTCTTTTAAGAAAAAGTAAAAAGCATTATCAGATTTCACCATATTAAAACATTCTAGGCAAGGCGCAGTGGCTCATGCCTATAACCCCAGCACTCTGGGAGGCCGAGGTGGGCGGATCACTTGAGGTCAGGAGTTCAACACCAGCCTGGCCAACATGGTGAAACCCCGTCTCTACTAAAAACACAAAAATTAGCCTGGTATCGTGGCACATGCCTGTAGTCCCAACTACTCGGGAGGCTGAGTCAGCAGTGGGCTGAGATCATGCCACTGCACTCTAGCCTGTGCAACAGAGCAAGACTCTGTCTTAAAAAAAAAAGAAAATTCTAGTTACAGGAAATCTCTCTTGATAATCAACTAAATTCTTACCTCAGTCATTAGCCATTGTTTCTGCTTGAGTCCAATATCTAAATGTTGTGTTTCATCCAAAATTTCATCTAAGGTTAGAGGATGCGTATCTCCTCGCTGATGCCGTGTCTATCAAGTGAAGAAATTGTTATTAGAAGACAGTTTCAAAATGCTAGATGCATTAAATCATAGTTACATGTAAACAAACCTTCAGGAATGAAAAACATGTATTATTCCAGGTAGCATAATTATAGTGACGAAGAGCCATAGACCATGAAATCAGAATGGGGTTGAAACTCATTGCTCTATAAAATCAAAAGACAAACTGACAAAAAAATATATGCAACTCGTATCACCAAGAGCTATATTCTTCCTAACATTTCAAGAGCTTCAAAAAACTAACAAAATAGACCAGGCACAGTGGCTCATGGCTGTAATCCCAGCACTCTGGGGGACTAAGGCAGGTGGGATCACTTCAGGTCAGGTGTTCGAGACCAGCCTGGCCAACATGGTGAAACCCCATGTCTACTAAAAATATAAAAATCAGCCGTGCATGGTGGTGCATGCTTGTAATCCCAGCTACTTGGGAGGCTGAGGCAGGAGAATCGCTTGAACCTGGGAAGAGGAGGCTGCAGTGAGCTGAGATCATGCCACTGCACTCCAGCCTGGGAGGCAAGAGCAAGACTCTGTCTTGAAAAAACACAAAACTAACAGAAAATGACCCAAAGACAGAAACGCGCAGATTGCAAAAAATGACCTTAAACATAGGAAAAGACACTCAACTTTCACCAAACAATCCTATTTCTAGAAACTTATCCTACAGAAATACCAGTACCACACAGAAAAGTGACTTATGGTCACTGTAGCATTGTTCATAAAAGGAAAATATTAGAAATAACCCAAGCGTCCATATTAGAAGACAGATTAACTACAGCACATCCATTCCACTACACAGATGTTCACAAAGTAAATGTAAAAGTTCTCTATGTGCTAATTTGAAAAGATGTCCAAGACAAATTAATAAGTTAAAAAACATATGTATCATGCCTATCCAAAGAAAACACACACACACACGTAGATACCAAAAGCTAGAGAGGATGCAAAGGAACAGGAGCTGTCATTCATTACTGGTGAGTATGCTAAATGGTACAGCTACTGTGGAAGACAGTTCAGCAGTTTCTTACAACACTAAACACACTCTTACCATTTGATCAATCTAGCAATCACGATCCTTGGTATTTACCCAAATGAGCCAAAAAATTATGTACATACA
Organism: Homo sapiens; assembly: GCF_000001405.40. Lineage (NCBI taxonomy): Eukaryota > Metazoa > Chordata > Mammalia > Primates > Hominidae > Homo > Homo sapiens. Next base: position 30,615,860 of record NC_000008.11, read on the forward strand.
AAAATCCACTAAGGATGCTTATTACAGCTTTATCCATAATTGCCAAAAGCTGGAAGCAACCAAGATGTCCTTCAGTAGGTGAGTGGGTAAATAAACCGTGGTATATCCAGACGATGGAATACTATCCAGTGCTAAAACGAAATGAGCTATCAAGCTATGAAAAAAACATGGAGAAACCTTAAATACATATTACTAAGGGAAAGAAGCCAATCTGAAAAGGATACATACTGTATGGCTCCAACTGTTGACATTCCGGAAAAGGCAAAAACCATGGAGACAATAAAAAGTTTAGTGGCTGCAGGCCAGATGCAGTGGTTCACACCTGTAATCCCAGCACTTTGGGAAAACGAAGCAGGCCACAAGGTAAGGAGATCGAGACCATCCTGGCCAACATGGTGAAATCCCATCTCTACTAAAATACAAAAAATTAGCCAGGCGTGGTAGCGGGTGCCTGTAGTCTCAGCTACTCGGGAGGCTGAGGCAGGGGAATCACTTGAACCTGGGAGGCGGAGGTTGCAGTGAGCCAAGATCAAGCCATTGCATTCCAGCCTGGCAACAGAGCAAGACTCTGTTTTAAAAATAAATAAATAATTTTAAAAATTAAAAATTAAAAAAAGTTTAGTGGCTGCCAAGGGTTGAGGGGAGAGGATGAACAAGCAGAGCCCTGAGAATTTTTAGGGCAGTGAAAATACTCAGGAGGATACTAGAGTGGTGGACATAGGTCATTATACACTTGTCCAAACCCACAGAAAGAACACCACTAAGGGTGAACTCATGTAAACTATGGACTTTGAGTGGTAATTTGTCAACGTAGGTTCATTGACTGTCACAAATGTACTCTTCTGGTGCAGGATGTTGATAGTGGAGGAAGCTGTGGGGGGATGGGCAGGGAATGGATGAGAATTCTGTATTTTCCAATCAATTTTGCTGTGAACCTAAAACTGCTCTAAAAAAAAAAGTGTTTTTTAAAGTAAATAAGAAAAAAGTATGTATGTTAAAAAACATATGCACTATGAACCCTTGTATATAGGGAAGGGTAGAAATAAGTATACATTTGAACTTTGTTTCTGCATAAAGAACCACTGGAAAAAAAATCACAAGAAACTAATAAAAGAGGTTACCTGTAGAAAGCACAAGAGGGGAGAAAATGAGTAGGATGACAGGTGAGAACAAGACTCCTTCATTGTACCTTATTATACAACTTTACTTTTTGTACAAAGAGATATGTTATTTATCCAAAACAAAAATAACTCTTCAAAAGAAAAAAAAACCCAAGCTCCAAGTTCCCTCACATTGAGCAGGTTACTGAACCTCATTGGGCTTCAGTCAGGCCCTGGAAAACTAAATAGCCACTTCGCCAAACTAGAAGGTACAGACAGCAGATAGAGACATAAGCTTAACACACCACACAAAAGAACCATTCATTGAGCGTTTGCTGTTAATTCATTCACTTATTCATTCAAATATTTAGTGGTAACTACTATGTGCTGAGAGTACTGCAATGAGACACACAATAAAATGCAAACTACTTCTGCCTTTAGAGCAGAAGAGCTCCCAATAGAGGGGAGAAGCTAAACATACAAGCTACAAAAGTTAGATATGGCCGGGCATAGTGGCTCACACCTGAATCCCAGCAAATTGGAAGGTCAAAGTGGGCAGGTTGCTTGAACCCAGGAGATTGAGGCCAGCCTGGACAACATGGCAAAACTCTGACTCTACCAAAAAATTGCATATATACAAAAATTAATCAGGTATGGTGGCACACGCCTATAGTCCCAGTTCCTTGGCAGGCTGTAACGACTGCTTGAGCCCAGGAGGCAGATGCTGCAAGTGAGCTGTGGTCATGCCACTGCACTCCATCCAGCCTGGGTGACAGAACCAGATCTTGTCTCAAAAAAAAAAAAAAAGCTAGGTAAACAACTATCTGTCAGGAAGGCATCTTCAATCAGAAGAAATGAAAGAGAAAACTGGACAGACCTTGAATGACGACATGATTAACTAGAATACGGGGAAACGCCGGGCAGCTATAGTACAGCAGTGGTCTCCTACGTGGGGTGTACACACCCCAGGGACACAAAAGTGGGTACCTCGTGATGATTCTTTAGAACATTTATTAAAATTGTCTTTAATTTCCATTTAAAAGTTATGCTTTACTTAGGCTGGGCACAGTGGCTCATGCCTGTAATCCCAGCACTTTGGGAGGCCGAGGCAGATGGATCTTGAGGCCAGGAGTTCAAGACCAGCCTGACCAACATAGTGAAATCTGTCTCTATTAAAAATACAAAAAATTAGCCGAACATGGTGGCACATGCCCGTAATCCCAGCTACTCAGGAGGCTGAGGAAGGAGAATCGCTTCAACTGAGGAGGCAGAGGTTGCGGTGAGCCGAGGTTGCACTATTGCACTCCAGCGCAACACTCTGTCTCGGGGGGCGGGGGGGAGTTACGCTTTACTAATAGTGAATATGTGGACTGACAAATACTATTAGTAAAGTGGCTCCTTCATCACTAGTAGTAAAGTGGCTCCTTCGCTTCATGTCAGGACATCCACATTTCCAATCGTGACATGCATGTAGGAATCCTGAGGCGGGCCTGGGAATCTCACATGACAAAGGGCCCAGCATGCATGGCCTCGCTCATTCCTTCACTTTCAGGATTCTGCAACACAGTGAGACTGGCCTGTTATAAGATGGATTGTGGAGAATTTTTTTTTAAAGACCTTTCAAAGGTAGACATTGTACAATGGTTTCACAAAGCTGTAAGAAATGAATTACAAATTTCTCCTTACAAAAAGGCAAAATGTTTCAAATCTGCTCAATATTCTATGATTATAGCAGCTATTTACAGTTTGCTAACAATTATTTTTAAAATAATTAAAATAAGCCATCTATTCCTTCAAAGTAAAGCTGGCATTTAATGATGTGTAAAAGTAGCTGCTTTTTGAAATAAATTCATGCCATGGAAAGAGCATTTTGAAAAGACTGGGAAATATTTCCATCATTATGTGATTTCTGAGTTTAAAAGGTATAAGAATAAAAACTGTCATATCTGCATATCTTAAAATTTTGATAAACTATTTTCTAACCTTCACTATTATCTTCTTTGAGATGTAGTCTCGCCTTGTCACCGGGCTAGAGTGCAGTGGTGCAATCTTGGGTCACTGCAACCTCCACCTCCCGGGTTCAAGTGATCCTCCTGCCTCAGCCTCCGAGTAGCTGAGACTACAGGCATGTGCCACCACACCATGCTAATTTTTGTATTTTTAGTAAAGACGAGGTTTCACCATGTTGTCCAGGATGGTCTCGATCTCCTGACTTCATGATCCACCTGCCTCAGCCTCCCGAAGTGTTGGGATTACAGGCATGAGCCACCGTGCCCAGTCTACTTCAATAGTTTTACAGTACTTTGAGTGCTGTTTTATAATCTTTATTTTTAAAAAGTCTTCCAGACAAAACCCTTCTATGAGTTTAAAATCAAAATTGTCAGTAATTTAAAAATTATAATCCATTTTGATATATTTTGCATAAACTGACTTTTTTTTTTTTTTTGAGACGGAGTTTCGCTCTTGGTGCCCACGCTGGAGTGCAATGGCATGATCTCGGCTCACCGCAACCGCCACCTCCCAGGTTCAAGCAATTCTCCTGCTTCAGCTTCCCAAGTAGCTGGGACTATACGCGTGCACCACAACACCTGGCTAATTTTTGTATTTTTAGTAGAGACGGGGTTTCACCATGTTGGTCAGGCTGGTCTCGAACTCCTGACCTCATGATCTGGCCACCTCAGCCTCCTATAGTGCTGGGATTACAGGTGTGAGCCACTGCGCCTGGCCAAACTGACATATTTTTTAAAATGGGAGTTTACTAGCCAAATTGTCGGGATTAAAATAAATCAGTGTCACAATTTTCTAACAATGATTTATAGCCGCTGAGTGAATAATGCATACCCTCCCTCCAAAAACATGCACATCCAAATCAACCTGTGGCTGTGTTACCTTGCATGACAAAAGGGACTTCATTGGCATGATTAAACCAAGGATCCAGAGATAGGAGACATTATTGCAGATTTCCAGGTGTCCCTTAAAAGGGAAAGAGGGAGGCAGGAGAGTCCGAGTGAATAGCAAGAGATGTGACAACAGAAGAGGATGGAGGAAGGACTATGAGTCAGGGAATGCAGGTGGCCTGTAGAAACTGACAGAGTAAAGAGATGCTCCCCTTTATGTCTCCAGAAGGAACCAAACCTGCCTATACTCTGACTTTAGCCCAGCAAGTCTGCCTTTTGAACCTCCGACTTCCAAAACTGGAAGATAACCAATTTCTGTTGTTTTAAGCCACTAAAGTTGTGGTAATTTACAGCAGCAATAGGAAACTTATACACACACACAAACACACACACACACACACAAACACACACACACACGTATACATACACACATTCATTCCTTTGAGATCTATAAATCTTTGCTAAGGGTCTTTATTGCTATGACATCAATTAAAACCAAGGTTCCAAACAAACTAAACCTAAAACGAGACCTTCATCACTTTGTAAGAAAAGGTTAAATGAAGATGTTTGACACAGCACTCATTCAATCATACTGCTTTCAGTCAGAAAAAGAGCTTCTTATACTGTTAAAAAAATTATTTTAAAATAGTGTATTTTACCTTTTATCTCTATCTTTTTCATTTCTTATTTTTGTGTAAGCTTATAACATATACAATGTATTGATAGAGTAATACACTAGCACATGTACAAACAGTAAGCTAAGAAAATTTTAATAAGAGTTAGCCGAGCTGGGCACGGTGGCTCACGTCTGCAATCCCAGCACTTGGGGAGGCTGACGTGGGTGAATCACCTGAGTTCAGTAAGTAGTTCAAGGCCAGCCTGGCCAACATGATGAAACCTCGACTCCACAAAAAAAAAAAAAATTAGCCAGGCATGGTGGCACATGCCTATAATTCCAGCTGCTGAAGAGGCTGAGGCAGGAGAATCGCTTGAGCCCAGCAGACGGAGGTTGCAATGAGCCAAGACTGCGCTACTGCACTCCAGCCTGGGAAACAGAGTGATATTACATCTTGGAAAAAAAAAAAAATGAGGTAGCTAAGAAAAAAACAGAGGAGAGCAGTGCAGTAGACTTTTGGATATATGGATCTGGAAGCACATAGCCTAAACTAGAAGGAATAATGGAGGTTACTTGTCTAAGGAGAGCCAATACAACCCTTTCAAAATATTTTTCCATATTCTCCATTATCATTATTAAATTTGATCTATTTTCCTTTGTTTCCTTTACATTAAAAGTTTTTTTCCCCATTACAATCAAGTACAAAATTACCAAAAGGCCAACCTAACCTGGAAAATAAGAATACACCTCAAGAAAAATTTAAAAATTACTAGCCTTGTACTATTGTTTTTAAATCAAAAATAAATGGAATTATTGGAATCAGAAAAAAATCAATGACAGAAGTAATAATCAATGCATGAAAGCCTAACCATTTTCACTGAGCTTTGTAAACACAGAAGCCAAAAATCCAACTATCAAGTTGCTAAGGGGAAGCTACTGGATCAAAATGAGTGATGAACAATAAAAGATCAAGAGAAACTGAAAATCCCTTCCTCATAGATCAGGAATTAAAAAGAAAAATGAAAGAGTGCTTACAGAGAGTACATACATAATGCCCTACAACTAGAGACTTGATTTAGTTTTCAGCAAAGAAAACATCTTTGTTAAATTTCTTCCTAATTATTGGATGACTTTTGGTGTGCTGCCTTTCGTACTTTGTTTCACTTTCTTATTTTTTTATTGCAAATTTGTAGAAATTGATTTTTGTAGATTCAGCTTTATTTGGTAACCTTACTGAATATACCTATTAATTCCAGTAGTTCCCAGATTCTTCTAGCTTTTCTACATACTTAATCACATCATCTGTGGTTTTACTTCTTCCTTTCCAATTTTTATGTTACTACTTCCTTCGTGCCTTACTGCACCAGGAAGAACTTCCAGTACAATACAGAACAAAAGGTGTGACAATTTGGTATCCTTGTCTTTTTCCTGACCTAAAGAAAACACATTTGCTATCTCATCGTTAAGTATGATGTTAAATCTAGGGGGTTCTTATATATATATATATTTTTTTATTATACTTTAAAGTTCTAGGGTACATGTGCACAACCTGCAGGTTTGTTACATATGTATACATGTGCCATGTTGGTGTGCTGTACCCACTAACTCGTCCTTTACATTAGGTATATCTCCTAATGCTATCCCTCCCCCCTCCCCCCACCCACAACAGGCCCCGGTGTGTGATGTTCCCCTTCCTGTGTCCAAGGGTATTAGGGAACCTGCCCCAATAGTCATGTAGGTTCTTTTCTATTTTCCCTAAGTGTTGGCCAGTTTGAAAAATAAAGGGACAGAGTACAAAAGAGAGAAATTTTAAAGCTGGGCGTCCAGGGGAGACATCACATGTCAGTAGGTTCCGTGATGCCCCACAAGCTGCAAAACCAGCAAGTTTTTACTAGGGACTTTCAAAAGGGGAGGGAGTGTACAAATAGGGTGTGGGTCACAGAGATCATGTGCTTCACAAGATAATAGAGTATCACAAGGCAAATGGAGGCAGGGCGAGATCACAGGACCACAGGACCAGGGTGAAATTAAAATTGCTAATGAAGTTTCAGGCACCATTGTCATTGGTAACATCTTATCAGGAGACAGGGTTTTGAGAGCAACCGGTCTGACCAAAATTTATTGGGCGGGAATTTCCTCGTCCTAATAAGCCTGGGAGCACTATGGGAGACTGGGGCTTATTTCATCCCTACAGCTCGACCATAGAAGATGGCCACAGCCAGGGGGGCCGTCTACAGACCTACCCCCAGGCACGTATTTGCTTTCTCAGGGATGCTCCTTGCTGAGAAAAAGAATTCAGCGATATTTCTCCCATTTGCTTTTGAAAGAAAAGAAATATGGCTCTGTTCCACCCGGCTCACCGGTGGTCAGAGTTTAAGGTTATCTCTCTTATTCCCTGAACATTGCTGTTACCCTGTTCTTTTTTCAAGGTGCCCAGATTTCATATTGTTCAAACACACATGCTCTACAATTTGTGCAGTTAACGCAATTATCACAGGGTCCTGAAGCGACATACATCCTCCTCAGCTGACAGGATTAAGAGATTAAAGTAAAGACAGGCATAGGAAATCACAAGGGTATTGACTGGGGAAGTGATAAGTGCCCATGAAATCTTCACAATTTATGTTTAGAGACTGGAGTAAAGAAAGGCATAAGAAATTATAAAAGTATTAAATTGGGGAACTAATAAATGTCCATGAAATCTTCACAATCCACGTTCTTCTGCCATGGTTTCAGTCGGTCCCTCCATTTGGGGTCCCTGACTTCCCGCAACACAAGTGTTCTCACTGTTCAATTCCCACCTATGAGTGAGAACATGCAGTGTTTGGTTTTTCGTCCTTGCGATAGTTTGCTGAGAATGATGGTTTCCAGCTTCATCCATGTCCCTACAAAGGACATGAACTCATCATTTTTTATGGCTGCATAGTATTCCATGGTGTATATGTGCCACATTTTCTTAATCCAGTCTATCATTGTTGGACATTTGAGTGCTGCAATAAACATATGCGTGCATGTCTCTTTACAGCAGCATGATTTATAATCCTTTCGGTATATACCCAGTAATGGGATGGCTGGGTCAAATGGTATTTCTAGTTCTAGATCCCTGAGGAATCGCCACACTGACTTCTACAATGGTTGAACTAGTTTACAGTCCCACCAACAGTGTAAAAGTGTTCCTGTTTCTCCACATCCTCTCCAGCACCTGTTGTTTCCTGACTTTTTAATGATCATCATTCTAACTGGTGTGAGATGGTATCTCATTGTGGTTTTGATTTGCATTTCTCTGATGGCCAGTGATGATGAGCATTTTTTCATGTGTCTGTTGGCTGCATAAATGTCTTCTTTTGAGATGTATCTGTTCGTATCCTTTGCCCACTTTTTGATGGGGTTTTTTTTTCTTGAAAATTTGTTTGAGTTCTTTGTAGATTCTGGATATCAGCCCTTTGTCAGATGAGTAGATTGGAAAAATTTTCTCCCATTCTGTAGGTTGCCTGTTCACTCAGATGGTAGTTTCTTTTGCTGTGCAGAAGCCCTTTAGTTTAATTAGATCCCATTTGTCTATTTTGGCTTTCGTTGCCATTGCTTTTGGTGTTTTAGACATGAAGTCCTTGCCCATGCCTATGTCCTGAATAGTATTGCCTAGGTTTTCTTCTAGGGTTTTTATGGTTTTTGGTCTAACATTTAAGTCTTTAATCCATCTTGAATTAATTTTTGTATACGGTGTAAGGAAGGGATCCAGTTTCAGCTTTCTACATATGGCTAGCCAGTATTCCCAGCACCATTTGTTGAACAGGGAATCCTTTCCTCATTGCTTGTTTTTGTCAGGTTTGTCGAAGATCAGATAGTTGTAGATGTGTGGTATTATTTCCGAGGGCTCTGTTCTGTTCCATTGGTCTGTATCTCTGTTTTGGTACCAGTACCATGCTGTTTTGGTTACTGTAGCCTTGTAGTATAGTTTGAAGTCAGGTAGCATGATGCCTCCAGCTTTGTTCTTTTGGCTTAGGACTGACTTCACAATGCGGGCTCTTTTTTGGTTCCATATGAACTTGAAAGTAGTTTTTTCCAATTCTGTGAAGAAAGTCATTGGTAGCTTGATGGGGATGGCATTGAATCTATAAATTACCTTGGGCAGTATGGCCATTTTCATGATATTGATTCTTCCTAGCCATGAGCATGGAATGTTCTTCCATTTGTTTGTATCCTCTTTTATTTCATTGAGCAGTGGTTTGTAGTTCTCCTTGAAGAGGTCCTTCACATCCCTTGTAAGTTGGATTTCTAGGTATTTTATTCTCTTTGAAGCAATTGTGAATGGGAGTTCACTCATGATTTGGCTGTTTGTCTGTTACTGGTGTGTAAGAATGCTTGTGGTTTTTGCACATTGATTTTGTATCCTGAGACTTTGCTGAAGTTGCTTATCAGCTTAAGGAGATTTTGGGCTGAGATGATGGGGTTTTCTAGATATACAATCATGTCATCTGCAAACAGGGACAATTTGACTTCCTCTTTCCTAAATGAATACCCTTTATTTCTTTCTCCTGCCTGATTGCCCTGGCCAGAACTTCCAACACTATGTTGAATAGGAGTGGTGAGAGAGGGCATCCCTGTCTTGTGCCAGTTTTCAAAGGGAATGCTTCCAGTTTTTGCCCATTCAGTATGATACTGGCTGTGGGTTTGTCATAAATAGCTCTTATTATTTTTAGATACGTCCCATCAATACCTAATTTATTGAGGGTTTTTTTTTAGTATGAAGCGCTGTTGAATTTTGTCAAAGGCCTTTTCTGCATCTACTGAGATAATCATGTGGTTTTTGTCTTTGGTTCTGTTTATATGCTGGATTACGTTTATTGACTTGCGTATGTTGAACCAGCCTTGCATCCCAGGGTGAAATCTAGGTTTTCACAGTTACCCTCTTACCACTGGGTTTCTCAACCAGCATTCCACAAAACTCTAAGGTTCCACAAGAAATCGTGATTTTAAAAAATAAACATTTTCTAAATTTCTCACACCAGGTGATGCTGGTGCTCACAGTAACAGGCAACGACCGAACAGCCAAATCAATGGTTTCATAAGGAATCTTTTAGCACCATGTGGCAGTGTGCAAGTAGGGCTATGTTCACTTTGCTGAGGGCACTGTCTGTTGTTTTTTGTTTTTTGTTTTAAGGGACACCCAGGCAGGAGTACAGTGGCACGATCTCGGCTCACTGCAACCTCCACCTCCAGGGTTCAGACGATTCCTGTGCCTCAGCCTCCTGAGTAGCTGGGACTACAGCCATGCGCCATCACACCCAGGTAATTTTTGTATTTTTATTAGAGACGGGGTTTTGCCATGTTGGCCAGGCTGGTCTCAAACTCCTGACCTCAAGTCACCCGCCCGCCTCAGCCTCCCAAAGTGCTAGGATTACAGGCGTGAGCCACCGTGCCCAGCCTGCCACTATCCGTTTTTGATGCAATAGGGGCAGTTAGGCCACTGATAATTGGTAAGCTCTATATGGCACAAACAAAAGCATAGTAGGCTGACAATGTCAGCAGCTCCCTTCCCAAATTACATCCTCCAACCTTCCTTCACACAGTGCCACTGACTTATAGGACCAAACAAACTCTACTGGTATAACAGAAAATCTAAGGAAAACATTCATTCTAAACAAGTAATTTTTACACACCAAGAGTCAACTGCTTCTTACCACTCTGAAATGTTGCAAAACATGGATTATGTAGCAATAAAAGTAAAATGTAGCTGGGAGTAGTGGCTCACACCTGTAATCCCACCACTTTGGGAGGCCAACGTGGGCAGATCACAAGGTCAAGAGATCGAGACCATCCTGGCCAACATGGTGAAACCCCATCTCTACTAAAAATACAAAATTTAGCCGGGCGTGGTGGCACACGCCTGTAGTCCCAGCTACTTGGGAGGCTGAAGCAGGAGAATCGCTTGAACCCGAGAGGTGGAGGTTGCAGTGAGCCGAGATCACGCCATTGCACTCCATCCTGATGACAGAGCGAGACTCTGTCTCAAAAAAGAAAAAAGAAGTAAAATGTATTGTGAAGTTTTCATATTTTTTGCAACTTTCTCAGTTACTATTCCCTTTAGTTTTATAACATATTAGCATCTATGTCTTATAAACATGTCTGACAGTGCAGCGTGATGATTTCTGAAGATACAATTTACAAGAGAAGAGAATTCCAAACCTAGGCCCAGGAACAATTCTAATAAGGCAAGTAATAAAGAACTATAATCTTCTGGGTCATTTTACTGCACCAGTGCAGCAAGAGAGAGAGAACAGCCTACCACTACAGTGAAAACTACTTATCAATGAACTTCACTAGGTTAGTAATCCAAAGAGTCCTATTCCATTGTGCAGCATCTGTGGCAAACAATTTATGACTCCAGCAAAAGTGAAAAATCACTGAAATAGAAATCACAGCTACTGGACAAGTCAAGGTACTTACTGGAATCTCAGAGTAAAGCTCTTCATCTTTTTGTTTTTAAATCACATTCAGTGAAAAAGCTCATAAAGCACGTTATTAGTAGCAGAATTTATTGTCTAAAAAGGGGGTATAGTGGATAGAATCACACCACTGATGGGAACCTAATCATGCCAGCATGTTAAATGACAGTAAGTAAAATGCACAGCATGAGAAACTGAAAAGGCTCCACTCTCAAACAGTGTAAGTTGACAAATTGATGACATGTCACATGATGCTAAGAGGTTTAATAAACTGACAAACAGCTTGTTTATCCAGGCTGACAAACCAACATATTTCACTATATATGTCTTGTAAATTTTTTTAAACAATGCTGAATTTCAAGAAAAATTTTTGTGCTGCAAAAAAACTACCATAAACAAAGGGCATGACATTTTCAATGTGGTGTCTTCATATCTGGAAACAAGAAGTCCATCTTAGAGAAACTGTGTTGGCATCCACAGTGATGTTCCCCATTAGTGACTGGCTCACGGCAAGGTTTTACCTCTCTTGCAAAAAAAAAAAAAAAAAAAAAAACTCAGGACATCGCTTTTTTCAGAGAGGTACTAGCAGCAAAAATCCTCGGAAATGAAATTTAAGATGTCTTGAATGGGCCAGATGCAGTGGCGCACACCTATAATCCCAGCACTTTGGGAGACCAACACAGGAGGATTGCTTGAGGCCAGGAGTTTAAGACCAGCCTGGCAACACAGCAAGACCTCATCACTATTTAAAAAAAGTCTTGAATGATGTTTAAAAATGATTTGCTTTATTAAACATAGACCAGTATACTTGAGCACCTAAATCTCTTGCTACATACAGAAATCCAGTGGCTTAGCAGAGGAGGTATTCTCAACAGAACACTGAAGCTGAAAGCTGAATTACAAAGTACTTTCAAGAAAATAGTAGGCCATCCTTTACTGAGTGCTTTGAAGATGAAGAGTGACTGCAGGAGCTAGCCTCTTGGCAGACTTTTTAAAATAATATGAACCAGTTGAACAAGTTTAGAAAAAAATGTTTTGACTTCAAGTGACAAGACATTGGATTTCAAAGGAAAACTGAATCTCTGGAAAAATCATGTGGCAAAAGAAATCTTGTAATGCTGTTTGGGCTTGAAAGTGAGGAAGGATACCAGCAACTCTGAAGCATTCTCGAAAACCACCTGGAAGAACTAAAACACAAAATTAAACAGTACTTTCTCCCTCTTTCAACACAAATGTGAACCTGGGTGAAGGTTCCTTTCTTATCCCAAGCTTCTGCCCAACTGAGAACAAGTAAGTTGCCTACTTTGATCAGGTGAGAAAAGAAATCAAGTAGAAAATTTTAAAAAAGAAAAAAACTGAGGTTTCCTCTGCCTATACTACTGACTTGCACAAGAGTGGAGATCCTTCCTGGGGAGTAGGGAGCAACCACACACACAAAGAGCAGGCTAATAAGCTGGGCGAAATAAATGCAAAGACAAAAATATTCTCCTGTCAAAAGAGCACTGACAATTATTATTAACTTATCATGTCCACAACTTACTGATTAGGTTAATAAATGTGAACTCGGAGGTATAGCAATTCTTTGCATGGGTTCTCTGAGACCTGAAAATTATTTCAAGGGTTCCTCCAGAGTAAGAAGATTGAGAAAGGCTGCTCTATTGCATTGAGGAACTTTGCCTCTACTAATTTGCTGCAAGTTTTTATAATAAATTGGTATTAAATTTTACCAGAGGCTGGGCATGTTGGCTCACGCCTGTAATCCCAGCATTTTGAGAGGCCGAGGCAGGCAGATCACGAAGTTAGGAGATCAAGCCCATCCTGGCTAACACGGTGAAACCTCATCTCTACTAAAAATACAAAAAATTAGCCGGGTGTGGTGGCACACGCCTGTAATCCCAGCTACTTAGGAGGCTGAGGCAGGAGAATCGCTTGAACCCGGGAGGCGGAGGTTACGGTAAGCTGAGACAGTGCCACTGCACTCCAGCCTGGGCAAGAGAGTGAGACTCCGTCTCAAAAAAAAAAAAAAAAAATTTTACCAGCAACTTTTTCTATATCCACTAAGAGATCATGATTTTTCTTTATTCTGTTAATATAACTTACACTAATTAATTTTCAAATATTAACCACTCATACATTCCTAAACTTTACTCCATCACAATGTATTATCAGATCTATGGACATATATATTCATATCTTATATTTGAACAGATTAAATTGGTTCATATATTTTAAAAAATTTTTATACCTGTATTTAGTAGAGATATTGTCATATAATTTAAATACTTTTATTTAAAACTGGAAATAGATCCATATTCTTGACCCAGTCCTACTATGGACCAGAACTGTGTCTATGAGCCAGTCATTTAATGTCTATGGACTCCAGAGTTTCTAAATTCAAAAATAATTGTCAGAAGTAATTCAGACAGAAGTTAGGCCAGTGATTCTCAAACTTCAGCATGTATCACAATCACTTGAAGGGCTTTTTTAAAAACAGACTGTTGCTCACGCCTGTAATCCCAGCACTTTGGGAGGCTGAGACGGGCAGATCACAAGGTCAGGAGATCCAGACCATCCTGGCTAACACGGTGAAACCCCGTCTCTACTAAAAAAATACAAAAAAATTAGCCAGGCGTGGTGGCAGGCGCCTGTAGTCCCAGCTCCTCGGGAGGCTAAGGCAGGAGAATGGCGTGAACCCAGGAGGTAGAGCTTGCAATGAGCCAAGATCGCACCACTGCACTCCAGCCTGGGTGACAGAGCAAGATTCCATCTCAAAAAAAAAAAAAAAAAAAAAGACTGTTGAGCTATACTCCCAGAGTTTCAAATTCAATAGGTCTGGAAAGGGGCCCAAGAATTTGCATTTCTAACAAGTTCCCAGGTGATGCTGATACTGCTGGCTGGAGAATGACACTGGAGAAACACTAAGCTAGAATAAGCCAAATTAACCCAGATTTTTCAACATAGTGTTTTACATAACCGAGACATAAGGAATAATGCTGAAATCAAGAGAAAAATCATTTTATCAAAAATAAAGTACACACTTAATTTGTCATCTGAGAATTAAAGTGCTGTCTCATATGAAGAAAGAGGCATCCTAAGGGGATTTTCGAGATAACTTGGAGTGCTTTTAAAACTTACTCCTTTAAGCAATAAAATTTGTTTTACATTAACCATTTCTGTAAAAATCCTCCTAAAATAAACCATAAAGTTCCTCTTTCATCTTAACCAGGTCACTGAACATAATTTAATCTTTTTTGATGTCTCAGTTACTGTTCCAACGTAAATTACTGAGCTATGGTATGATAGTAACCATCTCAGGAGCTGGTGAGATGAGGTGGGCAGTTTGTCCCCTCCACTGCATGTTCTCAGTATTATGACTCTGAAGTTCCTGTATCTGCCTTTCATCTTTCTATTTAGTACTTTGTCCAAAGTTATGACTATCTGCTATAAATCTCACTGTACCTATCTAATGCCTCCCCTGGAACTTTTTCCACAGTTTCTAAATCATTCTTATTAAGCAATTAAACAGTTTCCCTATTAAATGAATCAACTATAAGGAGCATTTCTGTTGCCTTTCTTTTGCTTTCTTTCTAAAGGTACACAAAAGACAGTGGGAGACTTTCCAAGAATCTGTTTACAGATACCTTCCAAATGTACTTCTTCCCTTTCAAAATAAGCCCTTCTCTTTACCTTCCACCTCCCCCCGCCATGAAAAAGTAATCTCACCTCCATTCAGAATTTGTGATGCAGAGCCTGAAGGAATAATAAACTCCAGGGACCCAAACAAACAGACAAGCCAAAAAAATGGTTTCAGGGAAGCATTCGTGAATGGTAACTGAGGTGCCGTAAACTATCCATTACTGGGCTTCTTGTCTTTTCCAGTCACATATTTTTCAAAGAGTTTAAAATATTTTGGCCCCTGCTGGAACATTCTAATCTATCATAATCTGTGAGCAATTGTTTAAAGTTTCCTCTAACAACCATTCCCCCTACACCCCCACCTCCATTCAGTATTGTCCAAGAACGCATTGCTCTTAGGGGACAGTATGATAAAAGTAATGCACAGAGAACACTGGTTAAAAAAAAGATAAAAAGAAATATTTTTTTCAAGAATTCTTATTTTTTTATTAGCGACAAGGTCTCAATGTGTCGCCCAGGCTGGAGTACAGTGGTGCAATCTTGGCTCATTGCAACTTCCACCTCCCAGGCTCATGTGATTCTCAGCCTCTAAAGTAGCTGCGGTTACAGGCATGTGCCAACACACCTGGTTAATTTCTTTTTGTATTTTTAGTAGAGACGGGGTTTCACCATGTTGGCCAGGCTGGTCTCAAACTCAAGTGATCCACCTGCCTCAGCCTCCCAAAGCGCTGAGAATACAGGTGTGAGCCACTGTGCTGGGCCGAGAATTTAAATATAAGTAATTCTCAAAACTCATTCCCTGAATATTTATTAGCTTGAAGAAAAAGCATATTTAGAGAGCTGGAACAATATCAATTAGGGAGGCTGATTCCTTTAAATATAAAAGAAATACTTTCTAGGACTGCCAAGTCATTCAAATTGTGCTATATAAAAGCTGTATAGAAATTACTTTAGATTGAGTGTGCATTACTCAATATGGTAGTTAAAATCTATTTTGTCAAATCGTATCATTAAAGTTTTATTCTAATTAGTCAATTCTCATTATAGTTTTTCAACAGTTTAATATTTCTACCTTCTACTGACAAAAAATAAGATATGCTAGCTGTCATACTGAGTAGTTTGAAGCAGTAGGTATCTCTTTCATTAATTACCCAAATAAAAATGTAAGGTTACTTCTGATTCATTCCCTTTTATTTATACCTAATAGCTGAGATCAGAGATCAGAAGATGCAGGAACACACATTTAAAAAGGAGTAACAGGCCAGGTCTAGTGGCTCACGCCTGTAATCCCAGCACTTCAGGAGGCTGAGGCAGGCGGATCACTTGAGGGATCCCCTGAGCCCAGGAGTTCAAGACCAAGCTGGGCAACACTGAGAGACCCTGTCTCTACAAAAAAAATACAAAAATTAGCCAGGCATGGTGGCACGTGCCTGTAGTCCCAGTTACTTGGGAGGTTGAGGTGGGAGGATCACTTGAGGCTAGGAGATCGAGGCTGCAGTGAGCCAGGATGGTGCCAATGCACTCTAGCCTAGGTGACAGAGTTAAGACCCTGTCTCAAAAACAAATAAATAAATAAAGGAATAACACAACTTTTATCATATCCCTTGCTTCATATTTTAACTGATTTAATTTTTAATCTAACATGACAAGCAGCGCAGAAATGTTTAAATTATTACAAAAATTGACAAATTACTGTAATTCTTTTTCAGTCATATAATTTTCAGCTCAAATACCTTAGCAGTATCTTTTAGTATGCATTCCATAATTTATTCCTCAGTGGTTTTCATATTATCCAAAATATCTGGTAATCTATTTATTTGAAATTTAAAATAGAGGAAAATTTTATGATTCAAAGCAAGTTTGTTATGGCTAGTTGGTTTGACAATGGAGACTGGCTTTGTTAACTAGGAGATATTTTCTAAAAATTGAATAAGCTAAACCTTCATACTAAAAGTTTTCACAAAAATATATTTTAAACACATAAAACAATTATAATAAAAATTCACAAAGCTATATTAAAATTAACAGTATTTCTATTTTCTCAACTGCTTCTGAATATATCAGATTTTAAAGAAAGTACCTATGAAGGGAGGGAGGGGAACTGATATAAGACATTTGATAAGCCTTTTTGATATGCTTCCTAGAAGCTAAGAAAATAAATGGTTAAGCACTAGGTAACAAATCCTTTGGCAAGTTGGGTGGTTTCCATTCTTTTGCTTTCAATAAAACTGAAGGAGGACCTAACAGAAGCATTAACTAATGGATGCTTGATGATAAAATCACTAGTGATTTTTGACATATAACTTGGAAGATTCTGATATCACAAAATTTCCATTAGAATTAACTTATATATTTGAACATTTATGTCTAAGCACTTAAATTCTACAAAATCTCAAAACACGAACAGATTTGCCAAACACAAGAACTAATGAAGGAAGAGAGGAGACAGCTGCATTCATTTAAGAATAAATTTCTGATACAAAGTGAATTTAATCAAAATTTTAATCTATGTATGTTATTCTAATCAACTGTGCACCAATAATTGTAAAAATAACTCAAACCGTAAGTTATTTTTAACACTTAGAGCTTTACGGTCATAGGAAAAACATTTTAAATTTTGATTTATATTTCAATTTATTTACATATTATTGTGGCAGAAAAGTTTGATAGATGATCAATAAATGATTTGAAAGATAAAAATACATAACATTTGGATAAAATTCAAAGGGAGTAACAGATGGGACACAAATATTCAAAGAAAAAATAATTAAAATTCCCAATCATTAAGGGAGTTTGTTTTTATACTTTTAAATAATGACATTTAGATTCCATTAGATAAATTTAAAAGTGATATATTTTATTGAAATACTACAATATGCCAGAAATTCTGTATTTCTGGTCATCATTTAAATTTTTGCTTGAATAGTGCCACTATTTAAACTTTGCTAACAGAGTGTAGTTATCAACTTAAATATGTACAAAGGGGTACACAGTTTTTCAAACTGTAGGGAGCACAAGTAAAAATTCTGAAGTTCACTGTTCTAAGACAGACAAAGTTATAAGTAAGCCACATAGGGAAGTGAAGACCATATTAACAGAGTAGCAAAAACATGACACTTAAATGTCAGTGTCCCTCAACAGAGTGACAGCCCTGAGGGTGGCATTTTTTTCTGGGTATTCCCACCATTAGTGCCCTAAACAGCCAATAGATTTTCATAACTGCTTACCATGTGGGGGAATAAATGGATGAAATGAATCAACAGTGAATACTTACGTGTCAAAATACATTATTTAATAATGGGGAGTTATATACTAACATATTTATACTATAACCCAAATACAAACCACAGAATTTAGACTCAGCTAGACACTAAGTCTATTAAATTACAAAAGAAAAGCCTTAGCACAGTTAAAAATCTGATTTATATTTTAACCAATAGATGGATGAAATTAAAATAACAAATATAGTACTGTCTTTTTCAAGAGATGCAACTAGTAACTAATCGTGAATAAGAGTTTGGCAAAAGAAGGGAGCAAATTTGAAATTACTTAGCCATCTTAGCTAAAAATGAAATCCCGCTTTAATAAATTTAGTTAAGATTCAAAGTCTTGGTCAGGCATAGTGGCTCATGCCTGAAAGCCAAACACTTTGGGAGACCGAGGTGGGAAAATCACATGAGCTTAGGAGTTCGAGACCAGCCTGGACAACACAGTGAGACTTCGTCTCTTCTAAAAATAAGAAAATTAGCCAGGCATGGTGGTGCATGCCTGTAGTCCCAGCTACTTGGGAGGCTGAGGCAGGAGGATCACTTGACCACAGGAGTTCAAGGCTGCAGTGAGCTACGATCGTGCCACTGCACTCCAGCCTGGGTAACGGAGCAAGACTGTCTCAAAAAAAAAGAAAAGGGAAAAAAAAAGATTCAAAGTAAAGCCAAAATCTTATATGATCAAAACTTTGTATTCAAAAAATACTAAACCTTCCATCAAACATTAAATTCTAATTCTTTTGTGAGTCAATGTTTTTCTAAGACTCTCAGTAAATGTCTAATTTTCTCCTCCAAGATGCAGAGAAGCCATCACCATCATCTGCCTGAACTATGTACTTTTTACTTCTCACATCAATGGAAGTAATAACCTGAAAAATCAATCACATCCTCCCATTGGTTTTGCCAGCCTGTATTCATTAAGAGGTGATATACCTACTGCCTAGGCACACTCTTATTAAGTGAAATGGTGAGCTTAAACTGTACCCTTGAGTTAATGCAGATTAAATATGCTTTGGTAACTCGCCACAATGCCAAATTAATACAATGTAAAAGGCTTGAGGTATAATTGGCATACAATAAACTGCACATACTGAAAATGCACAATTTTGATAAATTTTGATGTATACAGAAATTTAACTTCTGAAAACCCTAATCTCCTTCTTTTGCCAAAAAGTTAAATAGGACTTTTGCTATCTGAGAAAAGTACTTACCTTCATGTAATTCACAATCTTAGCAAGAACACCAAACTTATATCCAGAGCTTCCTGACAAAGCTTTCAAGTTAAATGATCCATTGCTATGATCTGCAAATGAAGTTCAAAATAACATCGTCATATTATGTGTGATTATGACTCTTGAGCAGCTAAAATAATTTTAATGCTGGTAACATATTTCTTGAGTTTTTCATCTAGTATATTCTACCCTGTAATATTCTGGTGAAAAATACACAATCTTTGAGTATATACATTAAAGTACCAATTTTCTCACTAAGGGTAGAAACAAAGTATAAATAACTTAAAACACCAAACCACAATTCTTTTATAAATATCTTTATCACATTATTTTTTATTATATTTTTTGAGACAGGGTCGCATTCCCATTGCCCAGGCTGAAGTTCAATGGCACAATCACAGCTCACTACACCCTCAACTTCCCAGGCTCAGGTGATTCTCCCACCTCAGCCTTCTGAGAGGCTGGGACTACAGGTGCACACCACCATGCCTGGCTAATTTTTTTATTTTTTGTAGAGATGGGGTTTCGCCATGTTGCCCAGGCTGGTCTCAAACTCCTGGACTCAAGAGATTCACCCATCTCAGCCTCCCAAAGTGCTGGGGTTACAGGTGTGAGCTACTGCACCAGGCCCCTTTCTCCTTTATCTCATTCTTATCTTAACTCTGATTAGACTCGCTCCATAATCAGAAGTACACTTTATTAAACAAGGAAACAATACAAACCTCAATCCCATCCATAAAGCTAACACAAGGAGTGGATTACTTCTGAGGGAAGAAAAGTTCAATATACCACTTTTTACATCAATTTCTGCTTACCAATTTAAGACCAAAAAAATAGGAATTAATGGAAACTAATAGAAAAAAGATATCACAATTATTTTAAAGTAAACTTTACAGATAAATTAGGAATAAAAAGCCACAGGCACTGCCACTGCATGAACATGGATGCTTACTTTAAAAAGCATCACAGCACTACCCACCCACTTTGAGAAACACCCCCCTCTCCTTCTCTATCTGGTGTGGAAAACCCTGTACAAAAGATCATTTGTTTCAAAATATCTATCATTTTGTTGCATTCTTACAAGCAGAAACCCTAATGTCACCACTGCATCACAAATGCATTCCATTAGTCATAACCAGGAACAGTAAAAAATCCATCATAAATACTAGAAAAACATTTTAGAAGTACACATTCTATTAGCAAGGCATGAGATCAGATATTATAAAGTTCCCATGTGGCTGATCCACAAAGAGAGAGGTTAAGTAAAAGGGGAGAGGAGAACCAATCTCTGGCACCAGGTTGGTAATAATAATTTAAACAAAAGATTGCATTAGAACAACCACAAGTCAAATGTAACAACTGTCAGAGATCCAAAAGAACAGCTTCTAGATGGCAATACCATACTCCTTTGAGATTAGTGAAGTCTTTATTGAGTATCCTTTTTTGAGACTAAAATGAAACTTCATATGCAATTTTCCTTTAAAACTAACTTTGTTACAATCTTAATTAATTGGCACACTGAAGTCTACCATGTTTCCAAAAGTAACAATAACATTAAGAATGCCTTACAGTTGGGAAGCCCAGGTGGGCAGATCATGAGGTCAGGAAATCGAGACCATCCTGGCCAACATGGTGAAACCCCGTCTCTACCAAAAATACAAAAATTAGCTGGGCATAATGGCACGTGCCTGTAGTCTCAGCTACTTGGGAGAATCACTTGAACGAGAGAGTTGGAGGTTGCAGTGAGCCGAGATAGTGCCACTGCACTCCAGCCTGGCAACAGAGTGAGACTCCGTCTCAAAATTAAAAAAAAAAAAAAAAAGAATGCCTTATAGGTGCTTTTCCATTCACTGTTTCAATTATGAAATATTACCTACGTAGTTCATTCTCCCAAGGTGTTCAGCACATCTGTAATAAAAGTAACCAATATTTATTATCTGCTAAACACTATGGTAAATATTCATACGTAATCCCTCCCAAAAAATCCAACTTAAGAAGTATTACTGTCCCCTTTTAAATATAATAAAATTGAGGGTAGTAAGCAGCAGAGTATAGATTCAAATCCAGTGTAAACCCTGTAATAAACAGCCTTTACACAGATTATTCCATCTGAAACTGGCCATTTTGTCAAAGTACAGAAATCTGTGACTGCACATTTAATGCTTGTTTAAGTAAAATAATATTAAGCTTACCCCACGCAACTGTATAAACAACTGGGAAGACTATGAAAAAAGAGATGACAATGTGTTAAGGACAAACACCACACAAATGGCCAATTATGAATCACAAACAGTTGTGCTTATGAGACATGATGCTTATGTCTCTGGCATCTACTACTAACTCAATGTCAAGCTTAGTAAACACTCAATAAATATTTGTTGAATGAATGACTATAATACAGATATTTCTATGCATTCCTTTATGGCCCCAGAAACTAATGTACCAATTCATCTATAATTTTATTTTATTTATTTTATTTTATTTTATTTGAGATGGAGTCTCACTCTGTCGCCCAGGCTGGAGAGCAGTGGTGTGATCTCAACTCACTGCAACCTCTGCCATTCGGGTTCAAGCAATTCTCCTGCCTCAACCTCCTGAATAGCTGGGATTACAGGAGACTGCCACCGTGCCTGGCTAATTTTTGTACTTTAGTAGAGATGGGGTTTCACCATCTTGGCCAGGCTGGTCTTGAACTCCTGACCCTGTGATCCACCCAACTCAGCCTCTCAAAGTGCTGGGATTACAGGCATGGGCCACCGCTCCCAGCCTTCATCTATAATTTTAAAAAAGAAGTCTACATAGCATGTACCTGGTCTGCTGCTGTTGTTAACAGCCACTCCCATAATTAAAAACCTTCATTCTGTTGTGCTTAGACCATAACTCTAAATAATACACAGTAACTAAAAATACTCTGTCTCTAAAGAGCCAACCTGGAGATCACTTTGCCATTTACATTTTAGAGACTATTTTTTGAATGCAGGTAGTGTATTTACCTAAATGAGCCCTCTTCCAACTTGCAGAGCTAAAAGCCAATTATTTTCCTTCATAATTCCTCCTAAATCAAACCACCACATGGAAATAATCACTTCCAGAGTGCAAAAATTATATACGGAACAAGTAATGAAAGAAAAGGAAGAACAAGAAAAATTTATAAGATTTTATGCACACTTCCTGAAGGAAATATCAGGCTGGCAAACCTGGACTGTTTGTTTCCTAGGTTACTACCTTTCCCGACATTATCTTCCAGCCCTAGCACTGAAGTATTCACTGAAGGATCTGAAATTTTATAATGAAACACTAAAGAATCATCAATTTGTTAGTAACTCACAAATTCCTATATAGGAATTTAGCTTAAGAACAAAAAAATAAAGGAGAAGGGATGACAGTTGATACCCCAGACAGCTCTATTCAAGTTTATGAATGATTTACTCTTAAGGGTGGCAAGACTTAATGCAAATGAACATAGAGGAAACTGTCAGCTCCATTGTGGTTCAACCAATAGAAGCACAGCTCCATCTTGGCTGTGCACTAGACTGCATTACAAACAGACGATACCATCGCTTCAGCAGCATCCTCTCAGACAAGAGGTAGGTTTATATGATCTTTTTTATTTAGTGGTACATGTCCTTATGATGCAATAGGAAAATATTTTACCCTGAAAAATCAACCAGAAAGCTTTGCTCCTACTAAATATCAAGAAAAAGCAATGTATTCGTTTCACCGCTTGGTAGGATTTTATTATGAAAATATGAAGACTGCCTTGTGCTATTTGATAAGCACCCTTACCATCTGTGCCTTAATGGAAAATTCATTACATTTTACATGAACCTGATCTATATCCAGACCTCAGAGTAAACCATAGCTTTTTATTTTAACTGGTTACTTGCTAATTTCATTTTCTCTGAGCGATTTCATTTCTGCAGTTTGGTCTGTCTTAACAAAGGATTTTTCTTAAAGAAAAACCCAGATCAAAAGCGAATTCCAGACTAAAGCTTTCTGATTCTATGTGCAAATGATATTGGCTGCTAAAAAATAGTTACTTATAAGAAAGTTTGTTATATTTTTTAGAATATGAGAAAATAGTTCAAAATTATTTTTATTTTGCTTTGAATGTAGATGCAGAGAATGCCAAGAAATTATCACAATTTTAATTTTTATATAAAAGATCATAAAAGGTATCACTATATGGGCTGCATTATACTACACTGAACAGATAATTTATACAGCTTCAGACTTCCTTAACATTTAATTAAAGTATTTCTTCACTGTGAAATTTCTCTCTCGTAATATAAAGTCATGCTATTAAACAAAAACCTTCTTAAATAGCCTTTCATTTTTGATATCAATTTATCACACCATTTAAATATAATGTTGAAGTCATTCTTAAACTGATCCTCAAAATAAATACAAAGTAAGTCCTTTTGATAAACTGCATTTTAAAATAAAAATATGTCCTAAGAAGAACTGGTTAAGAAAGGAGAGTAAGTACCTTTCTAGGTAACAAGATTATCTTCGTGGCTCAGAGCAATCATTCATGTCTATTAAAAATTAATATTAACTGCTGACCAAATTTCTAATTTTATACTATTCAAGCATGAAAATTTAGTTATTTACTAGATGTTAGAACTCCATCTATATACTATATCGGACCTAAAGAGCCAGCTTCTGTCCTTTTACCTTGCTGGTAAGTTTATTTAATCTTTAAAGGGTTTTTGTTTTTTTTTTCTTCATAATTTCTATTCCTTTTCTTAGTCGGCATTCAGCTAGCCTGAGCAAAGTATCCCCTGCAAAACCCAAAGGTTGCTGTAATAAGATACTAGATCTGTCCAGGTTCAGCACAGTGGGGTTAATTATCTAGAAACCATTTGTGCTTGCTACAGAAAGTACAGAAGCACCAAACAAAAGTCTCAGATAAAATAAAAATAACTTTGTCAAATAAAACAGTTAACTTACAAATCAAATTTCAGGTAAACTGTCAACAGAAACCCCTACCACCCACATTGTTTTAACACTCTATCATCAGCCTGCATTTTGCTTGGAATATGTCTATTGTTAGCACAGATGGAGGCTCATTGCTGTTTCACCAAACTGACTGGAGACATGGCCTAAGTTCCAGAGCTTAAATTAAGTGAGTTGCTCTATATTTACAGGCTATTAGGATTAACTGATCACATTTCAAAGTGATATGCTTAAAAGCACCTGAGAATTCAATTCAAAGGCTTTTACCATAAATACAGCAAAAGCATAACTTTATTCTCATCTGGCAACCCAAAGGTTCCAGAACAGTTCCAAGTCCCATCCCCATTAACACTGCACTGGGGCCTTTGGGAGTAAACATATCAAATGGGAGTAAACATATCAAAATGGGAGTAAACATATCAAATGGGAGTAAACATACCAAAATTAACATAAAACAAAACTAAAACACATATGCTAAAAAAAAATTATGTGATTTACTTTAAAGCTCCCCATTCCTGTAATCAAATTTTAAGGCATGGGTAGGGAAGTCCAGAAAAAGATTGTTTTACCTTTTTTTATATACACCATTTTCTCTTGCTTTTCATAAAGAATGTTTACAGCATTTGCTTAATATAAACTTACATTTTAATTTCAAAACTAAGTCGCAGGATAGGAGAAAATCCTAATGATGTATTTCTATTTTTTGGCGGGGGGACGGAGTCTCACTCTATCGCCCAGGCTAGAGTGCAGTGGCGCAATCTTGGCTCACTGCAACCTCTGCCGCCCAGGTTCATGAGATTCTCCTGCCTTGGCTTCCTGAGAAACTGGGATTACACACACCCGCCACCACAACTGGCTAATTTTTGTGTTTTTAGCAGAGACGGAGTTTCGCCATGTTGGTCAGGCCAGTCTTGAACTTATGACCTCAGGTGATCTGCCTGCCTCAGCCTCCCAGAGTGCTAGGATTACAGGCCTAATGGTATATTTCTTTCTGCATGCTTAATTATGCCTAATCCATGAAAGTAAGATTTAGCCTTTACCCTAAATTAAACATCAAAAGTTACTAGAGCTCTACCACACTTTGAAAGAACATGCCACACTAAATTTAAGGTGGAAAATGACTCCATATTAGAGAGTTTACTTTTTTCAGATATGCCCAGAAGCTAACAAACAATGAATGTTTTGAGCCGCTCGGTTATCAATACACTCACAAGACAAATCATCATCATTTACAACATAAACCTGACCTATACACTTTCTTAAACTGCTTAGACACTTCCAGCAAAGCATGTAAGTGCCTTTGGAGGTGGCCTATGGTGTTACCTATAGTTATTATTAAAAGCGTAATTTGTTTTGGTTTGGTTTTTTTGAGACAGGGTCTCACTCTATCACCCAGGCGGGAGTGCAATGGAGAAATCACAGCTCACTGCAACCTCAACCTCCTAGGCTCAAGCTATCCCCCCACCTGAGCCTCCCAAGTAGCCGAGACTACAGGCGCAGGCTATCATGCCCAGCTAATTTTTATTTTTGTAGAGACAGGGCCTCCCCACATTGCCCAGGCTGGTCTCAAACTCCTGGGCTTGGCCAGGCGCGGTGGCTCATGCCCGTAATCCCAGCACTTTTGGGAAGCCAAGGTGGGTGGATTACCTGACGTCAGGGGTTCAAGACCACCCTGGCCAACATGGTGAAACCCCATCTCTACTAAAAAGACAAAAATTAGCTGGGTGTGACTGTACATACCTGTAATCCCAACTATTCGGGAGGCTGAGGCAGGAGAATCACTTGAACCAGGATGCAGAGGTTGCAGTGAGTCAAGATTGTGCCACTGCCATCCAGCCTGGGTGACAGAACGAGACTCTGTCTCAAACCAAAAACAAACTCCTGTGCTCAAGTGATCCTCCTGCCTCAGCCTCCCAAAGTGTGGGGGTGAAGGCATAGGCCACAGCACCCAGCCAAGCATAATTATTAAAAGCATTTTTATGTGTGAATAAAGTATACAGTCTAACAAAAATGACAGTGTTTCCTAATCCCAATTTGAATTTTTTGGAATCCAGAATACTCAATAAATGTATTAAATAGATACATAAACAACAGGCTCTTTTAAGTGAAAGTAAGTTTATTAAGAAAGCAAAGGAATACTCAGCAGCACTTTAGAAGTTTTATTAGGCTAACGTTTTGTATTACAGTGCATTAAATAAGTCAATATTGACAGCTGATTTAACTAGATGTGTTACATTTTGAAAGCACAAAGGGATTTTATCTTTTTGAATTAAAGGAGAAAAGCCAAAAAAAAAAAAAAGGAAAGGAATAAAAGAATGGTTACTCCATACTACTCCATAAGCAGGAATAAAAGAATGGTTACTCCATACTAATCCATATTGTTGGCTAACAATAGACTTTTAAGAGAGCCAAGAATAAGGAATAGTGCTTTTTATTTCTCTTTTTAAAATAGATGATTTACTTTGGTTTCAAATAAATAATATATTTAAATTGTTGAAAAAACAAAAGAACACAAGGTACAGGTTAAGAAGCCTCAAACATATCCCTGTGCCTCACTCTCCTCCCGATGGATCCCCATCCACACCATCATTGTGATTAATTTCTTGTAGGTCTTTCTAAGATTTCTCTGCAGATACAAGCAAATAAGAGTATATGTTTTCCCTCTTCCTATATACACTATCCTACACCTTGTTCTTTTCACTTAAGAACATATCCTAAATATCTTTCCTAAAACTCAGTTACCTATGATTCAATTGTGTGAATAAACTATATTAATTTAACCAGAAGAATAGCTCATTAATGGATACAAGTTAAACCTCAAATAACTGAATTTAGTTATGTATCTGTCTGCCTTCCTGACTGCCTCTTTCTATTTATTTTTGAGGTAAGGGGACCTGAAAATATTTTAAGCAGTTCACTTATACCTCAAAAGTAGATGAGATATCTCTTTTTTGGAAATGGGAGTTTCACTCTTGTTGCCCACGCTGGAGTGCAATGTGCATTTTCCTTCAAAATGCAGGAAAAAAGGAGGCAAGTCCATCCAGAGAGGTGAAGTGACTTACCAAGCAAACCTAAGAAAACAAAAACCTTAGAAAACATAATTTTATCAACCCCAAAGATTTTATTAAGAAAACAAAAAAATTTAAGGAATTATATTGTTATGGCTTTGAGTTTGGGGTGTGAAAACAATATTGTGGTTATGTTTAAAAATAGAGTCCTCACCATTGGGAGATATATATTGAAATATTTCTAGGTGAACGATGCCTTGAATTTGCTTTAAAACAACCAATGGGGTGGAAGCAAACAGGTACAGGTAGAGATGGGCCAAGAGTTGATGAATGAAGTTGCATTATAAGTACATGGGAGGCCAGGCGCAGTGGCTCACGCCTGTAATCCCAGCACTTCAGGAGGCCAAGGAAGGTGGATCACAAGGTCAGGAGTTTGAGACCAGCCTGACCAACATGGTAAAACCCGTTTCTACTAAAAATACAAAAATTAGCCAGGTGTGGTGGCACATGCCTGTAATCCCAGCTACTCAGGAGGCTGAGGCAGGAGAATCACTTGAACCCAGGAGGCGGAGGTTGCAGTGAGCTGAGATTGCATCATTCATTGCACTCCAGCCTGGGCAACAGAGCAAGACTCTGCCTAAAAAAAAAAAAAAAAAGACAGTACATGGGATACTCTGGTTTCTCTTCAGATCATACAAATCTCTCACCTTTTACTAAAGATTTCTTCAGAGAGTAATAATTCTAAGTCTTAACCCAATTTTTGAGGCCCTGCATCTGCAAGGCTAGTAAGAAAGAAAAAAAAAAAAGTACATGGGGTTCATACTACTTTGTAGTTTTCGTTAAATGAAACACTCTCACACAAAAGGTATCTCCAGAATTTACAAAAATATTTGGTACACATTAGGTAATCAATAAACATTTGTTATAAAAATAAAATCCTGTTTACAACTATGTAGTAAAGGAAAAGCATACAGAATGACAACCGATAAATTAATGAAGTAGAACTACATTTTTTCTCTTATTTCCAAAATGTTCTTAGTGCACAGGTTATCTTATAATTTTTAAAACTAAATGTTAAAATATTTGTTAGAGATCAAGACAGTAAAAACTAATTTAGTTCCTCATTACTATAGTTCCATACTGACAAATCTTTGATTCTAACAGTCCCCATTTAAGAGCTAACAAGTACCAGGTCAACAAGAGCTAAACTTAATTCAAGAATACTGAAACTTGAACTCACCAGCTTCTTTTGTGAAATGGAATAATAACTGATACCTTTGGGAGGGCTGAATTTGTCTGTTTTTTTAAATATTTATGTCTATGGGTCACTCAGGTATACGAAACACTTAAGACTATCATTTATAACCCCAAGATTAGGGTCTCTTCACAGATCACTCTAACCTAAAATTTTATTATCCTCATTCTGAAAATTGGCATTATTTGGTTTTCTTTCTCTACTATTTTTCACTCAGCCACTATTTCTGATTCAGATCACCTGTCATCGAAGTTTAAAGAAGGGGAAACAGGAGACAGAAATACACTGAACCAAAAAGGTAAGAAGAATCCACAAGGCTAATGATAAAAGCTTTTCCAGGGGCAGTTTGAAGAACATAACCTTAAAACGCCAAGGTTTTTTGTAGATAACAGCTCACTGACCACTGCTTTAATCAAGTTTTAAACCAATTCAGCTGCCTTTTCCCCTTCCATTAGCAGTTAATTTCGGTATATGAATTTTTTTTTTTTTTTTTGAGAAACGGTTTCATTCCCATTGTCCAGGCTAGAATGCAGTGGCACGATCTTAGCTCACCACAACCTGCGCCTCCCTGGCTCAAGCAATCTTCCCGGCTTAGCCTCCCAAGCAGCTGGGACTATAGGCACACACCACCATGCCTGGCTAATTTTTGTATGTTTTGTAGAGACGGGTTTCGCCATGTTGACCAGGCTGGTCTTGAACTCCTGGGCTCAAGTGATCTGCCCACATCACTCTCCCAAAGTGTTGGGATTACAGGCGTGAGCCACCATGCCTGGCCTGAATCTTAAATATACATATTCATCTAGCAAATAATATATGTTAAAAAACAGGGTATGGTTGACTAAGGACGTTGGCCCAGATATACAAAAAAATTCAAAACTACCATTTAGGCATTAATTAAGGAAGATTCATGTTGCCTATACAAATTTACTAAGAAATCTTAGTACTGAGATTTGAATTAACAGATCTGTAGTTTGCTACATAAATTCATTTTCTACCTTTTTTATAGATTCAAAAGAGCAAGTGGAATCTCTAAGAATGGCTTCCAGCCACTGGAATGAAACCACTACCTCTGTTTATCAGTACCTTGGTTTTCAAGTTCAAAAAATTTACCCTTTCCATGACAACTGGAACACTGCCTGCTTTGTCATCCTGCTTTTATTTATATTTACAGTGGTATCTTTAGTGGTGCTGGCTTTCCTTTATGAAGTGCTTGACTGCTGCTGCTGTGTAAAAAACAAAACCGTGAAAGACTTGAAAAGTGAACCCAACCCTCTTAGAAGTATGATGGACAACATCAGAAAACGTGAAACTGAAGTGGTCTAACACTCTATAGAAGATGAACAAAATCTCTGAAAGCAGCTCAACCTCTTCTGAGAAAAAAAATATATTCTGAGGCCAACTGTTGCTACAAAACAAATTCTGACTGAATGGTTAAAACATTTCTAGTAGAAGGGGAAAAAAAAGTTAAACATGCACTGTTTGTGTGTATAGCCATTTCATTAAATATACAGTAAAACTTCATGAATGTGAATTTACTAATCTGTTTAATACTGACACTTCAAAAACTGGATAAAAGATTCCTAGAGTTCAATATTAAGCAGCAAAAGATAAGCTGGAAAAGACAAGCAAGGCTAATGATGCTAAAATGATTTTATAACTAACCAATTCATGTAGACAAAAAATAGTGTGTTGGTAACAAAAAGGCTATTTAAAACATGTTTCTAAGTCTGAAGTAAAATACTTCCACTTATATATATAAAGTTCCTATTTATTAAAAAGTAGTATTTTCTAATTTACTGAAAACAACTTATATAAATATATAATGACTTGAGTTTTATGTAGGATTAGTATGAAAAAGTCTCAAAATAATCAAAAATGCCACAAGTATATTTGCACAAAATTCTCACAAAACTGACTTACTGTTTAGTTAGAAATGCATGATATAGGAAAGGCCTAGTCTATTTTCAAACTAAAACTTACTACTACACCCCTTCATTTCCTGAGTTTGTTCTTTCATTTTACCTCTCTTATTTATACTCTCAAAGGCTAAGATAACCAAGGCAGAAAGACTGCCCCTCCCCCCATCCCCCCAAAAAAGGTCAAAAGATAGGGCCACTCAACACCTGTTGAAATATGGCAGTTTTATTTCTTGGAATTCCAAGGGCTATATAGATATTTTGTGACCCTAACACTATTTTGCTATCACCCATGAGCAAACAAAAGCATGCTCTTAACCACCACACTACCCCTAAGTCAGAAATGCCACTCCTGGAAATGTATCCTAAGCACTTAGTTCAAATGTACAAGCTCAAGGTACAAAGATTTTTTACAATGGCATTACTCAAAATAACAAAAAATTGAAAATAACTAAGACTTTAACTAAATGTGGCACATCAACTTAATGAATTATTAAAAAGCAACTGAAGGCCAGGCACAGTGGCTCATGCCTGTCATCCCAGCACTTTGGGAGGCCAAGGCGGATGGATCACAAGGTCAGGAGCTCAAGACGAGCCTGGCCAAGATGGTGAAACCCCGTCTATACTAAAAATACAAAAGTTAGCCGGGCATGGTGGTGGGCACCTATAATCCCAGCTACTCGGGAGGCTGAGGCAGGAGAACTGCTTGAACCCAGGAGGCAGAGGTTGCAGTGAGCCGAGATGATGCCAATGCACTCTAGCCTGGGTGACAGAGCAAGACTCCGTCTCAAAAAAAAAAAAAAAAAAAAAAAAAAGCAACCGAAAAGTCTGGCAAGATAGACAAGTATTTAAAAGTAAAAAATAAATTCACCATATAAAAGTTTTAATACAATTATTGATATTATAAATATACACATGAGTAAGGTTTGAAAACAAATATGGAGAATTAGAATAGCTGGTATATTAAGAGGGCTGTGGGGACAAAAAAAAGCACTAGGTATTATAAAAGACTTTTTTTAAATCTCTATTACTGATGGAATTTTTTGTGTGCAATAAATAACTGTGTGGTGAAGAGAGGAAATCTGTTCTTTTCAATTTAAAGAATATCGGCTGGGCGCGGTGGCTCACGCCTGCAATCCTAGCAGTTTGCAAGGCCGAGGCAGGTGGATCACCTGAGGTCAGGAGTTCGAGACCAGCCTGGTTGACATGGTGAAACCCCATCTCTACTAAAAATACAAAAAAATTAGCCAGACATGGGAATGGGGCCCCTGTAATCCCAGCTACTTGGGAGGCTGAGGCAGAATCACTTGAACCTGGGAGGCAGAGGTTGCAGTGAGCTGAGATCATGCCATCGCACTCCAGCCTGAACAACAAGAGTGAAACTCCGTCTCAAACAAACAAAAGAATCTTAACTGCCGGTCTGAAATAACTCTTCCACAAAGTATTTTTTATATTTATTCTCACATTAGAAACAAACACAAATAATATAACCAACTTTAAAAGGATTTGTGAAGCTTGGATATATAAAATACTTTGGAAACCAGGAACTGAGCACTGTTAAAACCATATACATTTTCACAAACGTTGGATTCTTGGCAATAGATGGTAAGTATACAAGTCCTTTAATAATCAGATTTTTTAATAGTGTACATTACCAACTTTCTCCCCCACCCTATCCTGTAATTATTTAGTCATCCAACAAATATTTACTGAGTGCTTACTACATGTCAGCAATTAGGCCAGATACTGAGGGCAGAGTGGCAAACAAGGAACCACGTCACTACAATGGAGCACATTGGAAGCTCTGTCAAAAAGAGTAGTGATATGGGAACTCAAAGGTTATACAGTGAATTCACACTGAAGAATGAGAATAATATGACTTTTAAGCTGAAACTTAAAAGAACAGGACAGAACCAAAAGAGGGTAGGAGGTAAGAAAGAATATTCCAGGAAGAAGAAATAATACGAATAAAAGCCAAGAGGCAAGAGAGAATAAAGCATGTTGGAGGAGCTACAAGTCAGTATCACTAGGACAGAGTACAAGGAGAACAGTATGATACCACACCTAAGAGATAATTAGAGGCCAGATGAGGCAGGCACGCAGGCTGCAGTAAAACATGGACTTTATCTGAAAAACAGTAACAATCAGCTTGAGCTGAAAGCAACATGATCTAATGAGAAAAATCACAGCTGTATGAAGAATGAACAC
This sequence comes from Homo sapiens, assembly GCF_000001405.40. NCBI lineage: Eukaryota > Metazoa > Chordata > Mammalia > Primates > Hominidae > Homo > Homo sapiens. The sequence goes on from NC_000008.11 coordinate 30,648,399, forward strand.
TAAAGCAGCTAAACCAGGAGACCTGGTCAACAGCTAACCTAGCAATCCAATGACCGTGGCCTGAACTAGAGTGGCATGGTAGCCTTTAGTTGTTACACCCAATATTTCCAGCTCTCTTCATTAAGGAAAGCATTCACTTCAGAGCCCCCTATGGCTGGGAACATAACTTTGGCCAATGAGTGACTTGTGACTAACTCTGGCCAATGAGCTGTGAGAGGATGTGACATGTGTCACCTTCAGGCCACAGCACTTAACTGCTAGTGCAAGCTCTTCCAGAGTTAGTTTTCCTGCTAGCACAGAACTCACAAACATTTGAGCTTCCAGCTGCTCTGCCAGCCTGGGTCCTTGAGTGACTATAACTAGCTAAGACTTCTACCAATCCATGATAAACATGTAGTATGAAGGAGAAACAAGCTTCTGTTGTTTTAAGAAACTGAGATTTTTGGGATTGTTACCACAACACAGTTTATCCTACCCTGACTGTTAGGGAAAACCCTGGCCAACCAAAGAGAAGTAAAACCCTACAAGGGCTCTTCCTGCTGTCGAATGGGACCTGTTTGTGGGGAAGATGAAATTCGCTACCCAATACCTGTAGCCTAAACTACAAAATGCAAAGACATTCTTGAGCAGGTCAAAGGCTCAAGTGGCTTAAGCCTGAGAGTGGCTATGTTAATGTTTAAAACAGTTTTTACATTTTTGTTTATGATGAGTTAATTCTATGTACATTTCATTGGAACGACATATAAACCTAATATATATTATAAGAATGACAGGCCTACTTTGATTTTTAAAAAAGCTTTGCTTCCAAATCAGTTATAAAACAGCTTGTAGGATGTGTAAAAAATTAACATCAATAAAAATTATTATTGCTACAATTTGAAGTAGCTAAATAATTTCAGCTGTGAATTAAGTTCCACTGACATTGTTTAAAAGATAATAATGTAAGAGTAAACTAAACCCAAAGCAAGCAGAAGGAAGGAAATAATAAATACTGATGTGGAAATAAAAACAAACAAACAAACAAACAAAAACCAAAACAGAAAAGCCAATGAAACCAAAGGTTGGTTCTTTGAAAAAAATCAACAAAATTGATGAACCTTTAGCTAGACTCATCAAGAAAAAAGGGAGAAAAGACAAATTCCTAAAATCAGAAATGAAAGAGGACACTGGGTGAGGTGGCTCAGGCCTGTAATCCCAGCACTTTGGGAAGCTGAGGCAGGCAGATCACCTGAGGTCAGGAGCTCAAGACTAGCCTGACCAACATGGCAAAACCCTGTCTCTACTAAAAATACAAAAATTAGCTGAGCGTGGTGGCACACACCTGTAATCCCGGCTACTCTGGGGGGCCTGAGAGACAGAGCAAGACTCCGTCTCAAAAAAAATGAGAGGGGATATCACTACTGACTTTATAGATATCAAAAGGATTATAAGGGAGTACTTTGAAAAACCTCAGACAATGTAAATGATGAATGAATAAACTTCTAAAAAGCCACAAAGTACCAAAAGTAACTCAAAAAGAAATAGAAAATCTGAGTAAACTGAAAAGAAAAAATTCTTACAAAGAGCTTTCCACAAAGGAAAGCTGAAGCCCAAATGGCTTCACCAGTGAATTCTATCAAACATTTTAAAAAATAACAAAGTTTCACAAACTCTTTCAGAAAATAGGTGAAAAGGGAGCACTTCACAAATCGTTTAAGGAGGCCAGAATTACCCTGAGAGGCACCAGAGAAAAACGAAACTACATACACATCAAGTCCCTCAGGAATAGAGATGCAAAAATCCTGACCGAAATACCAGCAAATTGAGTACCACAACAAATAAAAATGATTATACACCATAACCAAGTAGGATTTATTTCAGGAATAAATGCAAGGTTGTTTGAACATCTAAATATCAATTAATGTTAATATATCATATTAATAGACTAAAGAGTGAGAACATGCTCATCTCATTAGATACATAAAAAGCATCAGACAACATCCAGTACCCATTTATGACTAAAAACTCTCAGTCAGATGCAGTAGCTTATGCCTATAATCCCAGCACTTTGGGAGGCTAAGGGGGATGGATCCCTTGAAGCGGGGAGTTTGAGACCCACCTGGGCAACAAAGTAAAACCCCATCTCTACCAAAAAAAAAAAAAAAAAGTTTTAATTAGCCAAATGTGGTGGGCATGTGCTTGTAGTCTCAGCTACCCGGGAGACTGAGGCTTGCTTGAGCTGGGGAGTTTCGAGGCTGCAGTGAGCCATGATCACGCCAGCAGTGAGCCATGATCATGCCCGTACTCCAGCCTGGGCAACAGAGTAAGACGCTGTCTCGAAAGAAAACAAACAAAAGGCTGGGTGCGGTGGCTCACGCCTGTAATCCCAGCACTTTGGGAGGCCAAGGCGGGTGGATCACAAGGTCAGGAGATCGAGACCATCCTGGCTAACAGTGTAACCCCATCTCTACTAAAAAGACAAAAAAATTAGCCAGCCATGGCGATGGGTGCCTGTAGTCCCAGCTACTAGGGAGGCTGAGGCAGGAGAACAGCATGAACCCGGGAAGTGGAGCTTGCACTGAGCTGAGATTGCGCCACTGCACTCCAGCCTGGGCAACAGAGCAAGACTCCGTCTCAAAAAAAAAAAAACCACCTCTCAACAAACTAGAAATAGAAAGGAACTTCTTCAACTGGAAAGGGCATGTACAAAAACCTGCAGTAATATCATGCGTAAGAGTGAAAAACCGAATGCTTTGCCCCTAAGATCAGGAACAAGGCAAAGGTAGCTACTTTTACTATTCAATGTACAGCCAGTCCAGACAGGCAAGATAAATAAAAATTAAAAAGTTCACACCGGAAAGAAAGAAAGAAAACTGTTCTTATTCACAGATGACATAATCTTGACATAGAAAATCCTAGGGAAACCACACAAAAAACTACGAGAAATAAAAAACAAGTTCAGTCAGGTTACAGAATACAAGATCAATGTATTAAAAAAAACTCTTGTTTCTATATACTAGCAATGAACAATTTAAAAAAAAAAATCAAAGAAAACAATTTCATTCATAAGTGAGATTGAATCAGAATAAAATAACCGCTGGGTGTAATGACTCACACCTATAATCCCAACACTCTGGGAGGCTGAGGTAGGAAGATTGCTTGAGGCCAGGAGTTTGAGACCAGCCTGGGCAACAGAGCAAGATCCTGTCTCTACAAAAAATTTGTAAAAAGCCATCTATTCATTGACTGGAAGATCTAATATTGTTAAGATGGCAGTTCTTCCCCAAATTGATTTATAGATTCAATTCAATCCCTATGGAAATCCCAGCAGGCTTTTTTGCAAATGTTGATAGATTGACCCTAAAATTTATGCAGAAAAACTAAAACAATTCTTGAAATAAAAAAGAACTAAGTTGATGGACTTACATTTCTCAGTCTCAAACCTTAATTACAATGCTACAGCACTCAAGAGAAATGATACTGGCATAAAGATAAACACAGAAGTCAATGGAACCAAACTAAGACTCCAGAAATAAACTCTTTGATTTATGGTCTACTAATATTCAACAAGGGCGCAATATAATTCAACAGGGGAAAGATCATCATTTCAAAAAATGATGCTGGGACAACTTCATAAGAACACGCAAAAAGATAAATTTTGACTCTTATGCTAATCCATACACAAAAATCAACTCAAATATACTACAAACCTAAATGCAGGAGCTAAAACTACAAAACTCTTAGAGGAAAACACAGAAAAAAATTTTCATGACCTGTGTCAGGCAAAGATTTCTTAGATATGACACCAAGAATACAAATGATAAAAGAAAAAAACTGGTAAGGTGGACTTCATCAAAATTAAAAACTTTTGTACATACAAAGACACTATTAAGAAGATAAAATGACAAGCACTTGCTTGGAGAAAATATTTGCAAATGTATACCAGATCAAAGAATGGTAGCCAGAATATATGAAGAATTATTAAATCAATAGAGAGAGGAAATATACCTCAGTTTTTTTTATGGGCAAAAAAAAATTGAATAGACATTTCACCAAGGAATACACATGGTCAATAAGCACATGAAACAATGTTCAACATCATTACTCATTAAGGAAATGCGTATTAAAGCCACAATGATAGAACTTCACAACTATAGAAATAGCTATGATTAAAAAAAAAAAAACAGAATTTCAAGCGTTAGCAAGGATGAGAAAAAACTAGAACCCTGATACATTGCTGGAGGAAATATAAAATGGTACAGCTATTTTAGCAGTTTCTTAACAAGTTAAATATAAATTTGACATATGACCCAGAAATCTACTTCTAGGTCTCTATCCAAAAGAGATAAAAAGATATGTCTACACAAAGACTTGTACATGAATATTCATACCAACACTATTCAAAACAGCCAAAAAGTGAAAATAATCCAAATAACCGTTTATTGGTGAATGGATAAACAAACTGTGGTACATATATCCATACTATGGAATACGCTTTACCAATAAAAATGGAATGAAGTACTGATGCATACTACATGGATGGAACTCAAAAATATGCCAAGTGAAAAAAACAACACACAAAAGACCACTTACTGTACAATTTCATTTATAGGAAATATCCAGAAAAGGCAAATATACAGAGCCAGAAAGCAGATTATTGGTTTTCCGGGGCAGGGATGGGAAAAGTCACTGCAAATGGGCACATCAGATCTGCTGGGGGTGATGGAAATGTTCTAAAATTGGACTGTAATAACAGCTGCAAAATTCTGTAAATTTACCAAACATCTTTGAACTGTAAACTTAAAATGAATGAACTGTATGGTATGTAAATTAAACCTAAATAAAGTTTTTTTAAAGAGGTAATAACCTAAATTTTAACTACAGCACAAGACTATTAACATCCTAAGAGCTTAAATTCTCTTGTCCCATCCTTTATATTCAACAAAGTGCCTATCAACATGAGTGCTGAACTGAAAAATGAACTAGCCATAACTAAACGGTTTCCTCCTGAATAATCTGAATAAAAACCAAACAGTCCTAAACAATTTTACTAACCAGAATTTTGTTTAGAGCCTGACGATCCTCCATGTTCTACCTTTGTTTTCTTCTTCTTTGACGATGATGATGATGACTCAGAAGATGCTGAACGTTTTTCTACTACAGGAGTAGAAAGAGCTCGTTTTTTGAACAGCTCCCTTTCTCTCAACAGGCTTGGATCCATAATGCTACAAAGAAAAAATAAGTGTCTTTAATACAAATTCAAGTCACTCAAACCTGCACTCCAAATCCACAGATCTCAACAAGTTACTTCCCAAACAAAATTACCTTTTATTATTAGTTCTCTAGCACTTGCATTTATTCACTTATTCAAGTACTCAAGAAATATTTCATTAGCGCTTATTACACGCCAAGCACTGTACTAGCCATTATAGGAAAAAAAGAGGCCAGGCATAGTGGCTGAAGCACTTTGGGAAGCCGAGGTGGGCAGACTGCCTGAGCCCAGGAGTTGGAGACCAGCCTGGACAACATGGTAATACCTCCTGTCTACAAAAATACAAAAAATCAGGCAGGCATGGTGATGTGTGCTTACAGTCCCAGCTACTCGGGAGGCGGAAGTGGGAGGATCACTTCAGCCTGGAAGGTCAAGGCTGCAGTGAGCTGTGATAATGCCACTGCACTCTAGCCTGGGTGACAGACCAAGACCCTTGTTCAAAAAAAAAAAAAAAAAAGAAAGAAAGAAAAGAAACAGAATTATTCCCTAAAGTTCCAGAACTGTGCTGTCCAATATATTAGCCACTAGCCACATGTGCCTATTAAACATGTGAAATGTGGCTAGTTAAAATTGAGATGGACTTTCAAGTGTAAAAACCCACAAGATTTCAAAGATTTAGTATAAAGAAAAAAACTATTTAATTACTAACGAGATATTTTACATTAATTACATGTTGAAGTGATACTATTTTGAATATACTGGGTTAAATAAAATGTTAAAATTAATTTCACCAATTTTTCTTTTAAAATATGGCTATTAAAAAAAAATTAAGAGACAGTGTCTCACTGTGTTGCCCAGGCTGGAGTACAGTGGTGTGATCATAGCTCAATGTAGCCTTGAACTCCTGGGCTCAAGCAATCCTCCCACCTCAGCCTCCTGACTAGCTAGTACTACAGGTACACGCCACCACACACAGTTAATTTTTTTAAAAACTTTTTAGAGACAAGGTCTTGCTATGTTGCCCAGGCTGGTCTTGAACTCCTGGCCTCAAGCAATCCTCCTACCTCAGTCTCCCAAAGCACTAGGATTACAAACATGAGCCACTGCACCCAGCCTAGAATATTTTTAATTACACGTGTGGCTCACACTTCCCACTCCCATTATATTTCTATTGGACAACACTGCTGTAGAAACATGAGGACTACAGGGCAGAAATTAGAAGAAGGTGGATTTAGGCTCACTGCAAAAAAAGAGAACCATCAGAACTGCTTATACATAAAATGGCATATTTTTACAACTGGTGAACTCTCAATTATTAAGTGATGAAGAGGCTGAATTATTATACTATTTGTTAGAAATGTCTACAGAGAGCCGGGCACAGTGGCTCATGTCTGTAATCCCAGCACTTTGGGAGGCTGAGAGACCAGCCTGGGCAACATAGTGAAACCCTATCTCTACGAAATTAGCCAGTCATAGTGACACATACGTGTAGTCCGGGCTACTCAGAACGCTGAGACACGAGAACTGTTTGAGTCCAGCAGAGGTTGCAGTAAGCTGAGATCCCGCCACTGCCCTCCAGCCTGGGGGATACAGCAAAACTCTGTCTCAAAAAAAAAAAAAAAGTCTACAGAAAATTTCCAATTTGGAGGGAGGTGGTTTGAGGCAACTTCTATGTTGTGGTTGTTGTTTGTCTAGTTCTAAAATTACAACTCAAAGCAATTTCACTACAACCAGGGAAGCTACAGGTCAACCAACAAGAATTCTAAACACACCTCTCTTCTGAACTCTGCTAGAACCCTACAGAGGGTCTATGAAGACCTCAAGCTGACTATATAAATGAATTTGACACTGTTAAGACTAGTGTCAGCTGGGAGGAAAAAGACTCATACTTTGAAAGCTTTTAAGCACAGATAGCTCAATAAATATTTGTTAAATGAACAACACATGGAACATCATCTTTAAATTGCTCTGGTCCCATTATTACTGGTTTCACAAGCCTTTATTAAATATCTTGTTTGTGAGGCACTGTGCTCTAAGCTTTGAAAGGTTACGGAAGATAAATCCTTGTCTACATGCTGCTTAGATTTGAGAAAATGGAAGCATTGAGCTAAAAATTTTAAATATAAGCATTGATAAGAAATAATCAGACTGAATTTCAATTAAGGCGTGAACAATCACTGGACGGTGAATCAAAAACCTGCCTTCTCTCAGTTTCAATTTTTTTTTCTTTTTTTTTGAGACAGAGTCTCGCTCTGCCGCCCAGGCTGGCAGAGTGCAGTGGTGCAATCTCGGCTCAATGCAACCTCCGCCTCCTGGGCTCAAGCGATTCTCCTGGCTCAGCCTCCCGAGTAGCTGGGACTACAGGCGCGCAGCACCACGCCCCGCCAATGTCTGTATTTTTAGTAGAGACGGGGTTCATTCACCATGTTGGCCAAGCTGATCTTGAACTCCTGACCTCAAGTGATCCGCCCACCTCAGCCTCCCAAAGTGCTTAGATTACAGGCGTGAGTCACCGCACCCGGCCTCAGTTTCAATTCCTAAAGCCACCTGGCTAGGCAACCCACAAGGCCTCTACATTCAATTTCATAAGTGAAATGAGGACGCTATGAAAGCTGTCCACATCCAGCCCAATTGTAAGAATGAGAAAATGTGTATGTTATTTTTTAAACAGTAAAGTCATAAAAACGTGTTATTTCAGTATTACTATTTTGAGTTGGATCTGAAAGAAGGGAATGATTTACCGGGCTGAGGAAAGTAGGAGACAGCCTTGGGAGGAGGGAAAGCGTGGGGCCAAGAAGAAGAAAGGAGAATTGTCAAGTGAGAAGGTGGGAGCAAAAAGTAAATTTCTAGAACAGGAAACATTTGTGTCTTATTTCACGTTGCAAAGGCAGGACCTCAATCTGGACTTTAAAAAAATTACTCTAAAAGATTTAAATAGGCCGGGCGCAGCGGCTCACGCCTGTAATCCCAGCACTTTGGGAGGCCGAGGAGGGCGGATCACGAGGTCAGGAGTTCTAGACGAGTCTGGCCAACATGGTGAAACTCCGTCTCCATTAAAAATTTAAAAAATGTGCAGGGTGTCGTTGCGGGTGCCTGTAATCCCAACTACTTGGGAGGCTGAGGCAGGAGAATCGCTTGAACCAGGGACGTGGAGCTTGCAGTAAGCCAAGATCGCGCCACTGCACTCCAGCCCGGGCGACAGTGCGAGACTCCGTCTCAGAAAAAAAAAAAAAAAAAAGTAAATAAAGCCGTACAGTTTACAACAAACTAAATGCTTACAGTATTTGACCCTCGCAACTCTAGGAGCAAACAGGTATTAGTGTTATTCCTATTTTAATACGTGAAATCTGAAGTGAAGCTGTCTGGTTAAGGTCGCACAGATGGAAGAGCCAGGGCCAGGAACCAAACCTCCTGACTCCTAACTCAAGTGCTCCTTACACCAGACCTGGAACGCTGGTAAAGGCCTTTAAAACAAAGGCCACCTGTGAGGTTCGGGAACGTTCAAAGGCATCTAGAGCAGAAAGCTTCGCAATGTCTGTCTTTCACCATCACGTGCTCCGCCTAACTTTTCCTCCTTTTTCAAAGACTACCCAATATGTGTACTAAGTTTTAGATCTCTGGACCCCCCTATGGAGTAAACAGGCTACATCACCATGTCCATTTTACAATTAAACAAAACCACAACTCAAGGAGTTGGCTGGTTCCTCCGTGGGCAGACACGGAAAACCCAAAAATTAAACTGAAATCTGCCTCCAAGCCCACGATTCTTGCCACCATTCGACCTCTTTCAACCTTACTACTTCCCCTCTCTTTCACTTTTACCCAGCCTCGTTAGTGTCCCTGGCACCTCAGGACCCGGCTATGAAAAGCAGGCTGCTTCGCCCTTAAATGACGGAAGTGGGGAGGTGGGCGAAAAGGGGGCCGCAGCGTTGTTTAGACTGCAGAAATCAACTACTATCGTTAAAGTTTAGGGATCATCACAAACCAAATCTCCAAAAGGTAGCCTAGAAAGCAGTCCGCGTATGAGCATCATTTTAAATCACAGTCTTGAGCTGGCTGGACCCCGCGGCTGCTCAAACTCCACACACGGTTCGCTTGGCTACCGCGCCCGTGAACTTGGAGGCTTGGAAGAGGCACAGTCAGGCGGCAGACCGCGAATTTTCCCTCTTTCCAACCCAAAAGTTTGCTCAATGAACCTCTGGCCTAAAGACAATGCTCCGGGGAACGGTTCGCGTGCTGGGTGTTTCGCTTCGAGAACGGCGGTCCCAGCTTCCCGTGAGGTGGAGGTCACGCTCAGCCTCCCGGGAGGCGGCGGCGCGCCTGCGTCCCAGGGAACAGCAAGCCGGGGCTCTGCGCCCCACACCCGGCGGCCGCAGCCCCTACCTGAGTGAGAAGGGCAGCCTCGCACGACTCGCCGCCCCCTTCCTGCGCCTCCGCCTCGGCCGGCCGCCCACGCCGGCACTGCACCCTCTTCCTGCTTCTCGTCAGCGCCCCCGCCTGCCCGCACGCACGCCCAGCGCTGACCCGCCAGGTCGGGGTCTCACCACTGGCGGTGGCGGCGGCGGCGGCGGCAGCGGCGGTAGCTGAGGCGGCGACTGGACCCGGGACTCCGCCCGCCACTTCCCGATCGGGTGCTAGGAGCTCAGTCCCGGCAGCCACCGCGGCGCCAGGGCAGCCAAGCGAGCGCATGCGTCATTGCGTGCCCCGCCTCTGGTGCCGCGGGAGCGGAACTATCCCGCTCTGGCGTCCTGGGGCCTCCATGACAACGAGGGAAGGGCTGGGGTGGGGCCGAGAAGGGGACTGAAGTGGGAGGCGGCGCCACTGAAGATGGAAGGCAGCTTTCTTTATAGACACTTTATTAAAACTGCTACAGCCTGCTCCGGCGTGCGCTGGGATGTGGTGAACCCAGCCGACGACGCTATCTTTCAATGGTTACTTTGTGTTTTTTGTCTTTTTCTTATTAGAGACGTGATCTCACTCGGTCACCCAGGCTGGAGGGCAGTGGCGCGATCTCGGCTCACTGCAACCTCCGCTCCTGGGCTCAAGCCATTCTCCCACCTCAGCCTCCGGAGTAGCTGGGATCACAGGCGAGTGCCACCACGACGGACTATTTTTGGTTATTATTGTTGTTGTTGTTTGTATTAATAGGGTCTCACAATGTTGCCCAGGCTGGTCTCGAACTCCTGAATTCAAGCGATTTGCCCGCCTCGTCTTCCCAAAGTGCTGGGATTACAGGCGTGAGCCACCGCGCCCGGCCTCAACGGTTATTTTGTGAGTTTACCCCAGCGCCACACACCAGCACCTGCACACCGAGAACGCGGTTCCAGCTCTTTTACAAGCGAAGAACAGAGGGCCAGGAAGCTAATTAATAAATGACTTGCTCAAGACAACACAGCTAGCAAAGGCAGCCTGATGTGGAGCACAGCCCAGCCTCTTCCCTCCACCCCTGTGAACTGTCTTAGAAAAGGATTTTGGATTTAGAAGCCAGATAAATGGGTGGAAATAAAGCAGTGGAAAAAATAATTTCATTGCCCGAAACCTGCAGCGTGGCAGGCCTTCCCTCACTCTTATAACCTAAAGCGGCAGTACAGCCAGTGCTCAGCCATTCTGTGGCTGTCGTTGAATTACTGGTTACTCTTCAAGTTACTGAAACTGTGGCTCAGTTTTCTCATCGGGGAAATGGGGATAATCATTGTACTACTACAATGAGTTACTTGCATTGGACTGTGGTGAAAATTAAGTGAGAAAATACCTAAAATTTTATTCAAAACTTGGAAAAAAGTCAAAAGATAATATTTTGTGACTTTTATTAGTTTCATTCTAGAGAATTTTGTAATAAGCCTACTTGATCATCTGACACCCACAGGAAATGTAACTTTGTTTGAATAACAATTGATTAGGGCCCAGAAGATTTACAAAAGGATGAAATCAAACATCAATTGGTAGGAAACTGATGAGGTGTTAGGGGAAAAAGGGGCAGGGAATTCAGTGTGTATATAGATAGATAGATAGATAGATAGATAGATAGATAGATAGATAGATAGATAAAATTCCAAAGGTTAAGGTTGCATTTTTCTGAGAAAAATTAACCGGTTTTGTATCAACTGAGCAGTTTTATTTCAGCATTCCTTTCCCCAACGATTATATAAATATCATTTTTCAGAACTGGTAGAAATCCGTTTTATGATTCTGCTGGCTCCCTTATTAATGAGTGAGAGACTTATACATATGGACAATGGCTAAACCGCATATGATAATAACACTCTAACTCACATAAGCCAAACCATAACCTCTACAGCAATCAGCTCAAAATGGTCAGAATTTTCTCAAGAAGGCTGCCAACTTTTCTATTTTAACCTCTCTGTCCTCAGACACCAGTATCAGCCAGAGAAAGCCAAATATTCTTCCCAAACCAATCCTGTTAAGTTTCCTGCTTCAAGTTAGACAACTTCCAGCTTCCCCTGCCAACATCCCTAAATCAGAACACATCAGAAGCATCCCTTTTTTCCTCCACTGTAAAGTCTCCCCTCTTCCCGATTGCTTTTGAGTCTCTGCCAAACTCAAGTGTGGTCGCTGCCCCTATTGCTATAGCAAGCTCTGAATAGTCTCTGTTCTCACTTGGCAGGTCTACATTTCTTGCGTTAAATAAAACTTTGACACATATTCACTATCTCTTCCCTTGAGACTTAGAAATCTAACAATTAGAGAATCTTTACAGAATTAAATCTTTCACAAAGAAGGTGCTCAATAAACGCTTACAGTGAGTAATTTCATGTCAATATCTTGACTCATTTCAGCCAGTTGAAACAGCTAAGCTACTAATAATATCAGAATGTACTATCTATAATCCAGACTCTCAAATCTCAATTGTGTCCCCTTTACCCAGAAGTTAGCTCTTGTTATTAATATCATTGAAACCCTCTCATACAAACCCCAGGAAACCTTATTACATTACAAACTCCTGCTTATACTGCCTGTTGCATGTGTCTAGGTCTTAACACTGAAAGCAATGGCTTCATTCATTCTGAGGCAGGAGAATAGGGTCTGGAAGCAGAGAACCTAAGGCCAATTCACGCTGACTCCCTAGAAAGAGCTAAATCAAAAGGAAAACCCTAATTTTCCACACCCAAGTAACAAAAGGACCAGAGGCTGCTCCCTTTGCAACCCCTCACCCCCATTTTTCTGCCTGGCAGATGAAAAATTGAAAGTACCTCTGGCCGGCCGTGGTGGCTCATGCCTGTAATCCCAGCACTTTGGGAGGCCGAGGCAGGCGGATCACTTGAGGTCAGGAGTTCAAGACCAGGCTGGCCAACATGGTGAAACTCCGTCTCTACTAAAAAATACAAAAATTAGTGTGTGGTGGCGGGCACCTGTAATCCCAGCTACTCAGGAGGGTGAGGCAGGAGAATCACTTGAACCGGGGAGTCAGAGGTTGCAGTGAGCCGAGATCGTGCCCCTACACTCCAGCCTGGGTGACAGAGCAAGACTCCATCTCAAAAAAGAAAGCAAAAAACCTCTAACAGAGAGCCAAACCCCATCACTGCACACACACACACACACTCTCTCTCTCTCTCTCACACACACACACACACACACACACACATATGTAGACTTTCCCCAGGTAGTTATTGGCCAGGATGGAGTCACATACCTCATCTAAACCAATCAATCCCCATGAAAGGGAAAGAAACTACCGTGACAACCTGAAACAAATTTTGATTCACCTTTCTGGAGATGGGGAGGGAGTAGCCTACCTCGAACACATGAGTGAGCAAAGAGTGAACTCACATCTTTAAAAAGTTGGGACCAAACTAGCTTCTTACCTTGCAGAAACAAATAAGAAGTCGTTCCATAATTCAAACTTTCTTTCAAGTTTTCTCTTTGATAACCGTCATATCTTAGCATGCAATACTAGGTGTTTATGATCAACTTCCATAATAATTATCATAATAAAGAAAATAATTTCTCATAACATTTATGTATTTCATGATTTTTGCTACATCAGTGTATTAGAGTTTTCCAGAGAAATAGCAAATAGGATATGTGTGTGTGCGTGTGTGTAGACAGAAGGAGAGAGAGACCGAGAGAGGAAAAAAAAGAAATAGAGACAGAGTTAGAGAGGGATGTATTTATTTATCATTTAAGACACAGTCTCACTCTGTCACCCAGACTGGAGTGCAATAGCACGTTCTCAGCTCTCTGCAACCTCCACCTCACAGGTTCAAGCAATTCTCCTGTCTCAGCCTCCTGAGTAGCTGGAATTACAGGTGCGCACTACCACACCTGGCTAATTTTTGTATTTTTAGTAGAGACGGGGTTTCACCATGTTGGCCAGGCTGGTCTTGAACTCCTGACCTCAAGTGATCTGCCTGCCTTGGCCTCCCAAAGTGCTGCAATTACAGGCGTGAGCCACTGCGCCCAGCCAGAGAGGGATTTCTCATGTCATTATGGAGGCTGACAAGTCCCAAGATGTGCAGCCAACTTGGAGGCACAGATGACTGAAGATGTCCTTCCAGTTCAAAGCCATGCAGGCTCAAAACAGGAAGAGCCACTGTTTCAGTTCTAGTTCAAAGGCAGAAAATAAACTGCTATCCTAGCTCTAGACAGTCATGCAGGAGGAGCATTCCTCTTATTCACGGGAGGGTCGGCTTTTCTGTCCCATTCAGGCATTCAACTGATTGGATGGGGCCTTGCCACATTAGGGAGGGGAATCTGCTTGATACATCTGCCAGTTTAAATGTTCATTTTGGCCAGTTGCAGTAGCTCACACCTGTAATCTCAGCACTTTGGGAGGCTGAGGCGGGTGGATCACCTGAGGTCAGGAGTTTGAGATCAGCCTGGTCAACATGGTGAAACCCCATCTCTACTAATAATGCAAAAATTAGCTGGCTGTGGTGGCGGGTACCTATACTCCCAGCTGCTCGGGTGGCTGAGGCAGGAGAATCACTTGAACCCAGGAGGCAGAGGTTGCAGTGAGCCGAGATTGCACCACTGCACTCCAGCCTGGGTGACAGAGTGAAACTGAGTCTCAAAAAATAAATTAAATAAATAAATGTTCATTTCATCCAGAAACACCCGCACAGACACACCAAGAATACTGCTTGACCAACTGTCTGGGAACCCTGTGGCTCAGTCAAGTTGACAAGTAAACTTAACCATGGCAACTTGGCACCCAGACACATCTCCTTAAACCATACTTAATAACCAAATAAAGACAATAACACGGTCATAATTCCACCTACCATGATACCACTATCCTGCATACAAACAAAAACACACTAACCCCTTTCCCAGAAGAGAAGGTAAAGTCCTTGCGTCATGTTTTCTCTTTGATATGCCATAACTTTTTTTTACTTGTATAAATTTGAGGGGTACGGCCGGGCGCGGTGGCTCATGCCTGTAGTCCCAGCACTTTGGGGAGGCTGAGGTGGGCGGATGACAAGGTCAGGAGATCGAGACCATCCTGGCTAACACGGTGAAACCCCGTCTCTACTAAAAATACAAGAAATTAGCCAGGTGTGGTGGCGGGCACCTGTAGTCCCAGCTACTCAGGAGGCTAAGGCAGGAGAATGGCGTGAACCCCGGAGGCGGAGCTTGCAGTGAGCCGAGATCGCGCCACTGCACTCCATCCTGGGCGACAGAGCAAGACTCCGTCTCAAAAAAAAAAAGTAAGGGGTACAAATACAGTTTTGTCACATGGATATTTTGCATAGCGGGGAAGTCTGGGCTTTTGGGTAAGCATCACCCAAACAGTGTACATTGCACCTATTAGGCAATCTCTCATCCCTCATTGCCCTCCCACCCTCCCACCCATTCAAGTTTCAATGCCTGTTCTTTCACACTCTACACACTCCATGTCCATGTGGACACATTATTTAGATCCCATTTATAGATAAGAACACATGGCATTTGACTTTCTGGGTTGTTTCACTTAAGATAATAGCCTTCGGTTCCATCCATGTTGCTGCAAAAGACATGATTTCATTTTTTTTATGGCTGAATAGTATTCTAATACACACACACACATTTTCTTTCTTCTTCTTTTTTTTTTTTTTTTTTTTGAGACGGAGTCTTGCTCCATCACCAGGCTGCAGTGCAGTGGCGTGATCTCGGCTCGCTGCAATCTCCGCCTCTCAGGTTCAAGTGGTTCCTCTGCCTCAGCCTCCCCAATAGCCAGGACTACAAGTGTGCACCACCATGCCCGGCTAATTTTTTGTATTTTAGTAGAGATGGGGTTTCACCATGTTGGCCAGGATTGCCTCGATCTCCCGACCTTGTGATCTGTCCACCTCGGCCTCCCAAAGGGTTGGGATTACAGGCATGAGCCACCACTCGTAGCCTACCACATTTTCTTTATCCAGTCACCCACTGATGGATACTTAGGTTGATTCCATATCCTTGTTTTTGTGTATAGTGCGGTGATAAACATAATGAGTGTAAGTATCTTTTCGATGTAATGCTTTGTTTTTCTTTTGGGAAACCTCATAACTTTTTAAACAATTCTTAAATACTACAATATCAAGTCAATACATCTTAGGTTATATGATACAGGAAAAAGAGAGGGAAGAAAACAAAGATAATTTATACACACACACACACACAATCATGGCAATTACAGTCCTCATTTCTATAACTGGTCACATGGCTCTTTACCTAGGGGAATGACGTCCTTGATGGTGGCACTAATCTCTGCAGTCCCTCCAGGGATGTGGTATCGCTTTTCATTTTCTATTTTTCTAGGTAGAGGCAGTTCTTGTGGCTTCCACTTGGCCTTTGCCACCATAATAGCCCTCACTCCACAGGCCAGGGAAGCACTGGAGATTCTGCCAGCTGCTGAGCATGTCTATTCTGATTACGCATTCCTGAGCTGCAGAAATAACCACAGGATGGGTTCAGGGATCCACTGAGCCCACTATGAGATGGATCAATGCTAAAACTGCATGGATTGGCTGGGTGCGGTGGCTCACGCCTGTAATCCCAGCACTTTGGGAGGCCGAGGCAGATGGATCACCTGAGGTCGGGAGTTTGAGACCAGCCTGGCCAATATGGTGAAACCCTGTCTCCACTAAAAATACAAAAATTAGCTGGGTGTGGTGGCACGTACCACTTGGTCCCTGCCACCCTCAGATTCAACTACTGCCACTGCATTTAGGTTTTCCAATTCAGTGATAGCAGTTCCCTCTCTAATTTCTGACCTACTAAGAACGACAACCACTGAACACTTCAGGAATGCTGGGGCTCCCTTCACAAATTTATTTCTCACAGTCATGGTGAAGGGTATGTCCTCTGGGTACTCCTGGGGTGGGTGAGCAAATCTTACATGACAAATCCACTCTTTCAGTTAGAACAAATATATGGGATACATGTGAAATTTTGTTAAATGTATATAATGTGTACTGATCCACTCAGGATATTTAGGGCGTCCATCAATTGAGAACAATACATTTTTGTTATACTATAGTCGCCCTACTCTGCTGTCAAACATTGAATTTATTCCTTCTATCTAAATGCATGTTTGTATTCTTTAACCCATCTCTCTTTATCCTTCCTCCTCCTCCACCCTCACCCTTCCCAGTCTCTGTTTTCTCTGTCCACTCTCTACCTCCATGTGATCAAATTTTTTAGCTCTCTTATATAAGTGGGAACATATGGTACTTGTCTTTTTGTCCCTGGTTTATTTTACTTACAATAATGAACACCAGTTACATCTATGTTGTTGCAAATGACAGAATTTCATTCTTTTTTATGGTTGCATAGTATTCCATTGTATGTATATGCCACATTTTCTTTATCCATTCATCTGTTGAAGGACACTTAGGTAGAGTCCATCTTTTTGCTGTTGAGAATAATACTCCTTAAGGCTTTAGATCTTTTTGTCTAGAGTATACCAAGGCAATACTGGCATTTTTTTTTTTTTCCGAGACAGAGTCTTGCTCTGTCACCAGGCTGGAGTGTAGTGGTATGATCTCAGCTCACTGCAACCTCTGCCCACTGGGTTCAAGCGATTCCCCTGCCTCAGCCTCCTGAGTAGCTGGGCCTACAGACGCACACCACCAAGCCCAGCTAATTTTTTCTATTTTAGTAGAGACAGGGCTTCACCATGTTGGCCAGGATGGGCTTGATCTCCTGACCTCATGATCCACCCGCGTCGGCCTCCCAAGTACCTGGGATTATAGGTGCATGCCACCATGCCCAGCTAATTTTTGTATTTTTAGTAGAGACAGGGTTTTGCCATGTTGACCAGGCTGGTCTTGAACTCCTGACCTCAGGTGATCCCCCCAGCCTCGGCCTCCCAAACTGCTGGGATTATAGGTATGAGCCACCATACCTGGCCTTCTTCCATGTTTTAGCCAAACAAACTAACTTTTAGAGCCCTTTCTAACCTCCTAAGCTGTAACATTAAATTGGTGGATCACTTGAGGTCAAGAGTTCGAGATCAGACTGGGCAACACAGTGAAACCCCTTCTCTACTAAAAATACAAAAATTAGTTGGGCATGGTGGCAGGCACCTGTAATCCCAGCTACTTGGGAGGCTGAGGCAGGAGAATTCCTTGAACCTTGGAGCTACAGGTTGCAGTGAGCCAAGACTGCACCACTGCACTCTAACCTGGGTGACAGAGCAAGACTCTATCTCAAACAAAAAACAAACCATTAAACTGACAGTCTCTGTTTAGTGGGCTCATGTCAGTAAATTTGGCTTGATCCAACTTTATTTTTCTGTCACCATTATCCCATGGTCTTAATATCCATTCCCACACATTTCGCCCTGGATTTCTGCATGTGTAAATTGGAAAAACTATGTACTCCTTTTGGAATGCAGCTTACTTACCTCTTCAAGGGTCATGTTTTGTACTTCACCTTTTGTGGCCAGTGGGGACTTGAGTCTAGTCATAGGTTTAGAAGCAAAGAAAGGTGATGAGGGTGTGTCCTGAGTAGACTCAGCAGAGTCTTGCAAGTTAACTAACTCAGGAGAGGACATTATAATATCCTCAGGCAAAGCAGGATTCATCTCTTCAGATGGGATGGAATAGCTGCTTCTACTGGCAGAAGACTCAGCAGAATTTACGGGTTCAGTGTCCACACCCTCATCAGGATCTTCCCATATATCCCCATTCCAATTTTCAGTATCTCATTCTTTTATTTCCCAATCAATGCCCTCACTTTGACAGCAGATGCCCTGAGAGGTTGGGAATTTGATCTGCATTGTAATTCAGCCACTTGCTGGATAAGACTCTGGGTGTGCTTTTCAGCAATCTCAGCTCTGAAGCTACAAGGATTTTAAATGTTGCCTTAATCATGTCCTATATTACAATTATATATTTCTGGACTCTATTCTGATCAACCAGTGTGATTTTAGCCATATATTGCGGACTTTCTTGAAGAGGGATACACATATACGATGGCGATACATTTTTATTTCCAATGGATGACCACAAGATGGCGTTAGGTGACTAAAATGATCTGCTTACCAAACATTAAAGCCGAAAATTAAGCATATAGATTAAGCAATTGCCATATACACAAGAAGGAATACCTTTTAATGTAATATCTTAAAATTAATACATTTTAAAGCCTGATATATTTTTAAAAGAAATTTGGCACATAAAAAAACAAAGTGCTTGATTAAAATGTACACTCAGCTGGGCGCAGTGGCTCACGCCTGTAATCCCAGCACTTTGGGAGGCCAAGGCGGGCAGATCACCTGAGGTCAGGAGTCTGAGACCAGCCTGGCCAACATGGTGAAACCCTGTCTCTACTAAAAATACAAAAAATTAGCCAGGTGCAGTGGTGCA
This sequence comes from Homo sapiens, assembly GCF_000001405.40. Taxonomy (NCBI): domain Eukaryota; kingdom Metazoa; phylum Chordata; class Mammalia; order Primates; family Hominidae; genus Homo; species Homo sapiens. The sequence goes on from NC_000008.11 coordinate 30,667,383, forward strand.
TGCCTGTAATTCCAGCTACTCAGGAGGCTGAGTCAGGAGAGTTGCTTGAACCTGGGAGGCAGAGGTTGCAGTGAGCCAAGATCGCACCATTGCATTCCAGCCTGGGTGACACAGCAAGACTCTGTCTCAAAAATAAAAATTAAAAATAAAGAACAAAATGTGCACTCAAACAAAGAGTCTCCCATCTTGTTATCGAGGGACAATTCAGAATCAATGCCAAATATTGTTTTAATGTGAAATATCCCTGCTTTAAATTAAGGGTGGTGCTTTTGTGCTCCTGCCCTAGGCAATGAGACCTACCATGTTGTATTAGCTATGCCTTTTGTTTTCTGTATTCCGATGCTTTGACATTTGGGAGCCTTGCTAATCCTGGAGGGTTGCCTGTCCCAGTGCCAGTGCTAGCAAATTTCTAGAGACAGTAAATAACTAGGGGAGTATGCCCTTTATATGCCAACCAGTCCAGGGCCTACAACCTCAACCACCTTCTTTATTGGGCCCATACTATCCATCCGCCTGCCCTAATCACTCCAGGGCCAGCCCTTATCCCCCAGAGCCCACAGAAAATTATTCAAATAAACCAATGCTAAACTTGCTTATCCAGCCTTGCCTCTTTCTTTCTATGGAAACCAGAGTAAATTATCTTGCCCACATTTTCCTTCCACTCTCTTTGCCTCCTGACCAACCCCTGTGCTTCCTGGGTGTCTCTCCCCATCCCCCCTGGGGTGATGTACCCCTTCATAGGATCTGTGAGCATAACAACTATATTTTCTTTCCTTTCTTTTTTGAGATAGGGTCTGCCTCTTCACCTAGGCTAGGGTGTAGTAGTACGATCCTGGCTTACTGCAGCCTCCACATCCTGGCCTCAAGGAATCCTCCCACCTCAGCCTTCGGAGTAGCTGGGACTACAGGTACTCGCCACTACAACTGGCTAAGTTTTGTATTTTTGGGGGAGAGACACGATCTCACCATGTTGCCCAGGCTGGTCTTGAACTCCTGGACCCAAGTTATCCTCCAACCTCAGCCTCCCAAAGTGCTGAAATTACAGGTGTGAGCCCCCGTGCCCAGCCACGACTATATTTTCAATGGCAGTTGTCTCCTCATCTAATGACCTTGCCATACTAAATAATAATAAAACCTATATTTTTAAAACAAGTGTCAGACATTGCTGGTTACCTTCTCAACCATTCCCCTACTTTCTTGCTGAAGGCTTTGTTCAGGGTAGTAGTGGATTCAGCTTAAATGCTTACCTTGCCAGGTTCCTTGCAGCTAGGTTGTCTGTGTGACAGACACATGGTTTCCACATAAGCAGAAATCTCCTGGCAATTTTTGGATAAGTTTTTGTTTCCTGATTTAGATACCACTTCTTTCTCCTTTTTCACCCTTTCTGGAACACAGACATGAGACTAGAGATAAAGCAGCTATTTTACAATCATGAAGTGACAAACTCAAGCATGAAAGCCACCTTGTAAGGATAGTGAAGTGGAGAGATAAAGGAAGCTTGGGGCCAGGTGCAGTGGTTCATGCCTGTAATCTCAGCACATTGGAAGGCTGAGGTGGGAGGATTTCTTGAGCCCAGGAGTTGGAGACCAACCTGGGCAAAATAGCGACACCCTGTCTCTACAAAAAAATACAAAAATTAGCTGAGCATGGTGGTTCATGCCTGTAGTCCCAGTTATTCAGGAGGCTTCAGTGGGAGGATTGCTTGAGCCCAGGAGGTCGAGGCTGCAGTGAGCCATGATCACACCACGGCACTCCAGCCTGTGCAAAACAGATTGAGGCCCTGTCTCTAAAAGAAAATAATAATACACTAATATTTAATATTAATACTAACAGCTTTTTGAGGGGTTTATCATTGAATCCTCCCAAAATGGTATGAGGTAGGTAAAAATGTTCTGACTTTACAGATGGAGAAGCTGAGGCATAGAAGTGTTATATAACTTTTCCAAGGACATACAACTCTAAGTGGAGGAGTCAAGATCCAAACCCACTTCTGCCTGTCTGTAAAGCCTGAGCTAACAACTATAAAATATTGCAATTAATTGAAAGGCAAACTCTTTGGAGATTCATGTTGTTTGTATCTCCACAGTGCCTACTGTACTGCTAGATACCAGTGTTATTTAATCAAGATAAATAGGCCGGGCGTGGTGGCTCACACCTGTAATTCCAGCAGTTTGGGAGGCCAAGGCGGGCAGATCATGAGGTCAGGAGATCAAGACCATCCTGGCTAACACGGTGAAACCCTGTCTCTACTAAAAATACAAAAAATTAGCCAGGGGTGGTGGCAGGTGCCTGTAGCCCCAGCTACTCAGGAGGCTGAGGCAGGAGAATGGCATGAACCCGGGAGGCAGAGCTTGCAGTGAGCCAAGATTGCGCCACTGCACTCCAGCCTGGGTGACAGAGTGAGACTCTGTCTCAAAAAAAAAAAAAAAAAAAAAAAAACAAGATAAATAAGATTAATCAAAAGAAAAGAATAACATTTTTGGCCATATCAGCATAAAGTAAACAGAACAAAAAACTTTGTTTCAGTATATTTAAATAGACTTAATCTTCATTATTTGTGGATTCCATATTTGCCAATTTGCCTACCCATTAAAATTTATTTGTAAGCCCGAAATCAATACTTGCAGCACCTTCATAGTTGCTTGCAGACATGTGCAGAGTGGGAAAAAATTTGAGTTGCCCAAAATGCACATAGAACAAGGCAACTGTCGGCCTTTCTATTTTAAGTCTCATACTGTAAACTAAGGTCCTTTTCCAAGTTTATTTAGCACTGCATTTTTCCCATTTTTGTGCCTTTTGTTGATTTCATTGTTTTTTGTAGGTTTTTTGTTTTTTTTTTTTTTTTGAGACAGAGTCTCACTTTGTGGCCCAGGCTGGAGTGCAGTGGCACAATCTTGGCTCACTGCAACCTCTGACTCCCAGGTTCAAGCAATTCTTCTGCCTCAGCCTCCCAAGTAGCTGGGACTACAGGTGCACACCACCACGCCCGGCTAATTTTTGTATTTTTAGTAGAGACTGGGTTTCACCATATTGGTCAGGCTAGTCTCTAACTCCTGACCTCATGATCTTCCCGTCTCAGCCTCTCAAAGTGCTGGGATTACAGGTGTGAGCCACCACGCCTGGCCAATTTCACTGTTTAAAATAGCCCTACATGGTGGCTCAAGCCTGTAATTCCAGCACTTTGGGAGGATGAGGCGGGTGGATCCCTTGAGCCCAGGAATTTGAGACCAGCCTGGGCAACATAGAGAGACCCCATCTCTACAAAAAATATTAAAAATTAGCCAGGTATGGTGGCAGGTGCCTGCAGTCCCAGCTACTGGGAAGGCTGAAGCTGAAGGATCACTTTAGCACAAGAAGCAGAGGTTGCAGTGAACCAAGACTGCACTACTGCACACCAGCCTGGATGACAAAGTGAGAACCTGTCTCAAAAAAGAAAAAAAAGACATTTTCTCATCACAAAAGAATGACAACTATGTGAGATAATGCCTATGTTAATGAGCTTGATTTAGCCATTCCACTATATATATACATTTTATTAATTTGTTGTTATTATTTTTTGAGAGGGAGTCTTAATCTGTCGCCCAGGCTGGAGTGCAATGGCGCAATCTCGGCTCACTGAAACCTCTGCCTCCCGGGCTCAAGCTATTCTCCTGCCTCAGTCTCCCAAGTGGCTGGGATTATAGACATGTGCCACCATGCCCAGCTAATTTTTGTATTTTTAATAGAGACGGGGTTTCGCCATGTTGGCCAGACTGGTCTTGAACTCCTGACCTCTGGTGATCCACTTGCCTTGGCCTCCCAAAGCACTGAAATTACAGGCGTGAGTCACCGTGCCTGGTCTTTATTTATTTATATTTTGGAGACAGAGTCTTGCTGTCGTCCAGGCTGGAATGAAGTGGCACAATCTTGGCTCACTGCAACCTCTGCTCCTGAGTTCAAGTGATTCTCCTGTCTCAGCCTCCCAAGTAGCTGAGATTACAGGTGCATGCCACCACACCCAGCTAATTTTTGTATTTTTAGTAGAGACGGGGTTTCACCATGTTGGCCAGGCTGGTCTCGAACTCCTGGCCTCAGGCCATCTGCCGCTATAAAGATACTACCTGAGACTGGGTAATTTTTATAAAGAAAAGAGCTCTAGGCTGGGTGCGGTGGCTCACACCTGTAATCCCAGCACTTTGGGAGGCCGAGGCAGGCAGATCACAAAGTCAGGAGTTGGAGACCAACCCGACCAACATGGTGAAACTGCGTCTCTACTAAAAACACAAAAATTAGTCGTGCATGGTGGTGAGGGCCTGTAATCCCAGCTACTCAGGAGGCTGAGGCAGGAGAATTGCTTGAACCCGGGAGACGGAAGTTGCAGTGAGCCGAGATCGTGCCACTGCACTCCAGCCTTGGGCCACAGAGCAAGACTCCAATTCAAAAAAAAAAAAAAAATTTAATTGACTCACAGTTCCACGTAGCTGGGGAGGCCTCAGGAAACTTAGAATCATGGCAGAAGGGGAAGTGGACACTTTATCACCAGGTGGCAGGAGAGAGAGAGAGAGAGGAGGTGAGAGTGCAGGAAAAACTACCATTTACAAAATCATCAGATCTTGTGAGAACTCACTATCACGAGAACCGCATAGGGGAACCACCCCCAGAATCCAATCACTTCCCTCCCTCCACAGGTGATTACAGGTCTCTTCCTCCACACGTGGGAATTACAATTCAAGATGAGATTTGGGTGAGAACACAGAGCCAAACCATATCAGCCGGGTGATCTTTTTTTTTTTTTTCCAAAGACGGTCTTACTCTGCCGCCAAGGCTGGAGTTCAGTGGCATGATCTTGGCTCTCCGCAGCCTGGAACTCCTGGATTCAAGCGATCCTCCCGCCTCAGCCTCTTGAGTAGCTGGGACTACAGGCATGCGCCACCACATGCGGCTGGTTGGGGTAATTGATAATGACTACCAAGGTGAAATTGGACTGCTAGTCCACCATGGAGCTCAAGAAGACAACCTAGAGATCCTGTAGGAGATCCGCTAGGTTGTCGCTTAGCATTCTTATGCCATTACTAAAGTCCATGGAAAACTACAACAGCCCAATTCAGGCAGCACCACTAATGCACAGACTCTTTTGGGAGCAAAGATTTGGGTCACCCCACCAGGTAAAGAACCACGACCGGTCGGGTGCGGTGGCTCACGCCTGTAATCCCAGCACTTCGGGAGGCCAAGGTGGGTGGATCACCTGAGGTCGGGAGTTCGAGACTAGCCTGACCAACATGGAGAAACCCCGTCTCTACTAAAAATACGAAATTACCCGGGCATGGTGGCGCATGCCTATAATCCCAGCTACTCGGAAGGTTGAGGAAGGAGAATCGCTTGAACCTGGAAGGCGGGGGTTGCACTGAACCAAGATCGCACCATTGCACTCCAGCCTGGGCAACAAGAGCGAAACTCCGTCTCAAAAAAAAAAAAAAAAAAAAAAAAAGAACCACAACCAACTAAGGCACTTGCTGAAGGCAAAGGGAAAGTGGAATTGGTAGTGGAGAAAGGTGTTGTGGATACCAGCCACGACCATGTGTCCAGTTACAGAAACTAGGACTGTAACTGTTACATTTCCTTACTTTATTATGAATGCTTGTTCACAGACATGCGCACACACACACACATGCACGCATATGTATCAGATGTTTTTTCCCTTATGCATCTACTATGTGACATAAGATGTATTAATTTTATGTTATATAGTATTTAAGTGTTATTAACTTTACATCACAGAATTTGAATTATGGGATATCAAAGAGAAGAGCAAACATCAACCAGGGACTTTGCATCCTCTTCTGGGGAAAGGGTTTGTGTTGTGGTTGTATACAAGGTAGTTGTATTCTGTTAGGTGAAAGTATGACCTTGTTATTTCTCACTCAGATATTAAGTATGGTTTAAAATGTGTATAGGGGCTATGCTCAGTGGCTCACCTGTGCCTATAATCCCAGCACTTTGGGAGGCCAAGAGGGGAGGGACTGCTTGAGCCCAGGAGTCGAGGTCAGTCTGGGCAACATAGCAAGACCCCATCTCTCTTAAAAAAAAATGTAGCTAGGCAGGCCTGGTGGTGTACACCTGTAGTCCCAGCTACTTGGGAGGCTGAGGTGGGAGAATCGCTTGAATCCAGGAAGCCAAGGCTTTAATGAGCCGTGATCCACCACTGCACTCTAGCCTGGATGACAGAGTAAGATGCTGTCTCAAAAAAAAAAAAAGAAAAGAAAATTTTATATATATATACACACACACACACACACACACACACACACATACATACATACACACACACGGATGTCTCTTAGTATTCCTATGCCATTATTAAAGGCATAGGAATATATATATATTATATATATATTTATATATATATATATAATGTATATAGGTGCCAAGGTGACTGGGGCAAACTTGGAACAGTTGGTTGCAATGGTATCAACTTGGTGGGTGTTTTTGGATGAGATATTAATCTCACAATACATTGGTGAACTTTGGGTAAAGCAGATTGTCCTCCATAATGTGTGTGCGTGTGTGTGTGTGTATGTGTGGGATGCTTAACCGGTAAGTTGAAGGCCTGAACAAAACAAAAAGACCACTTCTCTAAGCAAGGGGGGACTCTCCCTCAACCTTCAGACTGTGTCCAAACCACCGTCTCTCCTGGTCTCCAGCCTGCCGGCCTCCACAGCACATTTTGGACTTCCCAAACTCCATAATAGCATGAGTGAATTCCTTATAATAACTCTCTTTCTGTATGCCCACATATCCTATTATTCTGAAGAATCCAAATATGCCTGCTTACTCGTTTTTCAAAAAGGTAAAGGATTAAAATGTTGGCTTTTCTGATACTTTTGATCTTAGTGTCAAAAAATCATAGTAACACACTCTGCTGTCTTGCATCCAAAGTTGCTGCCTGACATCCCGGGAATGATACTGTGAAACACAACATCAGGAAGATAGAAATGAGTAACCTAAGTGAAAAATGTCATACACAAAGTGAATATGTAGTGCAGACCTACAGTGTGACAAGACGTTATGGCAACACATAATAGAACACACAAAACTACTTAAGTCTTCACAAAGGTGTTGTTTTAGTCCAGCCTTATAAAATGTGTAGGAGATTGCCAGGTACAATTAAAGATTAAAGACAGAAGCAATCCTTTTTTTTTTTTTTTTTGACGGAGTTTCACCCTGTTGCCCAGGATGGAGTACAGTGGCACGATCTTGGCTCACTGCAACCTGCAACCTCCACCTCCTGGTTTCAAGCAATTCTCTTGCCTCAGCCTCCTGAGTAGCTGGGAATACAGGCGGCTGCCACCATACCTGACTAATTTTGTGTATTTTTAGTACAGACAGGGTTTCACCATGTCGGCCAGGTTGGTCTCAAACTCCTGACCTCAGGTGATCCGCCCACCTCAGCCTCCTAAAGTGCTGGGATTACAGGTGTGAGCCACTGCGCCCAGCCAACAGTGGCAAATTCTTTACCATTCCTTCCCACCTAGAGGTGAAGTTCAATTCACTTCCTCCTGAATGTGAGCTGGCCTTAGTGACTTGCATAACCAATATTATGTAGCAGAAGTGATGTTCTAGAACTTCCAAGGTTAGGTCATAAGGCTTGTAGCATCTGCCCGGGATTCTTAGAACACTTTGACAGCCCAAAGCTTCCACTTAAGTCCACTGCTCTGAGACTGCCATGGTGAAGAGGCAACGTGTAGGCACAGCCTTCCCTCATCTCTGCCTATGTGTCAGATATATGAATAATTCTCTTTTGGACTCTAGACCAGCCCATTTGCCAGTTGAATATCACCAAATGACCCCTGTCAACACCAACAGAAGAACCAACCAGCTGAGCCTAACCCCAGTTACTGACCCAAAAATCATGAGATTTAAGATAGTCTCTATTTTAAGCTAGTTTGTTATACAGCAATTTTTTTTTTTTTTAGACAGAGTTTCACTCTTGTAGCCCAGGCTGGAGTGCGATGGGCCTTCTCTGCTCACTGCAACCTCCACCTCCCAGATTCAAGTGATTCTCATGCCTCAGCTTCCCGAGCAGCTGGGATTACAGGCACGCACCACCATGCCTGGCTAATTTTTGTATTTTTAGTAGAGAAGGGATTTCACCATGTTGGTCAGGCTGGTCTTGAACTCCTGACATCAGGTGATCTGCCTGCCTCAGCCTCCCAAAGTGCTGGGATTACAGGTGTGAGCCACCATGCCCAGCCAGCAATACAATAATTTATCCAATCCTTCCTTCACTGTACTTTCTACCTTCTCTGGCCTTTTCCTCTACAGCCCCCACATTTCAAATCCTACCTAACCTCCTTTGTGAACCCTTCCTCACTTTTCCCAGCAACAGTGCACTTCTGGTCCTCTGAACCTGTATCCTTTTACCTAATAATGTGTAATGAGGATGGCAATCTCCTATTTGTTTAGGACAGTACTAATCTGTACCAATTGTGTAAATTGTCAAGGACACCCCTTTCACTCTTGAAAGTGTGCCATTTTAGTCAATAAATCATATGGTCATCCTGTGCTTAATTGCTTTATTTGTATAGAAATGTTCTCATTCTAGATTATAAGATTACTTGAAAGCAAGTTACATGTCTTTCCTTCAATAAACATCTACTGTGCAAGTACAATGTGGCCCATATTTTACAACGTGCTGCCTTGTATATCTTTTTTTTTTTTTTTTTGAGACGGAGTCTCTCTCTGTCACCCAGGCTGGAGTGCAGTGGTGTGATCTTGGCTCACTGCAAGCTCCGCCTCCTGGGTTCACACCATTCTCCTGCCTCAGTCTCCCAAGTAGCTGGGACTACAGGCGCCCACCACCATGCCCGGCTAATTTTTTTGTATTTTTAGTAGAGACAGGGTTTCACCATGTTAGCCAGGATGGTCTCGATCTCATGACTTCGTGATCTGCCCACCTCGACCTCCCAAAGTGCTGGGATTGCAGGTGTGAGCCACCGCGCCCAGCATTTTTTTTTTTTTTTTTGAGATGGAGTCTCACACTATTGCCTGGGCTGGAGTGCAGTGGTGCCATCTTGGCTCACTGTGACCTGTGCCTCCTAGGTTCAAGCGATTCTCCTATCTCAGCCTCCTGAGTAGCTGGGATTACAGATGCCAGCCACCACGCCTAGCTAATTTTTGTATTTTTAGTAGAGATGGGGTTTCATCATGTTGGCCAGGCTGGTCTCGAACCCCTGACCTCAGGTGATCCACCTGTCTTGGCCTCCCAAAGTGCTGGGATTATAGGTGTGAGCTGCTATATATTTCTTGGCACTTTCAGTAATAGAGGCTGTTAAGCCACAACACCTCAAGGGCTGGGCCAGTTCAAGGACCGATGAGAATGCAGACAGGAACTCAGATAAGGGTACTGTACTTTCTTGTTGGTTTACTATGGAACCAGCACACAGGCAGGATAAATATGAGATTAAGAACACATGATGTTAAAATAGATGTGGCTACTAGGGCCTCCCATTTCCCTGACAGAGGCACACCTCAAGGCTGGGGCCTGTGCAGTGAGAAATCCACCAGCAGAATGAAGCCTAGAACCTTGGTCCACTGTCTTTTAGGCTAGGGGAAGAGGGGAGAAGTGCCTACATTAGTCCATGCCCAAGTTTGGGGATCCTATTTTCTTGTCCCACCACAATACATATAACTTCCTTGCTAATACAATATTTTTCTTTCATTGACATTGGGCCTACTTAAGAAGTCAGTGCAGGCCGGATGTGGTGGCTCACGCCTGTAATCTCAGCACTTTGGGAGGCCGAGGTGGGCAGATTACTTCTAAGGTCAGGAGTTCAAGACCAGCCTGGCCAACACGGTGAAAACCCATCTCTACTAAAAGTACAAGAATTAGCCAGGTGTGGTGGTGTGCACCTGTAGTCTCAGCTACTCAGGAGGCTGAGGCAGGAGAATCGCTTGACCCCGGGAGGCAGAGGCTGCAGTGAGCCGAGATCGTGCCACTGTACTCCAGCCTAGGCAACAGAGCCAGGCTTGGTTTCAAAAAAAAAAAAAAAAGTCAGTTCAGTAACTGGCCATCACTAACCAGAAAGACAGTCAGTAAAAGCTTAACAGAACACACAGTAAAGAATTCAGTGGGTCCAGTGCAGTGGCTCACGCCTGTAATCCCAGCACTTTGGGAGGCCAAGGCGGGCAGATCACGAGGTCAACAGATCAAGACCATCCTGGCCAACATGGTGAAACCCCATCTCTACTAAAAATACAAAAATTAGCTGGGTGTGGTGGCGCGTGCCTGTGATCCCAGCTACTCAGGAGGCTGAGGCAGGAGAACTGCTTGACCCCGGGAGGCTGCAGTGACCTGAGATCACACCACTGCACCCCAGCCTGGCGACAAAGCTAGACCCTGTCTCAAAAAAAAAAAAAAAAGTATTCAGTAACACTGGATGACTAATGAAAATCCTGGAAAAATTTAACTAGCTGGTAAAACCTAATAGAAATAAAGTGTTAAAGACCTAAGTGATTTCTAGGCTTTTCTTCCAACTCAATCATTAATCTGCTAAATGTTTCTTTTATACCTTCGATCTTTATTTTTATACGAGAACTCTCTTTTCACCCCCGTAAGCACAGGCAACTGATTCTCCAATGTGAAATATCCTTAGAAAATAAACCAATTTCCTGTGTACCAATTAAAGCTCACAGTAACAAATTTTATAAGAAGAAAAGGCTGTAATTTTATTTTCAAATTTTTGGAAGTTTTTCAGAAAAAAATAAAATGACAAGAACACATACAAATATTGAAATTATTCATTGAACTATAAACACTTAGCAGAGGAAGGGACTTTTGATGTATTTGAATCCACCTCCTTCTGAAAGCAGGAATCACTTCTAAATGTCTCTCATATCTTTCTTCAAGGAGTGGTTTTCCAGGAGGTTCCCAGCCTCCTCAAATCTTTCCCAAGTTTGATGCACTTCACCTCATAAAAATAATATATATATATATATATATTTTTTTTTTTTTTTTTTGAGACAGGGTCTTGCTCTGTTGTCCAAGATTGAGTGCAGCAGCATGATCAGGACTCACTGCAGCCTCACCTCACCCAAGCTCAAGTGATCCTCTCACCTCAGCCTCCCAAGTAGCTGAGATTACAGATGCACATCACCACACTCGGGTAATTTTTTTTACTCTCTGTAGAGATGCAGTCTTGCTATGCTGTGCATGCTGGCCTCAAACTTGTAGGCTCAAGTAATCCTCCTGCCTCGGCCTCCCAAAGTGCTAGAATTACAGGCCTGAGCCACCGTGCCTTGCCACAAACTATTTTTAATCATTAAAAAAGAAAAAAGAAAATAAGGCAGGCCGGCTTCTCACATTACATGCTTTTAGAAAAAGGTCTCATCCTTGAAGCAGCTTTGTTATATGCAGAGCACAGTACTGGCTTCAAAAAATATATAAAGGTTCTGTGCACTGGCACTGTTTACATGTGAAGAATTGCCATCAACTTCTGTGAAAATTAGCAAGCTGGCACAGTGGCTCACGCCTGTAATCTCAGCACCTCAGGAGGCCGAGGTGGGCGGATCACCTGAAGGTGGGAGTTTGAGACCAGCCTGACCAACATGGAGAAACCCCATGTCTACTAAAAATACAAAATTAGTCAGGCATGGTGGTGCGTGCCTGTAATTCCAGCTATTCGGGAGGCTAAGGCAGGAGAATCACTTGAACCCAGGAGGCAGAGGTTGTGGTGAGCTGAAATAGCACCACCGCACTCCAGCCTGGGCAATGAGAGCAAAACTCTGTCTCAAAAAAAAAAAAAAAAAAAGTAGCAAGTTCTATTCATTCAAGTACATTAAGTTAATTGTACTTCACAAAGCTTTATATTTGGGATGAGGCTAAAACAGAAAAAAAAAACTAGCACAGAGCTGTTAATAAAAAAAAAACTTGAAAATATTAATTACTGTGAGATGTGATCAAATGAAAATCAATCCTGGATAACACTACAAATTTCTAACTCCATAAATAAGTTCTATTATGTACTAAAAATTTCCACTATCAGAAGATCCTGATTAAAATAAAGAAATACATAAAACTCAAACAGTAAGTCAATGTGATTATTTGTTTCATTTCAGAAGATCTATGGGTCCCACTGCCCGCCACACGTGTCTCCTGGTTCTCAACGAAGTGTGACCAGCTCTTCTGAAGAGGTAGGGTGAATGGCGACTGTGTTGTCAAAGTCTGCCTTCGTTGCTCCCATCTTCACTGCAACAGCAAAACCCTGCAGCATTTCATCACACCCAAGTCCCTGCATATGGATCCCAACCACCTGGGAAAAGAAGAGAAACATTTTCTTTTCTTTCTTCTTTTTTTTTTTTTTTTGAGACGGAGTTTCACTCTTGTTGCCCAGGCTGGAGTGCAATGGCATGATCTCGGCTCGCTGCAACCTCCACCTCCCGGGTTCAAGTGATTCTCCTGCCTCAGCCTCCCGAGTAGCTGGGATTACAGGCGCGCACCACCACGCCTGGCTAATTTTGTATTTTTAGCAGAGAGAGGGTTTCACCATGTTGGCCAGGCTGGTCTTGAACTCCTGGGCTCAAGTGATCCACCCACCTCAGCCTCCCAAAGTGCTGGGATTACAGGGGTGAGCCACGGTGTCTGACTGATATTGTGATCTTAATTGAACTTATAAAGAGCCTCTGGTGATGGCCAGCTCTTCATATTATTCCTCTCTATATAGCAGTTCTTAGTCTTGAGAAGAATGACAAATAATGTTTATCAACTGAATGAATGATAACTGGCATGAAGAAATAACTAAGTAGGAGCCTTCATGATTCAATATCCAGAAATCATAGGCTACTGAGGAATGTTCATGGCACCACCATGCCCGGCCAATTTTTGTATTTTTAGTAGAGATGGGGTTTCACCATGCTGCCCAAGCTACTCTCAAACTCCTGAGCTCAGGCAATCCGCCTACCTTGGCCTCCCAAAGTGTTAGGATTATAGGCGTGAGCCACAGCGCCTGGCCCTGGCCTCTCCTGTTTTTTTTTTTTTTTTTTTTTTTTTTGCTTTGAGATGGAGTCTCGCTTTGTCTCCCAGGCTGGAGGGCAGTAGCATGATCTTGGCTCACTGCAACCTCCGCCTCCCAGGTTCAAGTGATTCTCCTGCCTCAGCCTCCCGAGTAGCTGGGATTACAAGCACGCACCATCATGCCTGGCTAATTTTTGTGTTTTTAGTAGAGACAGGGTTTCACCACGTTGGTCAGGCTAGTCTCAAACTCCTGACCTCAGGTGATATGCCTGCCTCGGCCTCCCAGCGTGCTGGGATTACAGGTGTGAGCCACCACGCCTGGCATCGTCTTTATTTTTTAAAAGGAGTGGAACCTCCTTCTAGATGAAATATTATGAAGAACCCCAAAATGCAGGTAAGACAGATCAAAGTGGGCCTGTCCAGTTGAATCAGAAGGCTCAACTGCTTGGTCTCCCTCCTTTCCACCCCTGCAAAATACTGCCATCCCTGTCCATTTTGCAAGGCACTATTTAGTTTGCTGGATTTTTCCTTACCTTTTCTTCCTTGTTAGCACAGACCATTTTCATCACACATTTTGTTTTCCTTTTGGTAACTGCGTGATACATCGGGGTAAAGCTCGTTGAATAGGTCTTCACATTTTCTATTCCATATTTATGAATGGCTTCATCTACAATGCACATTAAAAAAAGCATCTATCAGAAAACTAAACAATTACACTGAACTATCAAAGAGGGAGATGACCAGAAATACATAACCTCAATCAAACCACGAGGAAATATCAAACCACGCCAAAATGAGAAGTATTCTACAAAATAAATGTCAGTGTCATATAAGACAAAAGAAGGGCTGAGGAATTCTGCCTCTAGATGAAAAGAAAGGCCAGGCACAGTGGCTCATGCCTGTAATCCCTGCACTTTGAGAGGCAGAGGCAGGTGGATCGCTTGAGCCCAGGAGATTGAGACCAGCCTGGGCAACACAGTGAAACCCCATCTCTACAAAAAATTAGCCAGGCATGGTGGTGGTGCAGGCCTGGTAGTCCCAGCTATTCGGGAGGCTGAGGCAGAAGAATTGCTTGAACCCAGAGGCGGAGGTTGCAGTGAGCAGAGATCGTGCCACTGCACTCCAGCCTGGGTGACAGTGGGAGAGCTTGTCTCAAAAAGAAAAAAAAAAAGAAAATGATACTCGGTTTATGTAAGGGCCAGTTCTTAGGAAAGATAGACATGTGTGTGTGTAGAGTGAAAAAATAAAAAAGCAAAAATATTAAGGTTAGAGAGGAGTCCTTTGTATTATTTTTAGAGCTTTTCTTTAAATTTAAAATTAGTTCAAATAAAAAAGCTAAAAAAAAAAGATCAAAGAGATAGGGTGGTGTGAAGGAAAGATACTGTACACTCAAAGTAGTAGCAGGGGAGAAAACTGGAACTGTGACAAGAGAGTAACCAAAAAGCAATGTAATCTGGGGCTGAGATAGGTTTCATCAGCTGACAGAGACCTAATTTAAAGTTGGGGGCAGGGGAAAGAGGAAGGAAACCACAAATGACCTTCAGTTTTTAAATACCTACCTTCCGTGAGTCCCACTGTCCCAATAGGGGGGTGGCTGAAGACCACAGTTGGGATGTTGTTATAATCTAATTTGGAATCTTCCTTATATTCAAAAAGTCGATGGGCAAGTTTTCGGCCAGCAGCTATTGCAACTATGGAGATATTTTAAAATCAGTGTTTATCTTACTGTCTGTTTTAACATAGCTAAATTGTTCCACTAGCCATTTATCCATCTACCTTAATGCCCTAGTTCTGACAGTTTCACACCATTGTTCATTACACTATCTAGATAGTTTAATACAGCGAAGATATGTCATGCCTCAGCGAACAACTCAAAATGATTGGCTTATGAGAATCCTATACATTCTATTACAGGTTGAGCATCCCTAATCCAGAAATTCAAAATCCAAAATCCAAAATGTTGGAGCACCATGATGCCACAAGCAGAAAATTCCACACCTGACCTCATGTGAAGGGTTGCAGTCAAAAACGCAGACAAAAGTATGCCTCATGCACACATTTAAAATATCGTATAAAGTTACCTACCAACTATGTGTATAAGGTGTATGTAAAACAAATGAATTCCGTGTTTCGACTTGGGTCGCATCTGCAAAATATCTCATTATATATATGCAAATATTCCAAAATCTGAAACTGAAAACACTTCTGGTCCCAAGCATTTCAGATAAGGGATGCTCAACCTGTCTGGCCCCACTCCCAAAAGACACATTCACAAGTTCTCACTTACCTGGCAGTTAATCTACTTAATGAAGATATTAGCTTTTTAATACAATATTTATGGAACAAGCTATATTAGTTTTCAGCATCTTTAGTTCTATTTTATAACCCTAAAGTGCTGGAATTACAGGCATGAGCCACTGCGCCTAGAATCTTTATTATTATTATCATTATTATTATATTATTATTTTTTTTTTTTAGACAGAGTCTCGCTCTTGTTGCCAGGCTGGAGAGCAGTGGCGCCATCTCAGCTCGCTGCAACCTCTGCCTCCCGGGTTGAAGCAATTCTCCTGCCTCAGCCTCCCAAGTAGCTGGGACTACAGGCGTGTGCCACCACGCCCAGCTAATTTTTGTATTTTTAGCAGAGATGGGGTTTCACCATGTTGGTCAGGAAGGTCTCGATCTCTGGACCTCGTGATCTGCCCACCTCGGCCTCACAAAGTGCTGAGATTACAGGCGTGAGCCACCGTGCCCAGCTGAATCTTTATTTTTTTAATACAGACAACATCTCACTATGTTGCCCAGCCTGGTCTCAAACTACTAGACTCAAGCGATCCCCCAACTTCAGCCTCTGAAAGTGATGGGAGCCACCACACCTAGCCAAGAGCAAGAACTTTCTAAAGGAGCTAAAAGGGTTTGGGTGTGTGACTGGTGTAGGTTTTCATCCTGATATAAGGCCCTGGGACACGCTGGAATCGCTGATGAGGTTCTAGGTACAGACTGAAAGTAGATCAAGTGATCATTAATGGATAGAGATGGGACAGAGCTTGCAATGGTGCTTAGGAAGCGGGCTGAGGTGTGGGATGCCGGAGAGAAGGAAATCAGTCTTGGTTGTATCAAGACCAGTCATACAAGAATGACAATCTAGGCCATGTGTGGTGGCTCATGCCTGTAATCCTAACATTCTGGGAGGCTGAGGCAGGCAGTCTGCTTAAGCACAGGGGTTCAAGACAACATGGTAAAACCCTGTCTCTACAAAAAATGCACCTGTGATCCTAGCTACTTGGGAGTCTGAGGTGGGAGGATCACCTGAGCCCAGGAAGGTTGAAACTGCAGTGAGCCCGTGATCATGCCACTGCACTCCAGCCTGGGTAACAGAGTGTCTCCAAAAAAAAAAAAAATGCCAATCTAAATTACTTCTTCCAAATGCCACTTCCTTCCACTGCCACCAAGCACAAGTCTGCTCCTAAGAGAGTTCCGCAACGGGTGATCATATTGTCTACATGAAAACTTCAGTCTGTGCTAAGCATTTTAAGTCTTTTATTCAGATAATGTCAGGTATCCAACCAATATCTATTTCAACACATTGTACCATTTTGACAATATAAAGACACTCATCCTTTTAACTTTGCTTAAGCAGACTGCAGATTTGACAGTGAAGAGCCAGATGGATCATGTAACACGCAGACCCTCCCTCACCAAGAAGGGAAGAGACCTTACCTGGAGTAAGAAGAGCTTTTCCACATACATCCCCAACTGCATAGATGCCTTTGACGTTGGTATTCTGGAATTCGTCTACGATGATATGACCCTTGTCATCGGTTTGAATCCCCTAAAATTACAAAGAGATATCATGTAACCACTTGGCCCACCTACTAAAAAAGGTAGATCAAACCTCTGGATCTCCCTTCCTCATTTCACATGGGAACTGCAGCCAGAATCTCCAAGAAACCATGAGACTCAGCTGCAACACGAAAGGCATTTACAGCTGGCAAGTTTCAAGCTGGGTACAGTGGGCCCACACCTGTAACCCCAGAACTTTGAGAAGCCGAAGAGGGAGGATCCCTTAAGCCCAGGAGTTTGAGATCAGCTTGGGCAACACAGTGAGACCCTGCCTCTGTTAGAAATTAGAAAAAAAAAAGTTGGCAAGTTTCATATCTTGCTTAACATAAAAGGTAGTATTTTATCCACTTTTGAGATGTTTTAACAGGATTTGACATTGCAATGTACAATTCAACTGGCCAGGCAGACATGAAGAGGATCACTCAACTATCAGGTGTGCCACTTGGAATCCCTCTGGAGTCCAGCTTTTCAACTTGTCCCATGGAAGCACTGCTCCTGAGGAACACTGACTCAAGCAGTCACCAAAAGCATATCTATGTTTATTTAGTTTTTTTTTAGAGACAGGGTCTCGCTCTGTTACCCAGGCTGGAGTGCAGTGGTGTGATCATGGCTCACTGCAATCTTGACCTCCTGGGCTTAAGCAATCCTCCTGCTTAGCCTCCCGAGTAGCTAGAACTAGAGGCATGTGCCATCACACCTGGATAATTTTTTAACATACATTTATTTATTTATTTATTTATTTATTTATTTATTTATTTATTTATTTATTTATTTATTGAGATGGAGTCTCGCTCTGTCGCCCAGGCTGGCGCGATCTAGGCTCTCTGCAAGCTCTGCCTCCCAGGTTCACGCCATTCTCCTGCCTCAGCCTCCCGAGTAGCTGGGACTACAGGTGCCCGCCGCCACACCCAGCTAATTTTTTTGTATTTTTAGTAGAGACGGGGTTTCACCATGTTAGCCAGGATGGTCTTGATCTCCTGACCTCGTGATCCACCTGCCTCGGCCTCCCAGAGTGTTGGGATTACAGGCGTGAACCACCACGCCTAGCCTTTTTAACATTTTTTTATAGAATAGGTCTTGCTGTTTCCCAGGCTGACCTCAAACTTCTGGCCTCAAGTGATCCTCACGCCTAGGTCTCCCAAAGCACTGGGGTTACAGGTGTGAGCCACCATGCCTGGCCAAAAGCACATTTCTATGAAGCTTACCATTTTGTCTTTAAAAATCCAAGCAACTTTTGCACTCTACTCTAAAACATACTGATGTTTTTTTCAGACTCCCAGAAGAAAAGTAAAAGCAAAACAAAACAAAAACACATATTGATGTTTCCCTTAACCAAAAATATTTTCCTATATGTAGTCAAATTTTTGCTTTAAGAAGACATGTTATGCTTATCATGTGGCTTTGCAAATCCTAAGTATATATGAGAAGTAGAGATATGGCAGAAGTAGGAAGTAAGTAGCCACAGAGCTTAAGAGTACAACTGGCCAGGCGCAGTGGTTCAGGCCTGTAAATCCTAGCACTTCGGGAGGCCAAGGCGGGCGGATCACCTGAGGTCAGGAGTTTGAGACCAGCCTGGCCAACATGGTGAAACCCTGTCTCTACTAAAAATACTAAAAATTCGCCAGGCATGGTGGTGCATGCCCACCTACTTGGCAAGTCCCAGCTACTTGGGAAGCTGAGGCAGGAGAATCACTTGAACCCAGGGGGCGGAGATTGCAGTAAGCTGAGATGGCACCACTGACTCCAGCCTGGGCAACAGAAAGAGACTCTGCCTCAAAAAAAAAAAAAAAAAAAAAAAAAAAAGAGTACAACCTTTGGTACAGACAGACCAAAATTCAAATCCTAGCTCTGCAACTTACCGGTTATGAGACCTTGTATAACCACCTGTTTATCAACAAATATTTAAGCTTCTATTACAAATGAGACTTTGACTTCATCACTGAGAATACCATGGTAAGACAGACATTCTCCCTACACCATAGAGTTTACAGCCCAGTAAATTATCTAGTATCTCTGTGCTCCTGGCTTCCTTATACCTTGCCGGTTGTTGGCAAGATTAAATTAGATTAGTAACATGTTGACAAGACCTAGCACATAGTAATCACTCAATTTGCATTATATAAATATATCTTAATGTCAAATGAGACTGAACCTTTTTTTTTTGCCTCATTCTTCAAAAATTTAGCAAATATAGGCTGGGTGCAATGGCTCATGCCTGTAATCCCAGCACTTTGGGAAGCTGAGGTGGAAGGATCGCTTGAGCCCAGTTCAAAATTAGCCTGGGTAATACAGCGAGACCTTGTGTCTACAAAAATTTTTTTTAAAAATTAGCCAGGTGTGGTGGACCACGCCTGTAGTTCCTACTACTTGGGAGACTAAGGTAGAAGGATGGCTTGAGCCCAGGAGTTTGATGCTGCAAGGATGCAGTGAGCCATGATGGCACCACTGTACTCCAGCCTAGGTGACAGAGCAAGACCCTATCCAACCCCCCCAAAAAAAGTTAGCAAATTTAGTTGAAAACTGGACCTATCAGTGCTTACATCTGTACAATGGCAAAATATCTCTTGAAAGGTGAAAAGCTGAATGACCAGTTTTTTGTTGTTGTTGTTTTCTTTTGGTGTTTTTTTTTGGTTTTTTTTTTTTGAGACGGAGTTTTGCTTTTGTTGCCAGGGCTGGAGTGCAATGGCGTGATCTCGGCTCACTGCAACCTCAGCCTCCTGGGTTCAAGCGATTCTCCTGCCTCAGCCTCCCAAGTAGCTGGGATTACAGGCATGCGTCACCATGCCTGGCTAATTTTTGTATTATTAGTAGAGACGGCATTTCACCACGTTGCCCAGGCTGGTCTCGAACTCCTGACCTCAGGTGATCCACCCGCCTCAGCCTCCCAAAGAGCTGGGATTACAGGTGTGAGCCACGGCGCCTGGCTGACTAGTTTTGTTAATATGAAAATAGGCAATTAATTTTACTAAATGTCATTGAATAAGATTACAAACAATCAAAACATCTCCCTGAATATTTTATAAGTTAACATGCAGAAAAATGACCTTTTACAGAAACAGAAAAGGAATCCACATTACAACAGGAACTTAGTATTAGAACATAAGTCAAAAGGTATACACTGCTCAAGCAGCTCTATCAAATATATACGCCTCAGGCTGGGCGCAGTGGCTTACGCCTGTAATCCCAGCACTTTGAGAGGCCACGGTGGGTGGATCACCTGAGGTCAGGAGTTCGAGACCAGCCTGGCCAACATGGTGAAATCCTGTCTCTATTAAAAAAATACAAAAATTCGACGGGCGTGGTGGTACACGCCTGGAATCCCAGCTACTCGGGAGGCTGAGGTAGGCGAATCGCTAGAACCCAGGAGGCAGAGGTTGCAGTGAGCTAGATCACAACACTGTACTCCAGCCTGGGCAACACGGCAAGACTCTGTCTCAAAACAAACAAACAAACAAACAAACAAACAAAAAAACCCAGAACAAAATAAATATATGCACCTCAAACATAAAATATCCTATTATTACTAATAGAGTAGTATAGCATATCAGAAAAATCATCATCATTATCAATAGCAGGTGAACATTCATTGTGTTCATAATGTAAGCTAGGGTCTCAGTTATAAATTACTTTGCATGCACTTTTTCATTTACTCTTCTGTATAACCCAATGAGGCAAGAACTTTTTTCATTCCCATTGTGAATATGAACCACTTGAAGCAGAGAAATTAAGCTGCTTGCTCAAAGCCATGCAACTGTTATGTTGTAAGAACTAAGGTTCAAATTTGGGTCAAACTCTGGGAACCAAACCCCAAGCTCCCATTCTAGATTTTACTTCAACATTTAAAAGAACAAGTAAGAATGCCAACTGTCCACAAATACAGACAGCACGGGTAGAGCCAAGAGAGACAGCTTCACATCTGTTCCCATCCCTGTGTACAATGTACAAGACAGTTACCCACCCAGCAATCTGGATTACCTACTACAGATGCTAAAAGATCAGCATAGGACTTGAAAGAGACATTCACATAGCAAAAACGAAGTCTGTAAGAGGGAGGCCAATAGGAAACTAGGTTAGAGGTGGCAGGCCGGCTGGGCATGGAGGCTCATGTTTATAATCCGAGCACTTTGGGAGGCCGAGGTGGAAGGATCACTTGAGGCCAGGAGTTCAAGAGCAGCCTGGGCAACATAGTAAGACTCCATCTCTACAGAAAACTTAAAAATTAGCCAGGTGTGGTGGCACATTCCTGTAGCTCCAGCTACTTGGGAAGCTGAGGCAGAAGGATCAGTTGACCCCAGGAATTCAAGACTGCAGTGAGCTATGATCATGCCACTGTACACTAGCCTGGGTGACAAAGCAAGACCCTGTCTCAAAAAAAAAAAAAAAAAAAAGGAAAGAAAACAAAAAAGAAAAAGGCCAGACGTGGCGGCCTTTTTCTGGGACATGCTGGGACATGCCTATAGTCCCAGCACTCTGGGAGGCTGAGATGGGCGAATCGCTTGAGCCGAGGAGACCAGCCTGGGCAACATGGTGAAACCTCATCTCTAAAAAAAATAAAAATAAAAAAATTAGCTGGGCATTGTGGCACACACATAGTTCCATCTACTCCAGAAGCTGAGGTGGGTGGATCACTTGAGCCTAGGAGGTTAAGACTGCGGTGAGCTATGATCACACCACTGAACTCCAGCCTGGGTGACAGAGCAAGACCTTTCTCAAAAACAAAAAGAAAAAAACAAAAACAGAAAAGAAAGGAAAAGGAAAGAAGAGAAGAGAAAACTTTTTTTTTTAATTTCAAAGGAAGAAGCAATGAAATTTGATCACAAACTGAATACATGGGAAAAAGAGAAAAGAATCCAATGGAATCCACCCAAGTTTTGGGTGTCTGGGGGGAAAATAAAACCATAAGACTCCTAGTAGATTCACAAATGTTTCGGGCAGACCAAGCCAGCTTACCAGTTTGTTTAAACTCAGGTCCTTGGTATTCGGGACCCGCCCAATGGCCCAGAGCAGGCAGTCAACATCTGGAATCATGGTCATGACTGGTAGCCTACCGGGAACTGCAGTAACCATGCTGACTTCCAAGCCCGACAAAGTCTTTTTAACCTCCTTGACCTATTGGCAAATAAAATGTGTTACACATGTGTGGAGGCTCAGGGAGGACAGGGGAAGAAGGAAAGCAAATACAGAGGAAACTAGAATTTTTAACATTAAAGAAAATCCCTACTGAATCCCACATACAAAGATAGACATAAACTTTTACCCAAAGGCCACCAACACTTGAACTCCCTTAAACCAAGCCTGTTCCCTGGGTTGACCCAAATCTTCCAGTCAGTGGCTGGGAATGTCAGCTCATGACACCATTGTAATGCCTCACTTTAAAAACAAAGTATTTTAAAGTGTACTTCTGGAAAAATGTAATAACATTTTAAGTGGTAAACCTAAGCATAGTGCTTTGAAAGTAGGCCACGGCAGCATCACTAGGAAACTTTTCAAAACTGCACAATTAGTGCCTCTCCCTGGGTATATACGTGTGTGTGTGTATATATATATATATACACACACACATATATATATAAAATAAATATACGTATATTTATATATAAATATATTTATATATGTAAAATAAACATATGCATATTATATATAAATATATTTATATATAAATATATGTATATTATATATAAATTATATTTTTATTAAATATATGTATTTAATGTTTTTATTAAATATATGTATTAAATATATGTATATTTTTATTTATTATATATATAAATGTATATATATGTATATTTATATACATATATTATATAATACGTATATTTATATATGTATATTATATATAAATATACATATAAATAAAATATACATATATAAAATATAAATATATAAATAAAATATACATATATAAATCTATTTATATAAATATACATTTACATATAAATAAAATAATATATTTATTTATTTATTTATTTATTTATTTTTCTTTAAGAGACAGGGTCTTGCTCTGTTGCCCAGGCTGGAGTGCAGTGGCAAGATCAGCCTCCTGGACTCAAGCTCTCCTCCCACTTCAGCCTCCTGGGTAGCTAGGACAACAGGCACGTGCTACCTCATCTGGCTAATTTTTAAATTTTTCATAGAGATGGCATCTTGTTATGTTGCCCAGGCTGGTCTCTAACTCATGGCCTCAACTGATTCTCCTCCTGCCTTGGCCTTGCAAGTGCTGGGATTACAGGTGTGAGCCACTGTGCCTGGGATCTCTGTATATTCTTAATTGGAATGAAGGAAAGTAAGACTTGGGTTTGGAGAGTGGAGAAAATAAATAGTTTACTGAAGGTCCTAAGGTGGTTATGATGGTAGCCTCCTCCACCAGCCGAGCATTTTTACATTCACAATTTTATTTGATGTGGTCTATACTGAAAAGGTGAGGCTGTGTGGGGGAAGGGAAGATCATTTTTAAAAGGCTAATTCTCTAGGAAAATACTGCCTGAAATTCAAGTGATTGCTTGAGGAATAAAGCACTTTGTAATTCTTTCTAACTACAAAATTCAAAGGGTATGATTTAAAATTAGATTCTAGGCTGGACATGGTGGCTCACACCTGTAATCTCAACACTTTGGGAGGCCGAGGCTAGAGGATCACTTGAGCTCATGAGTTTGAGAACAGCCTGGGCAACATAGTGAGACTCCATGTCTACAAAAATTTTTTTTTTAATTAGCCAGGCATGGTGGCATGCACCTGTAGAAGCTAGGTGGGAGGATTGCTTGAGCCCAGGAGTTGGAGACTGCAGTGAGCAATGATCATGGAACTGCACTACAGCCTGGGCAACACAGCAAGACCTTGTGTCAAGAAAAATAATTTTAAAAATGAAAGATAGAGGCCAGGCATGGTGGCTCATGCCTGTAATCCCAGCACTTTGGGAGGGTGAGGTGGGCAGATCGCTTGAGACCAGGAGTTCAAGACCAGCCTGCCAACATGGTGAAACCCATCTGTACTAAAACAAAATACAAAAATTAGTTGGGCTTGTTGGCAGGTGCCTATATTCCCAGCTGAGGCAGGAGAATCACTTGAACCTGGGAGGTGGAGGTTGCAGTGAGCTGTGACTGTGCCACTGCACTCCAGCCTGGGTGACAGAGCAAGACCCTGTCTCAAAAACAAAACAAAACAAACAAACCAAAAAACCCAAGAAAGATAGGCTGGGCACAGTAGCTCACTCCTGTAATCCCAGCACCCTGGGAGGCTGAGGTGAGCGGATCACTTGAGGTCAGGAGTTGGAGACCAGCCTGGCCAAAATGGTGAAACCCCGTCTCTACTGAAAATACAAAAATTAGCCAGGCATGGTGGTGCGTGACTGTAATCCCAGCTACTCAGGAGGCTGAGGCAGGAGAATCCCTTGAATCTAGGAGGCAGAGGTTGCAGTGAGCCGAGATGGCACCACTGCACTCCAGCCTGAGCAACAGAGAGAAATTCTATCTCAAAAAAAAAAAAGATAAAAATTAGATTCCATAATATTTCCTAAAAAATAAATATAAATCTAAAAATATTAAGGATGTGTAATAAGACACCTGAGCACAAAAATCAAAGTTTTAAAATCCAAATTTAAAAAATCAGGGGCCGGGTGTGGTGGGTCACACCTGTAATCCTTACACTTTGGGAGGCCAAGGTGGGCAGATAGTCTCAGCTCAGGAGTTCAAGACCAGCCTGGCCAACATGGCTCAACCCTATCTTTACAAAAAATACAAAAAAATTAGCCAGGCGTGGTGGCATGTGCCTGTAGTCCCAGCTACTTGGTGGGGGCAGAGGTGGAAGGATTGCTTGAGCCCAGGAGGTTGAGGCTGCAGTGAGCTGAGATTGCACCAATGCACTCCAGCCTGGGTGACAAAGTGAGACACTGTCTCAAAAAGAAAAAAAAAAAATCAAAGTTCATCTAAATTCAACTGCCAGATTTCTAATATTTTACCCTTGACTTCAAGGCTGAATGTAAAATACAGCTTTTTTTTTTTTTTTTTTTTTTTTTGAGATGGACTCTCGCTCTTGTTGCCCAGGCTGGAATGCAATGGCACAATCTCAGCTCACCACAACCTCCACCTCCTGAGTTCAAGTGATGCTCCTGCCCCGAGTAGCTGGAATTACAGGCATGCGCCACCACGCCCAGCTAATTTTGTATTTTTGGTAGAGATGGAGTTTCTCCATGTTGGTCAGGCTGGTCTCAAACTCCCAACCTCAGGTGATCCGCCTGCCTCGACCTCCCAAAGTGCTGGGATAACAGGTGTGAGCCACCACACCCAGACTTTTTTTTTTTTTTTTTTTTTTTGAGACGGAGTCTCGCTCTTGTCGCCCAGGCTGGAGTGCAGTGGCACAATCTCGGCTCACTGCAACCTCCACCTTCTGGGTTCAAGCAATTCTCCTGCCTCAACCTCCAGAGTAGCTGGGATTACAGGTGCACACCACCACGCCCAGCTGATTTTTGTATTTTTAATAGAGAGAGGGTTTCACCATGTTGGCCAGGCTGTTCTCGAAGTCCTGACTTCAAGTGTTCCGCCCACCTCAGCCTCCCAAAGTGCTGGGATTACAAGTGTGAGCCACCGCACCTGGCTAAAATACAGCTTCTTAGGAGGAAGGAAATAATAGGGAGTACCCTAGAGGTGGAATATATGGACCGGGGTAGACATAGTGTTTGTGTTTTTAAACTAACTGGGCGAAGCCACAAGCAGAAAGTGTGATTGACTGGGGGCCGCGTGCATGCCTGGGCTTGGCACTGTACCTGGGAGAACTTCAGCACCTCCACGCCAGCGTTCTCCAGCTCCTCCGTGCAGTTGGTGCTGATCATTGAATCAAAACTTCTAAGTACCTGCATATCAACATAGGGATGGGTAATGCGAGAGGAAGAAAACTTGAGCAAAGACACACCACAAACTTGGGAGGGAAACTTCAGCATTATCTCTCCCCTAATTATTTCCTCCTTACTTATGGCCATATTGGGAGTGGAGTATTAATAAATTCCCTATTTTCCTACATCACCACCACCATCTGCAATACATATGACTTCACCAACTCCTGTCCTACAGTTAAATGGACAGCCATTGTCCACTGTCTTCTCCTCACAAAGCTTGCTTCTCTTTTCCTTAAGTCCAGGGAACAGAAATTCTCTTTCCACTTTTCGTATCTCAAGGTCTGCTTTCCCTCTGATATGATTGAAGGGAAGATTTACTAGCAAAATCTTGTCTAGCCATAAATCTCAACAGTATGGCCTTGGAGATATATCTGTGACCATCCACATGTGGAGTTCAGGTGGGAGGTCATGAGTTATTCACAGAGTAGTTCTTTTATTTTTATTTTTTTGAGAGGGAGTCTTGCTCTACCACCCAGGCTGGAGTGCAGTGGTACCATCTCAGCCCACTGCAACCTCCGCCTCCTGGATTCAAGCAATTCTCCCGCCTCATCCTCCCGAGGAGCTGGGATTACAGGCGCCCACCACCATGCCTGGCTAACTTTTCTATTTTTAGTAGAGACGGGGTTTCGCCATGTCGGCCAGGCTGGCCTCGAACTCCTGACCTCAGGTGATCCGCCCACCTAGGCCTCCCAAAGTGCTGGGATTATAGGTGTGAGCCACCATGCCCACCCACAGAGTAGCTCTAAAATGGAGTTAACACTGGGAAAAAAAGGGAGAATGAACTTGGTGCATTTGGGATGGGAGAGGGCAGGAAGCCCAAGTAGATGTGGCTCTCTGCAAAGTAGCCAATTTTACAGATGCAAGAATTACCCCCTTTATTGACAGACTGCTGCAGTTTATTTACTTATCTATATATAAATTCAAGCTAGGAACTCCTCTACCTTTCCCCATCCTTCTAATTTGCTGGATATATTCTAGCAAAATAATACTTACCTATGAAAAAATATTATTCAGGACCTCAATCTCCTGGAGCTAATTATATAACCAGTTTCAAAGCCACAGAGAAAGTTCCTTAAAGTACATACTGCCTAGGATTCTCAGAATCCCTGTCTCCCTCCATCTGCTCACATAAGAATTAGAATCATAGCATCTTGGTAGTCAGGGATCTGATAAATTCTGTCCCTGCAGAACTAGGCCCCAAAGGCATTATGTGGCTTGCCTAAGTCACAAGTTTGTTAGGGACAGTCAGCTGCCCAGGCTAGAGTGCAGTGGCACAATCTTTGCTCACTGCAGCCTTGACCTCCTGGATTCAAGTGATTCTCCTACCTCAGCCTCCCAAGTAGCTGCAACTACAGGCGTATACCACTACACCTTGCTAATTTTTTAATTTTTTGTAGTAGAGATGGGGGTCTCACTATGTTGCCCAGGTTGGTCTTGAACTCCACCTGCTACTTGGGAGGCTGAGGCAGGAGGATAGCTTGAGGCCAGGAGTTCGAGACCAGCCTGGGCAACATAGTAAGACCTCATCTCTAAAAATATATAAAAAGTAGTCAGGTGGCGCATGCCTGTAATCCCAAGCACTTTGGGAGGCCGAGGTGGGCGGATCACTTGAGCTCAGGAGTTTGAGACCAGCCTGGGCAACATGGTGAAACCTCACTGGGTGTGGTGGCATGTTCCTGTAGTCCTGGCTATTTGGGAGGCTGGGGTGGGAAGATCGCTTGAGCCCAGAAGGTTGAGGCTGCAATGAGCCATGATGTGCCACCGCACTCTAGCCTGGGCAACACAGTGAGACTCTGTCTCAAAAAAAAAAAAAAAAAAAAATTAGTCAGGGCATGGTGGCCCACACCTGTAGCCTCAGCTACTTGGAAGGCTGAGGCAGGAAAATCCTATGAGCTCAGAAGGCTGCAGTGAGCTATGATCATGCCACTGTACTGCAGACTGGGTAACATAGCAAGACTCTGTCTCTTAAAAAAAAAAAAAATTTCAAGTGTATGATCTACAAGATTCCCTTTAATGTAAGCTCGTTCGACCTGCAGCCTGCAGGCCGTGTGCGGACCAGGATGACTTTGAATGTGGCCCAACACAAATTTGTACACTTTCTTAAAATGCTATGAGATTTTTTTGCAGTTTTTTTGTTTTGTTTTGTTTTTTGTTTTGAGACAGAGTCTTGCTCTGTTGCCCAGGCTGGAGTGCAGTGGTGCAATCTTGGCTCTCTGCAACCTCTGCCTCTTGGGTTCAGGCGATTCTTATGCCTCAGCCTCCCGTGTAGCTGTGATTAGTTGCCTGCCACCATGCCTGGATAATTTTTGGATTTTTAGTAGAGATGGGGTTTCACCATGTTGGCCAGGCTGGTCTCCAACTCCTGACCTCAAGTGATCCGCCCGCCTCAGCCTCCCAAAGTGCTGGGAATTAGAGGCGTGAGCCACTGTGCCCAGTCTGCAATTTATTTTTTTATTAGCTCATCAGCTATTGTTTGTGTTAGTGTATTTTATGTGTAGTCCAAGACAATTCTACTCCTTCCAGTGTGGCTCAGGGAAGCCAAAAGATTGGACACCCCTGCTTTAATGCAAAGAATTTAGTAAATTGTTTAGAATGAGTGGTAACAATCTAACATTACTTGATCATATAAAATTGATTTCCAGAAATTAATAAATTAACCTGGCGGGGCTTGGTGGCTCACACCTGTAATCCCAGCACTTTGGGAGGTCGAGGTGGGTGGATCACCTGAGGTAGGGAGTTCGAGACCAGCCTGGCCAACATGGTGAAACCCCATCTCTACTAAAAATACAAAAATTAGTTGGGCATGGTGGTGGATACCTGTAATCCCAGCTACTTGGGAGGCTGAGGCATGAGACTCGCTTGAGCCCAGGAGGCAGAGGTTGCAGTGAGCCGAGATGGTGCCACTGCACTCCAGCCTGGACAAAAGAGTGAGACTCTGTCTCAAAAAATAAAAATAAAAAAATAAATTAACCTAACAGTCTGTTTAATTTAGCTAATAGTTATGTTTAGGCCCCACGTCTCCCTATGAGGGCATCTCATGACTATCTACCACTTAGTGATGAAATTACCAGCCAATTTGACCAACTCAAAATTATCATCATCAACCAGCAACTGGGAGGGATATAGGCCAAATTCAGGTAACTTGGATACAGCACCATATGAAACCAACCAAATGACCCCCACACCTGCTTTGCACCCTAGTATTTAACGACAACATAAGAAAAAATTCTTCATTTTTTAAATTAACATCAAGAAAAGCGAAAAGAAAAAGGTGGCATTTACCTTATCATGCCGTATCATCAGTGATGTCTTAGAACCCAGGGCTGACAGGATCCCTGCCATCTCCACAGCAATGTAACCTGCACCAACAATGACGCTGCGGCTGAGACGCGAGCAGAGGGTTAGTATTCTTAAATAAACTAATTTTGGAATAATTTCACGTTTACAGAAAAGTTGCAGAGATAGTACAGAGATTTCCCTTATTATACCCCTTGATCAGTTTTCCCTAAAGTTAATATTTTACTTAATTAGGATACCTTTGTCAAAATAAGAAATTGACATTGGTACATTACTAATGACTAAACCCTAGACTGCAGATTTTCACTTTTTCCCTTTTTTTTGAGACAGGGTCTCTGTCACCCAGGCTGGAGTGTAGTGGTGTGAACACGGCTCACTGCAGCCTCAACCTCCAGGACTCAAGCCATCCTCCAGCCTCAGCCTCCTGAGTAGCTGGGACTACAGACATTCATCGCCACACCCAGCTAAGTTTTATATTTTCTTTTGTAGAGACAGAGTCTCACCATGTTAGCCCAGGCTAGTCTTAGCTCCTGGGCTCAAGCAATGCTCTTACCTTGGCCTCCCAAAGTGCCGGCATTACAGGTGTAAGCTACCTTGCCTAGCCCAGTTTTTCTATTAATCTTTTTTTTTTTCTGTTCCAAGATCCAATCCTGGATACCACTGCAACTTTAAGTAGAAAATATTCCTTTGAGCCTGGGCAATAAAGTGAGACCCCATCTCTACAAAAACATAAAAGTAAGGCCAGGCACGGTGGCTCATGCCCATAATCCTAGCACTTTGGGAGGCTGAGGTGGGTGGATCACCTGGTCAGGAGTTCGAGACCAATCTGGCCAACATGGTGAACCCCGTCTCTACTAAAAATACAAAAAGTTAGCCAGGTGCAGTGGTGTGTGCCTGTAATCCCAGCTACTCGGGAGGCTGAGGCAGGAGAATCGCTTGCCCTTAGGAGGCAGAGGATGCAG
The DNA here is from genome assembly GCF_000001405.40 of Homo sapiens. Taxonomy (NCBI): domain Eukaryota; kingdom Metazoa; phylum Chordata; class Mammalia; order Primates; family Hominidae; genus Homo; species Homo sapiens. The sequence continues at coordinate 30,697,357 of NC_000008.11, forward strand.
TAAGCCAAGATTGCACCAATGCACTCCAGCCTGGGAAACAGAGCGAGACTCTGTCTCAAAAAAACAAAACAAACAAACAAACAAACAAACAAACAAAAAACCCCTAAAAGTAAAAATAAAAATTATCCAAGTATGATGGTCCATGTCTGTGGTCCCAGTTACTTGAGAGGCTGAGGCAGGAGGATAACTTGTGTCTGGGAGGTGGAGGCTGCAGTGAGCTATGACTATACCACTGCAGTCCAGCCTGGGTGACAGAGCAAAAGACCCTATCTCAAAAGAAAAGAAAAATCCCTAATATCCCGTCACAGAAGGGAAATGTATTTTTCATTGTTTTTAAAGCTCTTTAGCCTCATTTCTTCAGAGAGGAAAAAACTCTGTGCAGAGACAATATCTCCCTATGTTGCCCAGGCTGGTCTCGAACTCCTAGGCTCAAGTGATCCTCCGGCCTGAGCCTCCCAAGTAGCCAAGACTACCAGCATGTGCCAACACACCCAGCTAATTTTTGTATTTTTTTTGCAGAGATCGGGTTGTGCTGTGTTGCCTAGGCTGGTTTCAAACTCCTGGGCTCAAGAAATTCGCTCGCCTCAGGCCTCCCAAAGTGCTGAGATTACAGGCATAAGCCACTGTGCCTGGCTTCTGGAACTGATCTTTCAGGCGGCTGAATCCCTAAAAGATTTCTCTTTACCTCGTTGCAGCCCCAGGACTACTCATGCACAGTATTCCACAAGGTTCATGCTCCATCCAAACAGAAGCCCCCTCAGTGCAAAAACTAAATCATGCTATCTTCCCTACATTATTTATGTACTTGCCCAGTTATTACTTATTCACCAACACCGTAACAAAGATAAAGTAGACTTGAAGAATCACGTATCAATCGTAAATTCATTTTCTTGTGTTTCAGAGCCTTTTGTTGATGACATGCATAAATGTAAATATTTAAAATTGCTAATGAACAGCTATTTATAATGAAACTTCTTTGAGGGTGAGTCCGGAATGAAATTACATTATCCAAACATAATGAGTCATGACTGTATGTCTCACTACATCCTCACATATGTCATGTCACTCAACCCTAAAATCAAACAATGCAGGGTGGATCACAGGGAAGGAAGGCTGTTCTCTAACACATTTCTGCGACCTGATAGCAAACCAAAAAAGATTGTATGGTTTTCTTAGAACTCCTCCAAGTCAGAAGCCTGCCTGGTCTGAGGTATCTTCAAGGGACATTTTCACCATCCTATGGAACTGCAAAGCAGCTCCCTGGTCCTTTCTGAACTGCCTCGTGCTGTCTGAACTGTCCATGACTCTGGGTGAATCAAAGTGAAGATAGGCTCATGGACTATGAGTCACTCTCCCTAAAAGCCCTTCTAAAAGCATAGGATTAGGACCTCAAACTGGATTAGCACAGCCCCTGAGGGAGCAGAAGAGTTGAGCAATGCAAACTCCACAGTGAGTGCCACTCAGAAGATGAATGAAGGCCAGTCCCTGCGCCAACACATTGGGTCCCTCCACCTGTTTCCAGGCATCACCTCTTCTCACAAGTGACAGGAGCATCCCTCTAAACTAGAAAGCCTGCAATGTACAGCAACTTCAAATCAGAGAAACAAACTTCCTCATGATCTTTTTGCCCCTCTATGAATCTAAATCCATTCAGCACGGTGGCCCATGCTTGTATTCCTACTGCTTTGAGAGGCCAAGGTGGGAGGATTGCTTGAGGCCAGGAATTCTAGACCAGCCTGGACAACAGAACGAGACCCCATCTCTACAAAAATTTAAATTAAAAAGTTAACCAGGTATGGTGGTGCACGTTTGTAGTCCCAGCTACTCGGGAGGCTGAGGTGAAAGGATTGCTTGAGCCCAAGAGCTCAAGGCTACCACAAGCCATGATGGCACCACTGCACTCCTGCCTGGGCGATGGAAGAAGACCCTGTCTCTAAAAAAAAAAATGTTTGTTCATTAAAAGAAAATCTGGCCAGGTGTGGTGGCTCACATCTGTAATTCCAGCACTTTGGGAGGCTGAGGCGGGCGGATCACCTGAGGTCAGGAGTTTGAGACCAGCCTGACCAACATGGAGAAAACCCACCTCTACTAAAAATACAAAATTAGCGGGGCGTGGTGGCACTCTCTCTCTCTTTCTTTCTTTCTTGGTGTGATCTTGTCTCACTGCAACTCCGCCTTGAGAATTCAAGTGATTCTCCTGCCTCAGCTTCCCGAGTAGCTGAGACTACAGGCCCACACCACCACACCCAGCTAATTTCCATAGTTTTAGTAGAGACAGGGTTTCACCATGTTGGCCAGGCTGGTCTCGAGCTCCTGACCTCAGGTGATCTGCCCGCTTCAGCCTCCCAAAGTGCTAGGATTACAGCCATGAGCCACCACATCTGGCCAAAACCAGCTATTCTATTCTAAAATACAAGCTACTTTAGACACATTCTTAATTGATGCTGTATTAAGTTGAAGAAAGAAGACAGTTTTAGGACTTTGCTATGCAGTCTTCAAATTACCCTGCATTTGACTTTGGCCTCTGATTGAAAGCATGAAAGATTTGAGGGATCTACTGAGGAGTTCTAGGAATGAGATATACAAGGTCATGAAAAGAGAAGCTGTAAGAGGAGGGAATTCAGGAAAGGCCTACATTAAATGCTTGGGAGGAGAAGACGAAGAAAAGTTACCAGGAGACAGTAAGGAAGAATGAGTCACTGAGGTCAGGTCAGGTTGGCTTACCCGGGCAATTCTTCCAGCTGAAAAAATCCATCGCTGGTTATTCCTAAGCTGGCACCTATGTAGAAAAAGGCAACATAGATCACACAAGACTGCTCTTTCTCTTGCAAAGTAATCACAACATTTTATGCCAAAAACCAAACACTTTCACAGCCAACATAGTCTCCGTTTTGACAAGTTTTGTTAAAGTCTCTGCTTGGAAAGCTGCCAACCAAATCCTCCCTGAGTTAACATTTTTATTTTCTCTCTAGAAACAGAAGCCATGATGGCTAAATAACTTTTACATTTCTCTGAAGAATGAAGATCTCAGTGGTCATGAACAGACTCTGTTGGATCTGTTCACCCTCCCACCCCAAGGGCAGGTAGGAACCCTGGGGCTCAGCTCATTACAGGTGTGAGACACCGTTCCTGCCTGAAAAGACAAATTTCTATGTAGTTCAAAATCTATGTGGCCTGGCCAACGTGGTGAAACCCTGTCTCTACTAAAAATACAAAAATTAGCTGGGCATGGTGGCACGCACCTATAGTCCCAGCTACTTGGGAGGCTGAGGCAGGAGAATCACTTGAACCTGGGAGGTGGAGGTTGCAGTGAGCCGAGATCGTGCCACTGCACTCCAGCCTGGGAACAGAGCAAGATTTTGTCTCCAAAAAAAAAAAAAAAAAAAAAAAAAAATCGACGTGGCCCTTTCCTCTCTGCTTATTCTTTCAAAGGTTTCAACCTATATGGTGTACACATTGAATTACAAGAGGTACAACCTATATAGTGAAATATACATGTAGTGAAAAGGAGATTGAAACCTTTGGATATAGGATAGCAGGTCCTATCTTGCAGGACTTCCAGATGCATTCTTCCAGGTTTGACCTTCTCCCCAGGTTGCAGTTCCATGTTTCTAACTATCTCGCCACACAATTTTACATTGGCTTCAAACTTAGTCTATTTAGAACTGAACCTTAATTTTATCTTCCAACCCATATCTCTCTCAAGTTTACCACTTCAGTTACCACCTGCTCCCAATAATGCAGACAAAGCCTTCAGTTGTCAACTGCTGATTCCTTCTCTCTGTAGCCCCCCTACCCTCATTTCTCATCAGTTATTAAATATATTAGGCCAGGTGCAGTGGCTCACACCTATAATCCCAGCACTTTGGGAGACTAAGACAGGCAGATCGCCTGAGGTCAAATGTTCGAGACTAGCCTGGCCAACATGGTGAAACCCCGTCTCTACTAAAAATACAAAAATTAGCTGAGTGTGGTGGCGCATGCCTGTAATCCCTGCTACTCAGGAGGCTGGGGCAGGAGAATTGCTTGAACACAGGAGGCAGAGGTTGCAGTGAGCCAAGATCCTCCCATTGCACTCCAGCCTGGGTGACAAAAGCAAAACTCTGTCTCTGAACAAACAAACAAACAAAAAAATATATATGTTGCATTTTGGCCGGGTGCAGTGGCTCACACCTGTAATCCCAGCACTTTGGGAGGCCAAGGTGGGCAGATCAACTGAGGTCAGGAGTTTGAGACTGGCCTGGACAACGTGGCAAAACCCCACCTCCACTAAAAATACAAAAAAAATTAGCTGGACATGGTGGTATGTGCCTGTAGTACCAGCTACTAAGGAGGCTGAGGCAGGAGAATTGCTTAAACCCGGGAGGCAGAGGTTCCAGTGAGTGGAGATTGCGCCACTGCACTCCAGCCTGGGTGGCAGAGCAAGAATCTGTCTCACAAAAAAAAAAAAAAAAAAAAAAAAAATTCACCTTGATAATGGATCTTATGAAGCTAATCCATGGAAAATTCAAAAGATGTATAAACTATGTTCACCATCCACAAAGTCCTTATAATCTAGCTGGGAAAAAAGAAAGATATCGCTTGAGCCATCTCCCATCTAAACGTCCTGGTCAAGGCCTTAGTGAGCTGTGATCACACCACTGCACTCCAGCCTGGACAACAGAGCAAGACCCTGTCTCAAAAAAATAAAATAATATAAAATAAAATAATAGGCCGGGCACAGTGGCTCACGCCTGTAATCCCAGCACTTTGGGAGGCCGAGGTGGGCCCATGTGACCAACATGGTGAAACTCTGTCTCTACTAAAGTACATAATTAGCTGGGCGTGGTGGCGGACACCTGTAATCCCAGCTACTCGGGAGTCTGAGGCAGGAAAATCGCTTGAACCCAGGAGGTGGAGGTTGCAGTGAGCTGAGGTTGTGCCACTGCACTCCAGCCTGGGTGACAGAGCCAGACTCTGTCTCTAAATAAATAAATAAATAAATAAATAATAAAATAAAATGCAAAAGAAGTTATGACCATCTCTGAGATTCCTTACAGCTTTAATCTTCTATAAGTCTCTACTTAAAAGAGAAAAATATGCATATAAAAGCTCACTTAGCTACTCAAGCTACATCCTTACAAGATTTCTCTCTCTTGAACAAAACAATAAATTATCACGTGTCTTGTAAATAACAACCCGTCTGACAAACTGAGGCTGGAAACAATGTATGCTAAGCTAAGAAGGAAAGAATGAGGCTTTCATTGATTTCTCTCCCTCTGTTACCTGCAATATGTCTGAGCCTGGGGCCAAATGAAATCTCTTGGCTGGGCACGGTGGCCTGCAATCCCAGCACTTTGGGAGGCCAAGGTGGGTGGATCACCTGAGGTCAAGAGTTCAAGACCAGCCTGGCCAATATGATGAAACCCCATCTCTACTAAAAATACCAAAACTAGCCAAGTGTGGTGGTGGCATGCCTGTAGTCCCAGCTACTTGGGAGGCTGAGGCAGGAGAATCACTTGAACCCAGGAGGCGGAGGTAGCAGTGAGCCAAGATCGTGCCACTGCACTCCAGCCTGGGCGACTGCATCACTAGCTACCACTAAGCCAACTGGAGTTAGGTTCTGCAGAGACCTTCTCCCATGGCCTGGCTCCAAAGAGAGAACTGGTTTAGGCAGATCCCCTGGCATGGCTTTTCAGGTTGAAAGCAACAGTAAACTCCTGACTGCTGTTAATGAGTACCTGTTGTATGACTCACCGGGGATCTGGCTCTCATGAGGGGTGGAGGGCATACCACCTGTGGCGATCAGGATGTGTGGGGCGGTGTACTTTTTCCCACTGACCTCTATTGTGGGCTTGGGATCACTCGTGAAGGCTGCATGGCCACGGATGATTTCTATATGGGACTAAAGAAGGAACCATGACATTAGCCTGTTCTTAGAATAAAAACAAAGACACCTACTGCAACTTATCAGAACTTTCATTTCTCTACTGAACATTTTGATTCTTGGTTTGCTGATGCCAACACAATTCTCCGTTTTTCAAGTTTCTGTAGAACTTCTAACTGGCAACCTATACTTAGGAAAGGGGTTGCCATTAGTTGCCGGAAGTATACAGTAAGATGAAATAGGCTGGGCACAGGTGGCTTACACCTGTAATCCTAGCACTTTGGGAGGCAGAGGTGGGTGGATAGCTTGAGCTCAGGAGTTCGAGACCAGCCTGGGAAACATGTCAAAACCCAGTCTCTACTAAAAATACAAAAATTAGCCATGCATGGTGCTGCACACCTGTAGTCCCAGCTCTTTGAGGGGCTGAGGCAGGAGGATTGCTTGAATCTGGGAGGTTGAGGCTGCAGTGAGCTGAGATGGCACCACTGCACTCCAGCCTGGATGACAAAGTGAGGGGGAGGAGGAGGAGAAAGAAGAAGAAGGAAGGAGGGAAGGGGAGCAGGGGAAGGAAGAAGGAGGAGGAGGAGAAGAGGGAGGAGGAGGAGGAAGAAAGAAAGAAGTTAGAAGAAGGAAGGAAAGAAGAAAGAAGGAAGAAGGAGGAAAAAGAAGAAGAAATAAAAGTGCTAACTTGGGCCAAAACCCAGAGACAAAAAAGTATATGCAAGGCACCCCCGTAAGAAAGATGACATCTTTGCCCCCAAGAATTGAGGGCGAAAGTTCCTTATGTGCAATGTAATCACATTACAGAATGGTGTGTCTGGCCTGGGCATGGTGGCTCACATCTGTAATTCCAGCACTTTGGAAGGCCGAGGCAGGCAGATCACCTGAGGTCGGGAGTTCGAGACCAGCCTGACCAACATGGAGAAACCCCATCTCTACTAAAAATATAAAAATTAGCCAGAAGTGGTGGCGGGCACCTGTAATCCCAGCTGCTCAGGAGGCTGAGGCACGAGAATTCCTTGAACCTGGGAGGCAGAGGTTGCAGTGAGCCGAGATTACGCCACTGCACTCCATCCTGGGCGACAGAGACAAGACCCTCTCTCAAAAAGACTGGTGTGTCTGGAGGAGAGGCAGAAGGCTAAGAAAGACAACAGGATAATGGTGAAATGAACAGAGGCAAGAGCAAGAGAGGAATACTCTGGCCAAGGGAGGGAAACGCAATGCTTGTGCTTTCGTAAAATGGGAAGAATACCACAAAAGTACATGACACTGAAGTTCTACGCTGGAGACGGTGAGAACTCAGACTCTTACTTTTGGATTTGCTCTTACTGGAATCCTCTGTACCCAGGCCTTCACTTAGGGGCTGCTGGCACGCTTTCGCCAGCCATGATACATGCAGGGGCATGCAAATGTGGTCAACTTACAAGAATAATGGAACCATGTAAGCATGATTACAAAGTGGAATGCTTTAACATATTGGAACGTGCTTGATTCTGAATTGAGTTATCTTCTTCTTTCCCTGCACCCTCCAGGCCTGTTCCTGCAGGTGCCAGGCTTAATCAAGCTGAATCAAGGTCAAAGACAAAATCCACAGGCCTCCAGAACACCATTCCCTCAGGTCTTAATGACTTCATCTGCAATGCTAGACAAAAAGGAGTATGGCTCGCGTGGCGATAGGACAGACACTAGTTCAGAGGAGGAAGCAGTGAGATTTTTACTTTCAGTTTCCAGGATATTAGATAGAAAGTTTCCTTTGCAATATAGAATTTCTGGGTCAACTATAGGTAATTCCTTCCCCATAAGATCACCATAAGCTATAGTACACACCAAGATTTCTAAGTATTACAAAATGCTGGTTCCTGAATAATTTTCCTACCTCTTTTGCAAAAGTATTTCAGTCAGCTCCATTAAAAAAAAAAAAGGCCAGATGCAGTGGTTTATGCCTATAATTCCCATATTTTGGGAGGACAAGGCAGAAGGGTTGCTTGAGTCCAGGAGTTCAAGATCAGCGTGGGCAACATAGCAAGACCTCATCTCTACAAAAAAATTTTTTTTTTTGAGACAGAGTCTTGCATTTTTGCCCAGGCTGGAGTGCAGTGGTGTGATCTCAGCTCACTGCAAGCTCCGCCTCCAGGGTTCACGCCATTCTCCTGCCTCAGCCTTCCAAATAGCTGGGAATACAGGCGCCCGCCACCACACCTGGTCAATTTTTGTATTTTTTAGTAGGGCTGGGGTTTCACCGTGTTAGCCAGGATGGTCTCAATCTCCTGACCTCATGATCCACTCGCTTCGGCCTCCCAAAGTACTGGGATTACAGGTGTGAGCCACCGCGCCCGGCCTCTACAAACGTTTTTTAAAAGTAGTAGGGTGTGGTGGGACAGTGCTTATAGCCCAAGCTACTCAGGGGGCTGAGGTGGGAGGATTGCTTGAGCCTGGGAGGTTAAGGCTGCAGTGAGCTGTGATCACGACAGTGCCCTCCAGTCTGCTCAAGAGAGTGAGATCCTGACTTCAAAAAAATAAAAAATAAAAATAAAAAACTTGGTGTGTTTTAGTACTGCCAGTGTTACTCTATACTCAGCCTTAAAATCTCCTGTGCTTAAGGACTGCAGGCCTTTAAATATTTTTCCCCCTGGATTGAGGATTAAGGTTGGAAAATTCACCCTCCAAAAAATAAACCCAATGAATAAGAATATAAAACTGTACACAGTTAGCTATGTATGAAGTAACTCGTCCTAAAAATTGGTTTATAAATATGCTGCTACTGAGATCACAGTGGCCTAATTATCATCAAGAATCTACTGATCTAAGCCAGGTGTAGTGGCTGATGCCTGTAATCCCAGCATGTTGGAAGGCCAAAGCAGGAGGATCACTTGAGCCTGGGAGGTCGAGGCTGTAGTGAGCTGAGATCATGCCACTGCACTTCAGCCTGGGTGACAGAGTAAGACCCTTTTCAAAAAAAAAAAAAAAAGTTACTGATCTAAATATAACCTAAGAGGGCCAGGAGTGGTTGTTCACCCCTGTAATCCCAGCACTTTGGGAGGCTGAGGCAGGCAGATCACTTCAGGCTAGGAGTTCAAGACCAGCCTGGCCAACATGGTGAAACCCTATCTCTACTAAAAATACAAAAAAAATTAGGCAGGTGTGGGGGCACGTGCCTGTAGTCCCAGCTACTCGGGAGGCTGAGGCACAAGAATTGCTTGAACCTGGGAGGCAGAGGTCGCAGTGAGCCGAGATCACATCACTGCATTCCAGCCTGGGCGACAGAGCAAGATTCTGTTTCACAAATAAACAAACAAACAAACAAACAAACAACCGTAAGAAATCTTAGAAACAGCAAAGTGAGACCACAAAGACAAATGAAGGGTGGCGGGAAGATATTGTCAAGGAAAAGGAGAGTTAAGTGATGCACAGGTTGTCAATGTCACCTACATGGTCCTGGTGGGAAAGGTGTGACATCCCAGCACTATGGGGGAAAAGCATCAGGATAGTGAAGGATGACATACAGTTGCTGGAGGCAAACACACCTCTGCCCAGTTTTCTTGATCAGATGTCATTCATAAAAACAACCTTCTGAATCCTAATTTGGTCTCTTAAGGAGGTCTTACTCTAGGCAAATAAACAATGGTAGGTTTGGCCAGGTGCGGTAGCTCACGCCTATAATCTCAGCACTTTGGGAGGCCGAGGTGGGCAAATCACTTGAGGTCAGGAGTTCGAGACCCCTGGCCAACATGGTGAAATCCCGTTTCTAGTAAAAATACAAAAATTACCCAGGCGTGGTGGTGCACACCTCTAATCCCAGCTGCTTGGGAGGCTGAGGCAGGAGAATTGCTTGAACCTGGCGGGAGGCAGAGGTTGCACTGAGCTGAGATTGTGCATTCCAGCCTGGGTGAATAGAGAAACTCTGTCTCAAAAAACAAACAAACACACAATGGCAGGTTTTCAGCTAGATAGCACTCCTCATTTTAATTAATAAACTGGTATACTGGTGCACAAAGTCTCTCGTATGTGACTTCTGAATCTAATTGCCAGGCCAGACCTACTCAAGGTGCAGCCATTAGGTGAGGCCTGGTCTGCCAGCTCTGGCACATGCCACCCTCTCTCTGCAGAAGAGACTGGCCATCTAGGTCAGAGGCTTCTGCTCTGACAGGTCAATTTCAATAATAGAAAAAGTAAGAGGCCAGGCACAGTGGCTCATCTCTATAATCCCAACACTTTGGGAGGCTAAGGCAGGAGTTTAAAGACCAGCCTAGGCAACACAGTGAGAAATCTCTACAAAATATTTTAAAAATTAGCCAGGTGTGGTGGTGCATGCCTACAGTCCTAGTTACTAAGGAGACTGAGGTGGGAGGACTGCTTGAGCCCAGGACTTGGAGGCTACAGTGAGCTATCATTGCACCACCGTACTCCAGCCTGGCGACAGATAGAGACCTGGTCGTTAAAAATAAAATAGGGCCGGGTGCAGTGGCTCATGCCTGTAATCTCAGCACTTTGAGAGGACAAGGTGGGCAGATCACCTGAGGTCAGGAGTTCGAGACCAGCCTGGCCAACATGGTGAAACCCTGTTTCTACTAAAAAAATACAAAAATTCGATGGGTGTGGTGGCACACGCCTGTAGTCCCAGCTACTCAGGAGGCTGAGGCAGGAGAATTGCTTGAACTCAGGAGGCGGAGGTTGCAGTGAGCCGAGATTGCGCCCCTGCACTCCAGCCTGGGCGACAGAGCGAGACCCTGTCTCCAAAAAAATAATAATAAAAATAAATAAATAAATAGGGCTACAGTCTGGCAAGACTTAGCTGAGTACTCAAGAAGGGAACAGCTCTTTCTCAAAGTTAAAAACCCAGCATACACACCTTGGTGAGATTGTTTTGATAGATGGCATTCAGGCGGCTCACATAGGCATCCCGCTTTTCCTTAATAACACTGCAATGAAACCCAAGTCAGTATTCAGAAACAGGATCTTCCCCTTCTAGTTAGTAACTAAGGCATCTGTCCCTGAACACCCCGAGCAGAGAATCACTGACTGTCAACAGCAACCGCAGTGAGTGAATGTCTCCGAAGACAGTCATCCCTTCCCTGTGTCATTCTGCTGCCCCATGTGTTAAAAGCCTCTGTGCCACTCAGTGGAGAACACACTCAGTTGGCATCATCTTTCTGCGCAGAAGACAAGGAGAAATGTTTTGGCAAAGTGCCTAGAACATGATGTGCACAGGACGTGGTGGGCACTTAATAAACACTTGCTAAATAAATAAATTTGCTAAATTTCTTCAAAACTGTTAATGGCTTCAAAGGATTTACAGCAGTTCCTTAAATAGTTAAACACAAAACTACCATACGATTCGGCAATTTCACTTCTAAGTACAGACCCAAAAGAAACTGGAAGCAGAGACCTGAACAGATACCCATATACGAATGTTCATAGCAGCATTGTTCACAATAACCAAAAGGTAAAAACAGGCCGGGCGCGGTGGCTCACGCCTGTAATCCCAGCACTTTGGGAGGCTGAGGTGGGCGGATCACGAGGTCAGAAGATCGAGATCATTCTGGCTAACACAGTGAAATCCCGTCTCTACTAAAAAAAATACAAAAAATTACCCAGGCATGCTGGTGGGTGCCTGTAGTCCCAGCTACTCAGGAGGCTGAGGCAGGAGAATGGCGTGAACCCGGTAGGCGGAGCGTGCAGTGAGCCGAGATCGCACCACTGCACTCCAGCCTGGGTGACAGAGTGAGACTCCGTCTCAAAAAAAAAAAAAAAAAAGGTAAAAACAACCCAAAAATTCACTAACAAATGAATGGATAAACAAAATGTGGTTTTATCCATATGAAGAAATCTTATTCTGCCTTTAAAAGGAATGAAGGCTGGGCACAGTGGCTCACACTTGTAATCCCAGCACATTGGGAGGCTGAGGCGGGAGGATCACTTCAGCTCAGGAGTTCAAGACTAGCCTGGGCACCACAGTGAGACCTCATCTCTACTAAAAACAAAAATTAAAAAAAATAGGCAGGCATGGTGGCACGTGCCTGTAGTCCCAGCTACTCAGGAGGCTGAAGTGGGAGGATAGCTTGAGCCCAGGAGCTCAAGATAGCAGTGAGCTATGATTGCACCACTGCACTCCAGCGTGGACAACAGAGCAAGACCCTGTCTTAACAAACAAACAAAAAGGAATGAGGTTCTGATACATACTACAACATGGACAAACCGTGAAAACAAAATACACTAGACATAAAGGAACAAATATTGTATGATTCCACTTATATGAGTTCCCTAGAATTGGCAAATTCATAGAGACAGAAAGCAGAATAGAGGTTCCCAGGGGCCAGGGGGAGAAGAGAATGAGGGGTTATTGTTTAATAGAATAGTTTCTGTTTGGGATAGCAGAAAAGTTCTGGAAGTGGTAATAGTGGTGACGACTGTATAACAATGTGAATGCGCTTAATGGCACTCAATTGTATACTTAAAAATGGCTAAACTGTAAATCTCGTATTGTGAATATTTACCGCAATTCCTCCTCCATCCCTAAAAAAGTTTATGGCTCAGTTATAAAAGAAAAATATCTACACTTGGAAACTGAACCCTCTGAGTGTTGACACTTACCGCCAATTGAATTTACCCTCACAACTTGGAAAGCCATAATCAGCATGATCATGCATGAATTCAGAGTGGACAGCTGTGTTCCACATTACCTGTAAAAAAAAAAAAAAAAAAGGATCCAAAACAGCAGTAAATCAGTCCTGAGGGAAAAAAGGAATCATGAATGAATGGTAACTAGGTAACAGCAGATAAAAATACTGCCCTTTAAATTAAAAACAAACCTAGCTGGGCACGGCAGCTCACGTCTGTAATCCCAGCACTTTGGGAGCCCGAGGCAGGTGGATCACTTGAGGTCAAGAGTTCGGGACCAGCCTGGCCAACATGGCAAAACCCCATCTCTATTAAAAATACAAAAATTAGCTGGGTATGGTGGCACACACCTGTAGTCCCAGCTACTTGGGAAGCTGAGGCAGGAGAATTGCTTGAACCCTGAGGGCAGAGGTTGTAGTGAGCCAAGATCACACTGCTGCACTCCAGCCTGAGTGACAGAGTCTCTGTCTCAAAAGATAAAATAATAATAATAATAATAAATAAAATCTACTATACCTTGCTAACTTAAAACATTTTTTTTTAAAGAGATAAGGGGAAAGCTATTAAAAACAGACTAAAAAGAAACAAACACAAGGCCGGGCACAGTGGCTCATGACTATAATCCCAGCACTTTGGAAGGCAGAGGGAGGTAGATCACTTGAGGTCAGGAGTTCGAGACCATCTTGGCCAACATGGTGAAATCTCATTTCTAATAAAAATACAAAAAAAATTAGCCAGGCATGGTGATGCACGCCTGTAGTCCCAGCTACTTGTGCTGAGGCAGGAGAATCACTTGAACCTGGGAGGTGGAGATTGCAGTGAGCTGAAATCACACCACTGCATTCCGGCCTGGGCAAGAGTGAGACTCTGTCTCAAAAAAAAAAAAAAAAAAAAAAAAAAAAAAAGAAAAGAAAAAAAAGAAAAAAAAATATATAAATGAACATACATAAATGTCTACCGCATGTGATCAGAAGGAATAAGTAAATATGAGACTAAAACATTACAAAATCAGTTTACTGTGCAGTATTAGCCCAGTGGTATATTTAAAAAAAAATAAACTTGTACCAATCAACACGAAATTTACCACCATAACTGGTTTAAACTACATAAAACCACCTTATAATTAATTTATATAATTCATACAGTCATAATTGCATGGCTCCAAGTAGAACAGATTACAAAAAGTATGACTAATAGGAAAGGAAATAGTTGAGGGAAAATGTCCCAGAGAAGAAAAGTCTTCCTAAGACAGAAAGAAAAACACCTTACCTATACCACGGAAAAGACTTCAAAAAGACTTTTTGGAATTAAACTCAGGTATGCATCACTGATGAGATTAGGAGATTTGCTTATATAATACCAAAAAGATGACAAGTTAAAATGGAATGTCATTAATAAAGGTGGTAAGCTTGAGATTACAACATATGTTGAAAGTACATTCAAATGAGTGGTAAAATTCTTTGCAAGTATAAGCAAGAGGCAGCTTTACAAATAAGAGCTGCTGTTTTTTCCTCTTTGTCAAGGGTAAAAAAAATGAATTCATTCAATGTGACCTGCACCACAGATATTAACAACGAAAAAATCACTAATGTGATACAGAAAATCCATGAACCCACAGAACTTGAGAAGATTCCATTCAACAGTTTGGTTTGCTGGCTGGGTCTTTTTGCTGAGAAAAAACTATCCTGTGGTGTAGATGACCAGGCCTTGGCTGGGGTCTGTGGCTCATGCCTATAATCCCAGCATTTTGGGAGGCTGAGGTGGGCAGATCACCTGAGGTCAGGAGTTCGAGACCAGCCTGGCCAACACGGTGAAACCCCCATCTCTACTAAAAATACAAAAATCAGTCAAGTGCAGTGGCGCACGCCTGTCATCCCAGCTACTTGGGAGGCTGAGGCAAGAGAATCACTTGAACCCAGGAGGCAGAGGTTGCGGTGAGCCAAGATCGCGCCACTGTACTCTAGCCTGGGTGACAAGAACGAAACTCCGTCTCAAAAAAACAATAATAATAAAAATAAAAAGTAATTAAAAATAAATAAAAAAATTTAAAAAACACAAATCAAACAAAAACAATCCTATTGCTTAAGCTACTTTTAGTAGGGTCTAGGGGTTTTTTTTGCAGAAAGAATTTTAACTGATCTATTTGGAAACATTCTGATTTTGATTATGATTTACCAAATAGAAAAAGGATTGTAAAGGGAAAGAGAAATAAAAATTCTACCTTTTTGGGTACACATCCAACATTCACCTGGAAAAAAAAAAAAGAGACACACTTTAAGAATATTGAATTCAAACCATCAAACGAAATCTGCAAGAAATGCACGCTAAGCATCAAGCGAGGAGTCTTCCTTGGGTTCTAAGTCACAGTGTACTAAATTCTAGTTACTTTCTTTGTTACAAAAAGATAAGAACATTATTTTCCTTCTGTAATGAGGGAGAGAAGTTCATTCATCAGCATTTTTCTTGGACGGAGAAAGAACAATCAGCCCATTTGAGCTGCTGTCTAAGAGGACTTCTCGGGAAAGTACTGCAGAATACATGGATAAACACCCAAGATGGGCCAGGGCTTGGTAGTTCACACCTGTAATTCCAGCACTTTGGGAGCTGAGGCAGTTGGATTGCTTAAGCCCATGAATTCGAGACCAGCCTGGGCAACAAGCGAGACCACGTCTCTACAAAAAAAAGTAGCTGGGTGTGGTGGTGCATGCCTGTGGTCCCAGCTACTCAGGAGGCTGAGGTGGGGGGACCCTTTGAGCCTGGAAAGACAAGGCTGCAGTAAGCCATGATCATGATCATGCCACTGCACTCCAGCCTGGGTGACACTGAAAGACTCTGCCTCAAAAAAGAAACACACACACAAAGAAAGGCTGAACATTGAGATACTGGTGAATACTCACCAAAAGCACAAAAATTTAAAGTACATGGCATGGAACTTAGGATATTGATTAACCATTAGTACAGAAACTTGAGAAAACCTAAATAAATATTAGATCTCATAAAATGACTTTGATTTATAACTACTAGGCATTTGGCCTAAAGAAGTAACCAAAGATGTAGAAAAGCGAAATGCACAAATGCACAGATTATCATGTTATGTACAAATACATATTTGGTTACAATCATTTCCATTTCACTCTTAGTTAATATATAGAAATACACTTATGGAATAAAAGTAGAAAAAGCAAGACTCAGAAAACTACTTTTTTTTTTTTTTGAGACGGAGTCTCGCTTTGTTGCCCAGGCTGGAGTGCAATGGTGCGATCACAGCTTACTGCAAACTCCACCTCCCAGATTCAAGCGATTCTCCTGCCTCAGCCTCTTGAATAGTTGGGACTGTAGGTGTGCACCACCATGCCCAGCTAATTTTTGTATTTTCAGTAGAGATGGGGTTTTGCCATGTTGGCCATGCTGGTCTCGAACTACTGACCTCAGGTGATCCACCTGCCTCAGCCTCCCAAAGTGCTGGGATTACAGTCATGAGCCACTGTGCCCAGCCAGAAAACTACATTATTTTTTTGTTTGGTTGTTTTTTTTTTGAGACTGAGTCTCACTATATCGCGCAGGCTGGAGTATAGTGGCAAGATCTCAGCTCACTGCAACCTCTGCCTCCCAGGCTCAAGCAATTCTCATGCCTCAGCCTCCCGAGTAGCTGAGATTACAGGCGCCTGCCATCCTGCCTGGCTAATTTTTGTATTTTTAGTAGAGATGGGGATTCGCCTTGTTGGCCAGGCTGGTCTCGAACTCATGACCTCAAGTGATCCACACACCTTGGCCTCCCAAAGTGCTGGAATTACAGGCATGAGCCACCACGCCCAGACGAAATCTACATTTTTTAAAAGTAAAGATAAAAGATAATTTAAATAATGAAATATTTTTCATCTGTCAGATTGGCAAAAATTTTAAAGGTTGACTATAACTAGTGTTAGCAAACATATCCTGATTGGCCCAGCAATTCTACTTTTACAGTAACCTAGAAAAGTAGTCACATATTATGCTCCCGTGTCCAAAGATGCATTTATGGGGCTATTCCTTGAAGCTTGGTGATAACGGGTAACTACAGACAGGTTAAATATCCATCGGCAGGGAAGTAGTAAATAGTTATACATTGAGTCTGTGGAATATTCTGCAGCCATTTAAAAGGGCAAGGTAGATTTCTATGCACTATATGGAAAGAGTTCTAACATACACTGTTATGCATCAAAAAGAAAGTTGCAGAATAGTAGTTATGCCACAACCCAATTCGTATTCATATGCAGTATGTGTGTATGTATATATGGGTGTAAACACAGTTTGGCTATACTCCAAGCAGTCAACAGTGTTTCTCTGGAGAGGGAGAAAACTTTCACATTTTGTTCTATATGCTTTTTTTTTTTTTTTTTTTTTTTTTTTGAGACAGAGTCTTGCTCTGTCACTCAGGCTGGAGTGCCATGGTGCAATCTCAGCTCACTGCAACCTCCGCTCCCCGGGATCAAACAATTCTCCCTCCTCAGCCCCCGAGTAGCTGGGACCACAGGCGTTCACCGCCATGCCTGGTATTTTTAGTAGAGACAGAGTCGCACCATGTTGCCCAGGCTGGTCTTAAACTCCTGAGCTCAAGTGATCCACCCGCCTTGGCATCCCAAAGTGCTGGGATTACAGGCGTGAGCCATCACGCCTGGATATACTTTTTAAAAAAAAATAAAAAATATTTTTCTAAAAATATAGAGACAGGGTCTCACTATGTTGCCCAGGCTGGTCTCAAACTCCTGGGCTCAAGCAATCCTCCTAACTCGGCCTCCCAAAGTGTTGAGATTACAGGTGTGAGCTACCATACGTGGCCTGTATATGCTTTTTATTTTATTTTTTAAATAAAAATTAAAAATACTTTATAAAAATAGAGACAAGGTCTCAGTATATTGCCCAGGCTGGTCTTGAACTCCTGAGATCAAGTGATTCTCCTGCCTCAGCCTCCCAAAGTGCTGAGATTATAGGCATGAGCCACCACGCTTGGCCTGTATATGCTTTTGGAAAACAGTTTAATGATCACTCACCAAAATCCACAGGAGAATCTTAAATGTTTACAAGCAGCAATTATTCCACTATTCCTGCCAGCACTGCATCCTTCATGGCAGAGTATCACAAGTACTTCATACTAAAAATTAGAATAATTTATGGGCTGGGTGTGGTGGCTCACGCCTGTAATCCCCACGCTTTGGGAGGCCGAAAAGAAAGATGATTGCTTGAGCCCAGGAGTTAGGGACCAGCCTGGGCAACACAGTGAGACCCTGAGACCCCATCTCTGTAAAAAAATAAAAAATAAAAAATTAGTTGGGTTTGGTGGTGCATGCCCGTAGTTCCAGCTATTCAGGAGGCTGAGGCGGAAGGATCTCTTGAGCCCAGGAGTTGAAGGCTACAATAAGCTCTGATCATACCACTGCACTCCAGCCTAGGTAACAGAGCCAGACCCTACCTCTAAAAATAAATAATAATAATAAACGTATGGCTTTCTATCTAGAGTGCCCTTTCATCTGGCCAAGCTGAGGATATGCTACTTCTCAACCCCCAAGTACCTGACAACATTACTGGGATAAATAGAATAAGCCATTTCTAAGAAAGGAGGACGCACAGCAGGGGTTTCCTAATGGTAAGAGCAGAGAAAGGAGGTCGAAACTCTGTGGGAAGAACAATGCTAGCCCCATAATGGGAATGATTTTCTCATCCAACCTGCCTTTTCCAGTTATTTGGCAGGCAACGTGCTTCCCCGTGCCTTCCACCCACACCTTTATACCCTGCAGTTCACCATTTAAGTTCACTAAGTGGCTTCAACTAGGACAGACTCCAAAAGCAATTTTCCCAAAGGTAGAGATGATTTGTCTGCTACATAAATACTGCTGGTCTTCCAGTCACCATTTCTGGCTTCCCAAGAATCATCAAAAGCAATCCAAGGGTGTCATAAAGCACTCAATGTTCTAAACTACTCTCACATACCATCAGTTTGTTCCTCATGTATATTTGAAGCTACTTTAAAGTTATTTAAGGCTTCTTTTTCTAATTTTAAAAATATGTTTTTTAAAAAAGTTTTTAAAAAATATGTTTAATTTTAAAACATATTCTTTTTTTGGAATATGTTTCTTCTAAGCGCCAAGGTGGGCTTTCACTGGTGCCTGGTGTCTATAACTCTGGTTTGTTTTTTTAGAAGTTTCTGCCTTTTTTGCTTCTACGTCGTCTTAGCTTGCAGGCATTCATTCAGAGGTACTGAGTAAGCACTCACTTGTGCCAGGCATTATGCAAGGTAAGGCACTAAACAGATACAGTCCCTGCTCTTGGGGACTGTATCAGTATCTTGGCCTACAGTGCCAGCCAGAGAGAGGCTCTGAGCCTGTCCAAGATACTGACTCAAGGGGCAGCAGCAGAATCTCCACATTCCCTAAAATTGAAGAGCACTGGGCCAGAAACCAGAGGAAGAGGATGGTGGAAAATTGTGGCCTTGTTGGGCCAGAGAAGCTGCGCCCCAGCACAACACACTTTGGGGCCTGGGGCACTGGTTGAAAGGAAGCCTATGACCCTGAAATACCACTGTCCTATTTTGCCAGCTCCTGTGAACAGGCCTCCAGGGATTTCCACTGCTTTTAGAGGCCTATTTACATGCCAGCAACATGACATGACTTCAGCGCCTCTGACTTGGAAGGAACGAAAAGCACATTTAGGCTGGGAGTGGCGGCTCATGCCTATAATCCCAGCACTTTGGGAGGCCAAGGCAGGTGGATCGCTTGAGGCCAGGAGTTCAAGATGAGCCTGGGCAACAAGGTGAAACACTGTCTCTAGAAAAAATACAAAAATTAGCCAGGTGTGATAGTGAAGCCTGTAGTCCCAGCTACTGGGGAGGCTGAGGCAGGAGAATCACTTGAGCTTGGGAGGTCAAGGCTACAGTGAGCCGAGATAGCACCACTGCACTCCAGCTTGGGCAACAGAATGAGACCCTATCTCAAAAAATACACATACACTTAGTTCCAGTGAGAGCTGGGGAGGCCAGGGGTGAAAAGCTGGCATGCTCTCGCTCACCCATCCCCTCTGCTGCTCCCTTCTCTTTCCCCCCAAATTTTTTTTTTTTCAATTTCTTACAAATTAGAGACGGAGGCTGGGCATGGTGGCTTATGCCTGTAATCCCAGCACTTCGGGAGGCCGAGGCGGGCAGATCACCTGAGGTCGGTAGTTCAAGACCAGCCTGACCAACATGGAGAAACCCTGTTTCTACTAAAAATGCAAAATTAGCTGGGCGTGGTAGCACATGCCTGTAATCCCAGCTACTTGGGAGGCTGAGGCAGGAGAATCGCTTGAACCCAGGAGGTGGAGGTTGCCGTGAGCGGAGATCGTGCCATTGCACTCCAGCCTGGGCAACAAGAGCGAAACTCTATCTCAAAAGAAAAAGGAAACAAACAAACAAACACATTAGAGACAGGGTCTTACTATGTTGCGCAGGCTGGTCTCAAAATGCTGGGCTGAAGCAGTCCTCTCACGTTAGCCTCCCAAAAGTTGGAATTACAAGCATGAGCCACCGCACTCAGCCTTCTTTCCCCTTTCTCTAGCTCAGGGCTCCCTGACCGCCAGGTGCCTATTAGGAACCAGGCTGCAGCAGGAGGTGAGTGGCGGGCAAGTGAGCGAAGCTTCATATGTATTTATAGCTGCTCCCCGTCGCTAGCATTACTGCCTGAGCTCCACCCACTTCCTTTCAGATCAGTGGCGGCATTAGATTCTCATAGGAGCGTGAACCCTATTGTGAACTGTGCATGCAAGGGATGTAGGTTGCACACTCCTTATGAGAATCTAATTGCTGATGATCTGTCACTGTCTCCCATCAGCCCCAGATGGGACCAACTAGTTGCAGGAAAACAAGCTCAGGGCTCCGTCGGAGTCTAGTTTATGGTGAGTTGCATAATTATTTCATTATATATTACAACATAATAATAATAGAAATAAAGTGCACAATAAATGTGATGCAGGCTGGGCGTGGTGCCGCAAGCCTGTAATTGCAGCACTTTGGGAGGCCGAGGCGGGCAATTACCTGAGGTCAGGAGTTCAAGACCAGCCTGGCCAACATGGTGAAACCTCCGTCTCTAATAAAAATACAAAAATTAGCCAGGTGTGGTGGTGGGTGCCTGTAATCCCAGCTACTTGGAAGGCTGAGGCAGGAGAATCGCTTGAACCCAGGAGGCAGAGGCTGCAGTGAGCCGAGATCATGCCATTGCACTCCAGCCTGGGCAACAAGAGTGAAATTCTGTCTCAAAAAAATAAAAATAAATAAATAAATAAATAAATAAATAAATGTGATTCACTTGAATCCTGAATCATCCTGAAACCATACCCCACTGCTGGTCCGTGGAAAAATTGTCTTCCACAAAACTGGTTCCTGGTGCCAAAAAGGCTGGGGACTGCTGCTCTAGCTGACCTGTGCATCAGGTTGTTAGAGGGAGCACAGGCCTCAAGTCAGACAGATAGGAGTTTGACTCTCAGCTCTCCCATTTAGTGGCTAGAGGTGGGTGAGTTTCCAAATTTCTCCTAGCTCAGTTAAGGGAAGAATGCTTCCATTATGGAGATTTTGAGCAGGTCAGAGATAAGGTATATAAAGCATCTATTTCTAATCTATGATAGATGTGATGGTGACTCTGATACCTCTGAATTATTTCTGCGTCTGCTGGCTCCCCACACGCACACAAGGCATACGGAAAGGCGGAGATAAATTCCCCAGGGGCCTTCCTACCTAAAACACATCAGCTGATCACAAAGGAAGTTTGCCTCCCAGACTGGAGCATTATCAGATGAGTTCTCAGGGCTCTGGTTGCCCAGAGTTGCACATTGCTAAGACCCTCAGCATACAACACTGGCAGATTCCCCGGTTCTCCAGGTGGGCATTAATGAGGGATAAGAAACAAGTTTCTTTTTTTCTTTTTGAGACAGAGTCTCACTCTGTCGCCCAGACTGGAGTGTGCAGTGACACAATCTCAGCTCACTGCAACTTCTGCCTCCCAGGTTCCAGTGATTCTTAGCTTCCCGAGTAGCTGAGATTATAGGCACGCACCACTATGCCCTGCTAAGGTGTTTTGTTTTTTTTTTTTGCTTTGTTTTGTTTTGAGATGGAGTCTCACTCTTGTTGCCCAGCTGGAGTCCAGTGGTGCCATCTCGGTTCATCACAACCTCTGCCTCCTGAGTTCAAGCAATTCTCCAGCTTCAGCCTCCCGAGTACCTGGGATTACAGGTGCCCGCCACCACGCCCAGCTAATTTTTAAATTTTTTTTTTTTTTTTTTTTTGAGACGAGGTCTCACTCTGTCATCAGGCTGAAGTGCAGTGGTGCGATCTCGGCTCACTGCAACCTCTGCCTCCTGGGTTCAAGCAATTCTCCTGCCTCAGCCTCCCGAGTAGCTGGGACAACAGGTGTGTACTACCACACCTGGATAAATTTTTTTTTTTTTATGTATTTTTAGTAGAGACGGAGTTTCACCGTGTTAGCCAGGATGGTGTCGATCTACTGACCTCATGATCCGCCCACCTCGGCCTCCCAAAGTGCTGGGATTACTGGCCTGAGCCACCGCGCCTGGCCAATTTTTGAATTTTTAGGAGAGATGGGGTTTCACCATGTTGACCAGGCTGGTCTCAAACTCCTGGCCTCAAGTGATCCACCCACTTCAGCCTCCCAAAGTGCTGGGATAACAGGCGTGAGCCACCACACCCAGCTAAGAAACAAAATTTCACAGGCTGTTCAGTAAATACATCATCAAGGAGACTCCTGTAACTCAGCCTCCCTTTCCAAACCGATGATCCATTCCTGAGAGCTTCCTTTTCCAACCAATCTAGTGTTCAGAACCCCGATCAGTGGGCCTGCTGGCATCAATCTAGTGTTCAGAATCCCGATCAGTGGGCCGCCTGTTATCTGGTGATAACAGGTGGCAAAATTCAGAAGCTTCACCATTTTTCCTAGGGCCTGCCTCGTTACCTTCAATCCTGCCTAGCCAGGTAGAAACTTCACATTGCCCATGTTGGCAGTAAAACAAGAACTTGGTTAATCTGCAATTGCGCCTGCCAAGAACATCAACTGTGTTCAATAGTGAACTTGCGGCTGGGTGTGGTGGCTCACGCTGTAATCCCAAAACTTTGGGAGGTGAGGTGGGAGGACTGCTTGAGCCCACGAGTTAGAGACCGGCCTGAGAAACATAGTAAGGCCTCGTCTCCACAAATAAAAAATTTAAAAATTAGCCGGGTGTGGTGTTGCACGCCTGTAGTCCCAGCTACATGGGAGGCTGAGGTGGGAGGATCGTTTGAGCCCAGGAGTTTGAGGCTGCCATGAGCTATATTGCACCACTGCACTCCAGCCTGGGTGACAGAGCAAGACCCTGTCTCAAAAAAAAATTGTTAACTTCCTTCCTCTGGTTCCCCACAACCTCCCACCACAGAATTGCCTACAGTTTCCTCCCTCTGTCGTCCTTCTTTGCTGCCTAAAATCTAATTCAAGACCAGAATGAGAACTACTCAGAAAATAGACGAGTCATAATTTCCAAGGCAAAACACTATCGATTTATCAACTCAATTATTTCAGCAACTATATACTGAGTACTTGCTATGTGCAAAACACTGTTCTAGGGGCTTGGACTATACTGATGACTTAAACAGATAAAGATCCCTGTCTCTGTTGCATTTCATCAGCTTTACACCAACCATGACTAAATATAATGCTGTCTGGACATGGCCCTGTCCCTGGCACATATTCACTATTCAATATCCATGTCTCCACCTTCAAAGTCTTTTTTTTCATTTCAGATGAAGGTTAGTTCAGGGAGGCATCAAACTTGAGAAAAAGAGAAAAAAAAAAGCAGTCTGTGTAAAGCAGAATCTAAAGCAAGAAAATCAATGGATACATTTGCAAGAGATATTAACAAAGGCTGTTTTTGTTCAATTCTTAGCTAAGCAGAACATTAACCTGAACCTTCCAGTCTCAGGAAATCACCAGATTTTTAAAAAGTGTGACTGGGTGCCGTGGCTCACACACAGGTGTGTAATCCTAGCACTTTTGACGGGTCAAGACTGGAGGATCCTTTGAGCCCAGGAGTTTGAGAGGAGCCTGGACAACACAGCGAGACCCCATCACCACAAATAACAGCCTGTAGTCTCAGCCAGTTGGGAAGCTGAGGCAGGAGGATCATCTGAACCCAGGATATTGAGGCTGCAGTGAGCCATGATCGTGCCACTGCACTCCAGCCTGGGCGACAGAGTGAGACCCTGCCTCAAAAAACAAAAAAATTTAAAAAATAAAAATAATTGTTACGGGCATCCGGGGAGAAGAAGAAAGAGTTTTGTGAGACAACTCTTCTGGATGTCAGTCCCCACTATTACCTGATACCCACCATCTCCCGTCCCCCAAAAAGAAAAGGACCTAGGACCTCCACATCCTATTAGGCTGGTGCAAAAGTAACTGCAGTAATATTTAATGTTGCAACACCTAGTGAATAGAAGGTAATGAATTCTCACTGACTGGAAGCCACTTACAAATGCCAAAGTGGTCCGGGCATGGTGGTTCAGGCCTGTAATCCCAGCACTTTGGGAGGCCAAGGTGGGCGGATCACTTGAAGTCAGGAGTTTGAGACCAGCTTGGCCAACATGGCAAAACTCAGTCTCTACTAAAAATATAAAAAAATTAGCCAGGTGTGGTGGCGGGCACCTGTAATCCCAGCTACTCAGGAGGCTGAGGTAGGAGAATCACTTGAACTTGGGAGGTGGAGGTTGCCGTGAGCCAAGATCGTGCCACTGCACTCCAGCCAGGGTGACAGAGTGAGACTTCGTGTCAAGAAGAAAAAAAAAAAGCCAAAGGGTATCAGTATTTCCATATCATTCCTTTAGTTTCCCTCTATAAAAAAAGTTCTTGGATTCTTGGACAGACACGGTGGCTCATTTCTATAATCCCAGCACTTTGGAAGGCCGAGGTGGGTGGATCGGTTGAGGTCAGGAGTTCGAGACCAGCCTGGCCAACGTGGTGAAACCTCGTCTCTACAAAAAAAAAATTAGCTGGGTGTAGTGGCACACGCCTGTAGTCCCAGCTACTCAGGAGGCTGGGCAGGAGAATCGCTTGAACCCGGGAGGCAGAGGTTACAGTGAGCCAAGATGGTACCACTACATTCCAGCCTGGGTGACAGCCAGACTCTGTCTCAAAAAAAAAAAAAAGCATTCTCTGTGGTTACTTTTCAAAGTATGTTTTACAAAGAAATAGACACCCTGAAGGATTCAGAGGCAGTCTATCTTTTCCTAGCCCTGCAGATTTAGTGGGTTTTGAGGCAGATGGCAAAGCAACAGTATATGAAGACTAGTACAAAAAAAGGAAGCAGTCAACAAGGTAAGTTAAAAGCCAAATTTCAACAATAGCATTTGCTTGCTTTAACTAGCCCCACCCTTTATGGCCACTCCTTTATTTGTCACTTATGAATATGGGTGGGCCCCATTCTATGAAATTCTAAACCCAGGAGACACATTAGGGTAACCTTCTATTTCGGAGGGCTATCTGTCAATATTGCAGGAACTGATGACAGAGTTCCTTTAAACTGACCTCCTTTTAGTAAATTGCATTTAATAATGCATGTTCAGGCTGGGCACGGTGGCTCATGCCTGTAATCCCAGCACTTTGAGAGGCTAAGGTGGGAGGACTGCTTGAGCTCAGGAGTTCGAGACCAGCCTGGGCAACAAAGCAAGACCTTGTCTCTACTAAAAATTTAAAAAATCAGCCAGGGCATGGTGGTGGCCATGTGCCTGTGGTCCTGACTACTGGGGAGGCTGAGGTGGGAGGGTCACTTGAGCTTGGGAGTTCAAGGTTGCAGTGAGCTATGATCATGCCCCTGCACTCCAGCCTGGGTGACACAATGAGACCCTGTCTCAAAAAAAAAAAAAAAAAAAAAAAGCATGTCCAGTGTTCAGCTTTACCAGGGTATAGACATCATAATATCAAAGTACACAGTATCACTTCCAAATGAGGTTATGATTTACATGTTGCTGGGTAATTGTTTTCAGCCTAGATGAACAATGATTCACTGAGCAGCCTGCTGTTCACTGATCTTTCAAAGCCCCTACCTCTCTCTCCCCTAGGCCTCTCCAACTGCTGCTGTGCAGCATAGTTCACTGTGACTTGGCAATCATGAACTTTTGTCACATGATCAACCCTTACTACCCAACTCTCATTGGTAAGTACTACTCGCCAAAACCACAGGAACCTGGTTATTCTTATCACAGAATCAGTACACTCAGCAGGAACCCAGGACCGCAAGTTCCCCAGGCCCTGGGGCAAAGGGAGCAGCAATTTAGAAACAACTTTTCCTTAAGCTGACTCTCCCATCACGTGTGTAGGCAGAGAAGCGAACCACAGAGGCAAAGCTCCCAGAAGGCTCTAATTCACCTTGACTTTGGGCGATCTTTGCATTTCTCTCCAGTCTACACGAGATCATGAGATAAGCAATATACTTAACCTTTTGGAGACTTGAAATGCTGAATTCAAGCAAGGCTCAGTGGTATCTACCTGCAGAACCAGCTAGTCGGGAGGTTGAGGTGGGAGGATCGCTTGAGCCCAGGAGTTTGAGGCTACAGTGAGCTGAGATCACACCACTGCCCTCCAGCCTGGGAAACAGAGGGAGACCCTGTCTCTTAAAAATGAAACAACATGCCAGACGCGGTGGCTCATACTTGTAATCCCAGCACTTTGGGAGGCTGAGGCGGGTGGATCACTTTAGGTCAGGAGTTCGGGATCAGCCTGGCCAACATGGTGAAACCTCATCTCTACTAAAAATACAAAAAATTTGCCAGGCGTGGTGGCCTGCGCCTGTAGTCCCAGCTACTTACGAGGCTGAGGCACATGAATTCCTTGAACCCAGGAGACGGAGGTTGCAGTGAGCCGAGATCACCCCACTGCACTCCAGCCTGGGTGACAGAGCAACAAACACACACACACACACACACACACACACACACACACCCAGGTCTGCTGGGACCTAGTACAGGAGACTGGTCCAAAACAATGGCCTCCCATAAACTTTAACGGTTGAACAATTAAATGAAGGAACACTGATAAAACAATGAAAAACCAACCAATCTCACTACCTGTAAATGACCACTGCTAGACACACATTCTAATTTGAACCTTCCGTGTGAGTTCATTCACCACAACTTTAAAACTTCCCCAAGCGTTAGAAATTAATGGATTTTATTTAGGAAAGAACTCATGGGAGAACCAATCTTAAACTTCTGCCGTGCACAGTGGCTCACGCCTGTAATCCTAACACTTTCGGAGACCAAAGCAGGAGGATTGCTTGAGTCCAGGAGTTCAATACCAGCCTAGGCAATGTAGTGAGACCCTATCTCTATAAACTGAAAGGAAAAGAAAAAGAAAAAGACAGAAAGACAAACTTCTATTGGGCATCGCCAAGGGTGAGATCTCAATCCTATGGCTTACCACAAAACTACTTTCACTGAGTCACTGGTTTGCTCAAACCCACCCCTGCCCCCATAGTTCACTGTGTGTCCAGAAACTCCACATTTTTCAAACCACAACCTACCCATCAGCTTCTCATCTCTTATTTCTATTAAAGAGACACTCTGTGCTCCAAATTTGATTACACAACATATCCCGTTTTGATGCCTAGGCCTGGGACCCATCTTTTGAGGTTCCGAATGTCAAAGAATACTACCCAACCCCCCACCTTTTTTTTTTTTTTTTTTTTTTGAGACAGAGTCTCACTCTGTTGCCCACACTGGAGTGCAGAGGCATGATCTTGGCTCACTGCAACCTCTGCCTCCTGGGCTCAAGTGATTCTCATGCCTCAGCCTCCCAAGTAGCATGTGCCACCACACCCGGCTAATTTTTGTATTTTTAGTAGAGACGGAGTTTCACCGTGTTGGCCAGGCTGGTCTCGAACTCCTGACCTCAGGTGATCTGCCCACCTTGGCCTCCCAAAGTGCTGGCGTGAGCCATCACGCCCAGCCTAGATGGTTACATTCTTGTGAGGTTCTTATGAGCCTCAGTAAATCTACATTTTACATAAGATAAAGTAAAAGTGAAAAGCAGGAGTAGAGGAGATAAGGCTATGACATGGGATTGTGAAATTACAGCTGTCTGTTTGGGAACAAAAGGAAAAGCAGTATTTGTGTGATTCAGTTCCCAAGCTGAACTTTCCTTCTGGCATACTTTGGGGTTCCAATATTTTTTTCTTTCACAACCACAAAATTCCTTAAGGGAAGGGACATGTCTCACAAATGTTTATATCTATCGTTTTCTCCCTACCCACCCCCAATCCCAGCACTTAAAATACAAAAAATGGGACAGGAGTGGTGGCTGATGCCTGTAATCCCAGCATTTTGGGAGGCCAAGGCAGGCCGACTGCTTAAGCACAGGCATAAGAGACCAGTTTGGGCAACATGGCAAAACCCTGTTTCTAAAAAACAATAAATAAAATAAAAACAGGCCAGGCGTGGTGGCTCACGCCTGTAATCCCAGCACTTTGGGAGGCTGAGGTGAGCGGATCACAAGGTCAGGAGTTCAAGACCAGCCTGGCTCTACTAAAAATACAAAAGTTAGCTGGGTGTAGTGGCACCTGTAATCTCAGCAATTTGGGAGGCCGAGGCAGGAGAGTTGCTTGAACCCAGGAGGCGGAGGTTGCAGTGAGCCGAGATTGCACCACTGCACTCCAGCCTGGGTGACAGAGCAAGACTCCATATCGAAAAAAAAATAGATAAATACATTTTAAAAATAAAAAATTAGCTGGGTGTGGTGGCTCATGCTTGTAATCCAAGCACTTTGGGAGGCCAAGGTGGGTGGATTACCAGAGGTCAGGAGTTTGAGACCAGCCTGGCCAACATGGCAAAACCCCATCTCTATTAAAAGTACAAAAACTAGCCGGGCATGGTGGCATGCACCTGCATTCCCAGCTACTCGAGAGGCTGAGACGGGAGAACTGCTTGAACCTGGGAGGCAGAGGTTGCAGTGAGCCCAGATTGCACCACTGTACTCCAGCCTGGGTGACAGAGTGAGACTCCCTCTCAAAAAAAAAAAAAAAAAAAGAATTCATAACAGGAAGGTAAAGTGGGTGAACCTCTGAAGCACATTATAACATAAGTAGAGAAAGAGGAAGACAGAGAAAATGTGGAGAGCAGAACAGAAGTGAGAAGTGATCAAGTACTCTCATGAGGTGTGGGAGGGGGGCACTTAGTGGCACCCCACAATCTGCCTTCTGGAGAGACAGATTTCTAACCTTCTGTCTGGACTATGGTGTCAAAGTGCAAGTTGATAATTAACAGAGATTTTTCCTTTCTCTTCATCTCCATGTTCATCTCCAAGGCACTGAACAATGAAGTCAACCTTTTCATAACTGTCCATTTTTAGTTTCATTCATTGCACAAGTGCTTATTGAGCAAGGGATTTTAAGGTGATAAGAGACACACAAACACAGAAGCCCATCCCTGTCCTTAAAGAGCTCCCAATTTGACATAATTTAAATATTCATCTCCAAAGGAATTTAGAGAACCTATCCCAAATCCCAGGTTCCTCTTGGATACAGCATTTTAATCGTCAACACCCAAATCTTGTGATAGAAAAGGGCGGGCACACCAATAACTTGGAAACAACATTTATTTTTAGAATGAGTGCAGTGGCTCAGGCTTGTAATCCCAGCACTTTGGGAGGCTGAGGCGGGAAGATCGGTTGAGTCCAAGAGGTTGAAATCAGCAAGGGCAACATAGCGAGACCCCCATCTCTACAAAAAATAATAATAATTAACTAGGCGTGGTGATTAGCCCCCTGTAGTTCCAGCTACTCAGGAGGCCAAGGTGAGAGGATCCCTTGAGCCCGGGAGTTCGAGGCTGCAGTGAGCTATGATGGCCACTGCACTCTAGCCTAGGTGACAGGGCAAGACCCTGTCTCAAAAAACAAACACAAACAAAAACCCTTATTTTCAAAAATTATGAATTTTGTAAATCTCAGGATTTACATCCCTCTGTTTTTAGTTTTGCAATCCACATAAAACCAAGACAAAACAAAAGCTCTGAGAACTCACCTACTCAAGGTCGCCTTGGCTGCAATTCAGATCACCCGAAAATCCCAAAGCCCAGGCTGCACTTCAGACCAATTAAGTCGGGAAACATCCCAAAGCCCAAGTGCACCTCAGACCAATTAAGTCGGGAATCCAGGCACCCTCAGGTGATTCGAATGTGTAGCCAAGGTTGACAACAACCGCTATAAATCATTCTGCCCTTGAAACGGGAGAACCAGGATCTACATTTTTCAAGAACCAGGATCTATGGCACCGTCACCCTCGTCCCTACACACAGGCCACCAGCAATGTTCCCAGATGCAGTTTTGTGTTTCACGCGGTCAAGAACAGAATCCAATCCTCTCCCACTTGGACAAGTGAGGATGGAGGAAGGTTAATCTAACCCGCCCCGGCCCTGGTCAATATCGCATCCGTGCGGAAGCAGACGCTGGCTCGGCTTTGCGGGCCGCAGAGAAGCCCCCGGACGCCTCTCTCTCCTCCACCTGCTGGGTTCCTGGCTTCGGAATGGGGAGTTGCGGGGGTGGAAAAGAGGAAAGCCCAGCGCCGGGGGACAGGATCGCCATAGGAACGAGCACAGGCTGTCCCCCGAAAGACCGAGACAAAGAGGCGCCCCCCGCCCGAACAAACCGGCGGTACTCACGCAAGTGCCACCCAGCTTGTGGCTCTCCACCACGGCGGCCCTGGCACCCAGCTCGGCCGCCCTGCGCGCGCTGGCCAGCCCGCCCGAGCCGCCCCCGATCACCAGGTAGTCATAGGAGGCCACGGCGCCAGCAGCGGGCGGCGGGCCCTGCGGCTGCGGCTCCTGCCTGCAGGCCATGGCACGGGAGAGGGCGCGCGTGAGGGCCGCGGGCTCGGGCAGAAGCAGCAGGAAGCCTCGGAAGGCGCGCGCCGCCCGCCGCCAGCTCGGTCCCGCGCCGGCGCTCAGGGCTCGGGGCAGCAGGGCCATGCACGCGGAAGTGGCGCGCCAAGTGGGGCGGGCGGCCCGGGGGCGGTCCCCGGGGTAGGGGGGCGCGGGCCCCGGGCAAGCGCAGCCTCACGGTGACTAAGCATGCGCCCGCCGCTAGGCAAGACCCAGGAGGATGCCCAGAGGCGGGGCCGCCTCCCAGTTCCCCGCCCCGGTGGCGGAGCCTGAGGGGTTTCTCCGCCTCCGTTCTCACCCCGGCCCCTGGATCCCGAGCGGCGCCTGCCGCGTGTAGCCTTCTGAAGTCCGGTGGATCGAGGCGAGGAACGGTGAACGTCCTCTCGTTTCAGCTGGCTTTTCCCGAGCTGGCCCCCTGGGGAGTTGCCAGTGGCACGGCTTCTCCAGGAAGAGAAATTTGCCTCTATTCGAAGGGTTGTTTGTCCAGGTTTGTTCCAGAGACCACTTTTGTTTGTTCTTGCTTTTTCTTTGAGACTGGGTCTCACTCTCCCCCAGGCAGGGGTGCAGTGATGCGATCTCTGCTCACTGCAGCCTCCACCTACTGTGCTCAAGCAGCGATCCTCCCTCCTCAGCCTTCCCGGTAGCTGGGAACTACAGGTGCCCGCCACAGCGCCCAGCTAATTTATTTATTTATTTATTTAATTTTTTTTTTTATTTTTTTTATTATTTTTATTTTTTTTTTAGAAATAGGGTCTCACTATGTTACCAGGACTGGTAGGGAACTCTTGGCCTCAAGCGATTCTCTCACCTCGGCCTCCCAAAATGCTAGGATTATGGTATGAGGTCACCACTTCTCCTGTTGTCCTTCTCAGTTTCTCCCCAACCTCCCCTTTTCCCTAGTTTATAAGACAGGAGAAAAGGGAGAAAGCAAAAAGTTGGAAAGAAACAGAAGTAAGATAAATAGCTAGACGACCTTGGCACCACCACCTGGCCCTGGTGGCTAAGATAATAATAATATTATTAACCCCTGACCAAAACTATTGGTGTTATCTGTAAATTCCAGACATTGTATGAGAAAGCACTGTAAAACTTTTTGTTCTGTTAGCTGATGTATATAGCCCCCAGTCACGTTTCCCACGCTTACTTGATCTATTATGATTTTTTCACGTAGACCCCTTAGAGTTGTAAGCCCTTAAAAGGGCTAGGAATTTCTTTTTCGGAGAGCTCGGCTCTCAAGACGCGAGTCTGCCAACGCTCCTGGCCGAATAAAAAACCTCTTCCTGCTTTAATCTGGTGTCTGAGGAGTTTTGTCTGTGACTCATCCTGCTATATTTCTTGGTTCCCTGACTGGGAAGCGAGGTAATTGACGGACAGTCGAGGCAGCCCCTTAGGGGGCTTAGGCCTGCCCTGTGGAGCATCCCTGCGGGGAACTCCCGCCAGCTTGAGCGACGCGGATCCTGCGAGCGCTCCTGGGTAGGCAATTGCCCCGGTGGAACGCCTAGTCAGAGCAGTGCGTGGCAGGCCCCCGTGGAGTATCAACGCAGTGGCTGAACACCGGGAAGGAACAGGCACTTGGAGTCCGGACATTTGAAACTTGGTAAGACTGGTCTTCGGAACTTGCCCACTCCATTTGAGTGGAAGCATGGCCTGATCACCCACGGCGTGCCTGTACTGGCACTTTGGTTTTTGTTTTTGACTTGACTTGAATTGCTTGACACTTTGGTTTTGGTTTGACCTGGCTTGGATTACTGGATACTCTGATTTTGGTTTTGATTCTGGTTTGGTGAAAACTGAAAAAGTGCGTGTGTGCCCTTTTTACCCATTCTTTGTTTTGTGGTGTGCGTTTGGTGTGAGCTTGGTGTTTTGTCTTGAGGAAACACGGGTCAGACACAAAATAAGCCTACTCCTCTAGGAACTATGTTGAAAAATTTTAAGAAGGGATTTAATGGCGACTATGGGGTTACTATGACACCAGGGAAACTTAGAACTTTGTGTGAAATAGATTGGCCAACATTAGAAGTGGGTTGGCCATCAGAAGGAAGCCTGGACAGGTCCCTTGTTTCTAAGGTATGGCACAAGGTAACTGGTAAGTCAGGACACTCAGACCAGTTTCCATACATAGACACTTGGTTACCACAGTGGGTAAGAGGGCAGGCAGCAGCAGTGCTAGTAGCAAAGGGACAGATAGTCAAGGAAGGATCCCGCTCCACCCACCGAGGGAAATCAACTCCTGAAGTTCTGTTCGACCCAACATCAGACGATCCATTGCAGGAGATGGCAAAAGTCATCCCAGTGGTGCCCTCCCCTTACCAGGGAGAGAGGCTCCCCACTTTTGAGTCCACAGTGCTTGTGCCTCCGCAAGACAAACATATCCCTAGGCCACCCAGAGTAGACAAGAGAGGAGGTGAAGCCTCAGGAGAAACCCCTCCCTTGGCAGCTCGTTTAAGACCCAAAACGGGGATACAAATGCCCTTGAGAGAGCAGCGGTATACTGGAATAGATGAGGATGGGCACATGGCGGAGAGGCGTGTTTTTGTGTGCCAGCCCTTCACCTCTGCCGACCTTCTCAACTGGAAAAACAATACCCCGTCCTGTACTGAAAAGCCACAAGCTCTAATTGATTTGCTCCAAACTATTATCCAGACCCATAACCCCACTTGGGCTGATTGCCACCAGTTGCTCATGTTCCTCTTTAACACAGATGAAAGGCGGAGAGTGCTCCAAGCAGCAACTAAGTGGCTAGGGGAACATGCACCGGCTGATTACCAAAACCCCCAAGAGTATGTAAGGACCCAGTTACCGGGAACCGACCCCCAGTGGGACCCAAATGAAAGAGAGGATATGCAAAGGCTAAACCGATACAGGGAAGCTCTCTTAGAAGGATTAGAGGGGAGCCCAGAAGGCCACAAACGTTAATAAGTTCTCTGAGGTCATTCAGGGAAAAGAAGAAAGTCCAGCACAATTCTACGAGAGACTGTGTGAGGCCTATCACATGTATACTCCCTTTGATCCCGATAGCCCTGAAAATCAACGCATGATTAACATGGCTTTAGTTAGTCAAAGCGCAGAAGACATTAGAAGAAAACTGCAGAAACAGGCTGGGTTTGCAGGGATGAACACATCACAATTATTAGAAATAGCTAACCAGGTGTTTGTAAACAGGGATGCAGTAAGCCGTAAGGAAAACCGCAGAGAGAATGAACGTCAGGCCCGGCGAAATGCCGAGCTGTTAGCTGCAGCAATTAGAGGGATCTCCCACAAAAAGGCAAGGGAAGGGGGGCCCCGGGAAAGAAACTCAGCCTGGCTGTCAGAGCTTGCAGCGTAATCAGTGTGCTTATTGTAAAGAAATAGGACATTGGAAGAACAAATGCCCTCAGCTAAAAGGAAAACAAGGTGACTCGGAGCAGGAGGCTCCAGACAAGGAGGAAGGGGCCCTGCTCAACCTGGCAGAAGGGTTATTGGACTGAGGGGGACCGGGCTCAAGGACTCCCAAAGAGCCTATGGTCAGGATGACAGTTGGGGGTAAAGACATTGATTTTCTTATAGATACCGGTGCTGAACATTCGGTAGTAACCGGCCCAGTCGCCCCCTTATCCAAAAAGACTATTGACATCATCGGAGCCATGGGAGTTTCAGCAAAACAAGCTTTCTGCTTGCCCCGGACTTGTACTGTAGGAAGACATAAAGTGATTCATCAGTTTTTGTACATGCCTGATTATCCCTTGCCCTTGTTGAGAAGGGACTTGCTTAGCAAACTGAGAGCCACTATCTCTTTTACAGAGCACGGCTCTTTGCTGCTAAAGTTACCCGGAACGGGAGTCATTATGACCCTTACGGTCCCCCGAGAGGAGGAATGGAGACTTTTGTTAACTGAGCCGGGCCAAGAGATAAGACCAGCTCTGGCTAAGCGGTGGCCAAGAGTGTGGGCGGAAGACAACCTCCAGGGTTGGCAGTCAACGAAGCCCCCGTACTTATAGAAGTTAAGCCCGGGGCCCAGCCGGTTAGGCAAAAACAGTACCTGGTCCCCAGAGAAGCTCTTGAAGGTATCCAGGTCCATCTCAAGCACCTAAGAACCTTTGGAATTATAGTTCCTTGTCAGTCTCCATGGAACACTCCCCTCCTGCCTGTTCCCAAGCCTGGGACCAAGGACTACAGGCTGGTACAGGATTTGCGCTTGGTTAATCAGGCTACAGTGACTTTACATCCAACAGTACCTAACCCGTACATATTGCTGGGGTTGCTGCCAGCTGAGGACAGCTGGTTCACCTGCTTGGACCTGAAAGACGCTTTCTTTAGCATCAGATTAGCCCCTGAGAGGCAGAAGCTGTTTGCCTTTCAGTGGGAAGATCCGGAGTCAGGTGTCACTACTCAGTACACTTGGACCTGGCTTCCCCAAGGGTTCAAGAACTCCCCCACCATCTTCGGGGAGGCATTGGCTCGAGACCTCCAGAAGTTTCCCACCAGAGACCTAGGCTGCGTGTTGCTCCAGTACGTTGATGACCTTTTGCTGGGACACCCCACGGCAGTCGGGTGCGCCAAGAGAACAGATGCTCTACTCCGGCACCTGGAGGACTGTGGGTATAAGGTGTCCAAGAAAAAAAGCTCAGATCTGCCAACAGCAGGTACGTTACTTGGGATTTACTATCCGACGGGGAGTGCAGCCTGGGATCAGAAAGAAAGCAGGTCATTTGTAATCTACCGGAGCCTAAGACCAGAAGGCAGGTGAGAGAATTCTTAGGGGCTGTGGGGTTTTGCAGACTGTGGATCCCAAACTTTGCAGTATTAGCTAAGCCTTTGTATGAGGTCACAAAGGGGGAGGGGACCGGGAACCTTTTGAATGGGGATCCCAGCAACAGCAAGCCTTTCATGAGTTAAAGGAAAGACTTATGTCAGCCCCAGCCCTGGGGCTACCCGATCTGACAAAGCCTTTTACATTGTATGTGTCAGAGAGAGAAAAGATGGCAGTTGGGAGTTTTAACCCAAACTGTGGGGCCCTGGCCGAGGCCGGTGGCCTACCTCTCTAAACAACTAGACGGGGTTTTTAAAGGATGGCCCCCATGTTTGAGGGCCTTGGCAGCAACTGCCCTGCTAGTACAAGAAGCAGATAAGCTGACTCTTGGGCAAAACCGGAACATAAAGGCCCCCCATGCTGTGGTGACTTTAATGAATACTAAAGGACATCATTGGCTAATGAGTGCTAGACTCACTAAGTACCAAAGTTTGCTTTGTGAAAATCCCCGTATAACCATTGAAGTTTGTAACACCCTGAACCCCGCTACCTTGTTCCCAGTATCAGAGAGCCCTGTTGAGCATGACTGTGTAGAAGTGTTGGACTCAGTTTACTCTAGCAGACCTGACCTCCGGGACCAGCCTTGGGCATCAGTAGACTGGGAACTATACGTGGATGGGAGCAGCTTTATCAACCCACAAGGAGAGAGATTTGCAGGGTATGCGGTGGTAACTCTGGACACTGTTGTTGAAGCCAGATCGTTGCCCCAGGGCACTTCAGCTCAGAAAGCTGAACTCATTGCTTTAATTCGGGCCTTAGAACTCAGTGAAGGTAAGACTGTAAACATTTACACTGACTCTTGATATGCCTTTTTAACCCTTCAAGTGCATGGAGCATTATATAAAGAAAAGGGCCTATTGAACTCTGGGGGAAAAGACATAAAATATCAACAAGAAATCTTGCAATTATTAGAAGCAGTATGGAAACCCCACAAGGTGGCAGTTATACATTGCAGAGGACACCAGCGAGCTTCCACCTTGGTGGGTTTGGGGAATTCCCACGCTGACTTAGAGGCTCGAAAAGCAGCATCTGCCCCCTTCCGGGCATCAGTGACAGCCCCCCTGCTCCCTCAAGCACCTGATCTTGTACCTACTTATTCTAAAGAGGAAAAGGACTTTCTCCAGGCAGAGGGAGGACAGATGCCAGCCACCGTGCCCAGCCTTATTTTTCTTTTAAAGTCAGGGGTCTCAAACTCCTTTCCTAGGCTCAAGAGATCCTCTGGCCTCAGCCTCCCGAGTAGCTGGGATTACAGGTGTGCATGTGCCCAGCTAGGAACTACATTTTGACCAACACTGTCTCTTGCCTTCAGGTGACTCTTAAATTTGAGAAACATTGGAATAGTGGATTAATTCGGAGTAGCGGTTTTTGTGATCCACAGATGAAGCACAGAGAAAAGGATAGAGATGGAGACACAAAAACATTGATCTCCCAAGCTGTAGAGACTGGGTCTCCTTTGGGAATATCTACAACTACCAACTGCACAACAAAGTAGTAAGTGCAGCTTCGAATTTGTCTTGTGGTAGGCCACGATCCTGTGCCCACAAGGACAGTGCACAGGTCATCCGAGCACACGGCTGAGCCCGGTAGGCAAAGGAAGGAAGGTCCAGGTCACAGGGCAGCGAGGCCCAGCACAATGAAGGAGAATGGAAACACACCACACCTCAATTAGAATGGGATCCAATTCTTTTACAAAAATTTTTTTCTGATTACAAAATTTAAGGGAAAAAGGGAAAGTTCTTCCTTCCTACAGACTGACATGTAATAAATGGAGATGGAACACACAAAAATCACCATTTTGGGCTGGGTGCAGTAGCTCACACTTGTAATCCCAGCACTTTGGGAGGCTGAGGCAGGAAGACCCCTTAAGCCCACGAGTTCGAGACCAACCTGAGCAACATAGGGGAGTTCCTCATATCCACAAAAAAATTAAAAATTAGCTGGGTGTGGTGGGATACACCTGTAGTCCTGGCTACTCTGGAGGGTAAGGTGAAAGGATCACTTGAGCCCAGGAATTCAAGGTTACAGTGAGCTATGATTGCACCACTGCACTCCAGCTTGGGTGACAGAATGAGACACTATCTCTTAAAAAAAAAAAAAATTTCTTTCAAACACTAGAGGATGCCAGGCACAGTGGCTCATGCCTGTAATCCCAGCACTCTGGGAAGGGAAGCCACAGAAGGAGGATCACTGTATTCTAGGAGTTCGAGACCAGCGTACGCAACATAGTAAGACCTGGTCTCTACAAAAAAATTAAAAATTAGTCAGGTGTGGTGGTGCACACCTGTAGCCCCAGCTACTCAGGAGGCTGAGGTAGCAGATCACTTGAGCCCGGGGCGTTGAGGCTGTGGTGAAATGTGATCACACCACTGTATTCCAGCCTGAGCAACAGAGTGAGACCGTGTCTCAAAAAAAACCCCACTGGACAAACGTAGGTGATTTCTATGAAGACATTATGAAATATTTCTCAAAATAATAAACCCATAATTAATTTGTATTGAGCTAAGCACTGTGCTAAGACCTTTATATGTTATCTTCCCTCAACCCAAGAAATAAATACTGTACTGTTATTGTCTCCATTTTATAGATGTGGACACTGAGGTTCAAAGAGGTTAAATAACTTGCACAAGATTAAACAGCTGGTGACTTGTGGATGTTTTGCTAGGATCGTCAAATAAAAATTCTGTAACGATAAAAAAATTTAAAAATTAAACAGCTGGTGAATGGCAGAGCAGGAATTCAAATTCTGAAGGCCTAACTCAGAAGCCTATTAACCATTATTAGAAAGAAACCATCACTGAGTATGTCTTACAGTGAAAATAAAAGACCAGCTTAGGCAACACAGGAAAACCCCGTCTCTACTAAATACAAAAATTAGCCAGAGTGGTGGTGTGTACCTGTAGTCCCACCCACTCAGGAGGCTGAGACATGAGTCTTGAACCCTGGAGGCCATGGTTGCAGTGAGCTGAGATGGCACCACTGCACTCCAATCTGGGCAACAGAGTGTGTCTCAAAAAAACAACGCCGAGCTCAGTGGCTCACGCCTATAATCCCAGCACTTTGGGAGGCCAAGGTGGTTGGATCACTTGAAGTCAGGAATTCAAAACCAGCCTGACCAACATGGTGAAACCCTGTCTCTACTAAAAATACAAAAATTAGCCAGGCATGGTGGCATGTGCCTGTAATCCCAGCTACTCAGGAGGCTGAGGCAGGAGAATCAATTGATCCTGGGAGGCAGAAGTTGCAGTGAGCTGAGATCACACTACCGCACCCCAGCCTGGGGGACAGAGTGAGACTCCGTTTCAAAACAAATAAACAAAAAAGTCCTTTCCCACTAATAGTGACTAATTCATATTACAACTCTGTGTTGAGGTTGTAGGTCAAGAGATACTGTGTCACCCGAAAGGTGGTGATGGTACTTCTATAAACAATTTGAGAAATTTATGCAGGAAATAGTGGTACAGAAATAACTTTGCAAATACAGGTTGCTCAATAAAATTTTTCATGTTCCATGTATGAAGATAATTGCAGTCACTTAGGATAAAAATAACACAAGGAAAGGAATAATTGAACATTACTCAGTTACCCAATATCAGTGTTTAATATTGAGATGAAAGATAAACACTGAAGAGGCAGAGAACAATAACTATAACTAAACGTGGAATTAACAAAAAGCAAGTTATACAGTAAAGGGAAAGAAATTTTCAGAGGGACATAGCAAGTCTGCCTTGTTGAGAAAACTGGATACATCCTCAGAAGATAACATCTAAAGGGAAATCACACATGCACTGAGGATCTCTTTCACGCTTTTGATCTCATTTCAGTAACATATCTTGAAAGATCATGGGGGAGATCATAAAAAGTTTTGGAAATAACACTACTACTCCTATTCTGAATATAAATATGTGGTATTGTTTCTGTAACTGTTTATTTTTATTTTTACTTTTTATTTTTTTGAGACGGAGTTTCGCTCTTATCTCCCAGGCTGGAGTGCAATGGCACAATCTCGGCTCACTTCAACCTTGCCTCCTGGGTTCAAGCGATTCTCCTGCTTCAGCCTCCTGAGTAGCTGGGATATCAGGCACCCACCACCATGCCCAGATACTTTTTGTATTTTTAGTAGAGACAGGGTTTTACCGTGTTGGCCAGGCTAGTCTCAAACTCCTGACCTCAGGTGATCCACTCGCCTTGGCCTCTCAAAGTGTTGGGATTACAAGCGTGAGCCACTGCACCCAGCCCTTGTTTATTTTTGAATTGTATTTTGCAATATTTAAGATAAACAAAGTACCTGTATAAAGAATAATACAATGGCACATCCACACCTCTTAGCTTAAGAAATGTAGTACTACCACACTGTCTAGTTCTACATAGCTATCCCAGTTGCACCCTTCTCCCTGTCTCCCTCCCCCAAGAGGTAATCAATGTCTTAAATGTGGTGTTTATCATTTCCTTCATTTATCTGTTCTTGGGAATAATGTTCATCATCAAAAAATAAATATTCATATAAGGGATTAATGTTCTTTTTGTTTAATTTTCATATATTTAGAAAAATAAGAAAAAAATCATAATTGCACCAGTCTAGCATAACCATTTTTCCTTGTTGACATATTTAAAGTTGTATCTGTGGATTCCATCAACTCTGTCATTTCTGGGTCTGTTTCTGTTGATTGATTTTTTTTTCTCCTGCTTGTGTTACCTTCTGCTTTTTGGCATGATGGTGCAGTTCCAGTCCAAAGGCAGTCTGTTGGGAAATCACTCTTACTCGGGGAAGCTGTTCTTTTCTTTCTATTCAGGCCTTTAGCTGACTGGATGAGGCTCACACACATAATGGAGGGCAATCTGCTTACTCAGAGTTAAGTGATTTAAATGTTAATTTCATCCAAAAACACCATCCCAGCTGACATATAAAACTAGTCATCACACACTAGTGTACAGACTCCATGGTGTGCAAGAATCTTGTCTTATTTGTGGCTATATCTCCAGCATCTGTAACAGCACCTGGGGTGTGGTAGGTGCATCATATTTATTGTTCATTGGATGAATCAAGTCTATGTGATTTTGGTGCCTAGTCTGAGCCCAGAAGGTCAAGGCTGCAGTAAGCCGTGATCTCACCACTGCACTCCAGCCTAAGCAACAGAGCGAGACCCTGTCTCAAACAAACAAAAAAATTAGGTATGGTAGTGCACACCTGTGGTCCCAGCTACTCAGGCGGCTGAGGTGGGAGGATCACGTGGGCCTGGGAGGTGGAGGCTGCAGTGAGCCGTGATTGTACAACCACACTGCAGCCTGGGCAACACGATTGGACCCTGTTAAAACAACAACAACCAACACACACACGTAGCCATCTTATTTTTTAGGGGGGAAAAAGAGACTACTAAAAGAGCAATTTCATAAGCCTAAATGTAAAAGCTAAAATACAAAGCTTTTAGAAGAAAATATAGAGGCCGGGCACGGTGGCTCATGCCTGTTATCTCAGCACTTTGGGACGCCAAGGTGGGCAGATTGCTTAAGCTCAGGAGTTGAAGACCAGCCTGAACAATATGGTGAAACCCTGTGTCTATTTAAAAAAAAAAAAAAATAGGAGAATCTCTCGACTTCAAGAAAAGCAAAGGTTTCTTAGGACACAGAAAGCAATAATCATAAAAGAAAACTTAGATAAATTGTCATCAAAATTAAAAACTTCTCATCAAAAAGTCAGTAACAGCTGGGTGCAATGACACATTCCTGTAGTGCCAGCTACTCAGGGGGCTGAGGCAGGATTGCTTGAGCCTAGGAGTTTGAGACCAGCCTGGGAAACAGAGCAATCAAGACTCTGTCTTTTTAAAAAATAATAATAATAATAAAGGCCGTGTGCGGTGGCTCACGCCTGTAATCCCAGCACTCGGGAGGCCGAGGCGGGCGGATCACAAGGTTAGGAGCTCGAGACCATCCTGGCTAACATGGTGAAACCCCTGTCTCTACTAAAAATACAAAAAAAATTAGCCGGCATGGTGGCAGGCGCCTGTAGTCCCAGCTACTCAGGAGGCTAAGGCAGGAGAATGGCCTGAATCTGGGAGGCGGAGCTTGCAGTGAGCCGAGATCGTGCCACTGCACTCCAGCCTGGGCGACAGCCTCCGTCTCAAAAAAAAAAAAAAAAAAAAGCTAGGCACGGTGGCTCACACCTGTACTCCCAGCACTTTGGGAGGCTCAGGTGGGTGGATCACCTGAGGTCAGGATTTGAAACCTGCCTGACCAACATGGTGAAACCTCGTATCTACTAAAAATACAAAAAATTAGCCAGGCGTGGTGGCGGGCGCCTGTAATCCCAGCTACACGGGAGGCTGAGGCAGGAGAATCGCTTGAACCTGGGAGACAGGGGTTACAGTGAGCTGAGATTGTGCTATTGCACTCCAGCGTGGGCAACAAGAGTGAAACTCCATCTCAAAAAAGGCTTTTTTGTTGTTGTTGCTGCTGTATGATTCATGTATATAATATTCTTGAAATGACAAAATTAAAGAGATGGATTTTAACTCAATTATACCTCAATTAAGATGGAGGGGGAAAAAAGGAGACGGAGACCAGACGAGTGGTTTCATGGGGGTTGATGGTGGTGAGGGTAGAAAGTGAGGTGGTTTGGCTGTAGAAGGGTAGCATGAGGAATTCCTGTGATGGAACTACTCTATATCTTGACTGTAGTGTTCAGAGAAATTGACACAGGTGATAATATTGCATAGAACTAAATCACACATGGCCGGGTATGGTGGCTCACGCCTGTAATCCCAGCACTTTGGGAGGCCGAGGCGGGTGGATCACGATGTCAGGAGATCAAGACCATCCTGGCTAACACGGTGAAACCCCGTCTCTACTAAAAATACAAAAAATTAGCCGGGCGTGGTGGCGGGCGCCTGTAGTCCCAGCTACTCGGGAGGCTGAGGAAGGAGAACGGCGTGAACCTGGGAGGTGGAGTTTGCAGTAAGCCGAGATTGTGCCACTGCACTCCAGCCTGGGTGATAGAGCGAGACCCTGTCTCAAAAAATAAAAATAAAATAAAAAAACTAAATCACACACACAAATGAGTATCTGTAACTGGTAAAATCTGAATGAAGTCACTGGATTGTGTCAATATATATTTCCTGTTTATGGTATTATACTGTCCTTATGCACAATTTTAACACTGGGGGAAATGGTAAAGGATTTATGCAATCTCCGTGACCTCTTATAACAACATGTGAATTTATAATTATCTCATAAAATGTTTAAAAAAGCATACAGTGTGAACAAAGCCTTATCCAAAGAGTACATTTTGTATAATTTACAGAAGTCCTAGAAGAGGCAAAATTAACCTATGGTGGAAAAAAATCAGAGCAATGCTTGCTCTCTGTGCAATGCTTTTTGCTTTTTGTTTTGAGACATGGTCTCTCTCTGTCGCCCAGGCTGGAGTGCAGTGTCACAAACACAGCTTACTGCAGCCTCCACCTCCTGGGCTCAAGTGATCCTTCTGCCTCAGCCTCTGGAGTAGCTGTGACCACAGGTGCATGCCACCACACCCAGCTAATTAAAAAATGTGTTTTTTTGTAGAGATGGGGTCTCACCATGTTGTCCAGGCTGGTCTCAAACTCCTGGGCACCTCAGCCTCCCAAAGTGCTGGGATTACAGGCATGAGCCGCCACGGTCAGTCAGTGCTTTGTATCTTGCTTGGGATTTAGGTTGCACTGGGTATGCATACATTGGAACTCAAGGAATGGTATGCTCATGATGTGTCCATTTCATTGTGTTTAATGATATGCACGATGAAGTATGTATATCATATGAAGTATGTGAAGGAAACCAGAAGGTGCCACCCCAAGATATGCCTCTTTGAGATAAAAATTATTTTTTGGCCAAAGGCAATTAAGGAGCAGAAAACAGGCCAGGCGCGGTGGTTCACACCTGTAATCCCAGCACTTTGGGAGGCCAACGCTAGAGAATCACTTGAGACCAGGTGTTCAAGATCAGCCTGAACAATATAGTAAGACCCCATCTCCTGGAAAAAAAAAAAAAGAAAGGAAAGAAAAAATAAAAATTAGCCAGTCATGGTGGCATGTGTTTGTAGTCCCAGCTACTCAGGAGGATGAGGTGAGATGATCGCTTGAGCCCAGGGGTTCCAGGCTGCAGTGAGCTATGCTTGTGCCACTGCACTCCAGCCTGGGTGACAAGAGTGAGACCCTTTTGGTGAGAATGGAGACACCAGTAACTTACAGCTTAACAATCACCAATGAGAACTAAGAGCTCTAAATCAACCTGATTTTACTGTTCCAGGAATTCTTACTCACGAAGATAGGCTATAGGTCAATCCATACCTTCATTCTGAGCTTTAGGAACTTCCCATTTATCTGGTCTCTAAGTTGCTCATCAGGCTGCAAAGCTTCCTTCTCAGGCACTGAGAAGTTGAGCTGATCATTGAATTGGGCAAATCACCTTCCTTGTCAAAAAAGAGGGAAAATCTAACTTCAATTTCTTCACCTTGTTGGGTGTACCGTCTCAAACTATTCTACCATGAACTATGTCCAATCCCAGTGAAATCTCCATATTGAAAAGACCACCTTAAACCACTCTAACTAGACTATAGAACCCTATAAAAATCGCCCTCTGTAAGGCCGAGGCTGGCAGATTGCTCGAGCCCAGGAGTTCAAGACCAGCCTGAGCAACATGGTGAAACCCTGTCTATAGAAAAAATAAAAAAGTTAGCCAGGCATGGTGACATGTGCCTGCAGTCCCAGCTACTCTGGAGGCTGAGGCAGGAGGACTGCTTGACCCTGAGAGGTCAAGGCTACAGTGGGCTGTGATTGTGCCACTGAACTCCAGCCTGTGTGACAGAGTGAGACCCTGTCTCATAAACAAATAAAAATCACCCTTGACGTCCCCTCTGAGACACGACTAAGATTATGTCAAAGCAATGTTCTTTTTTTTTTTTTTTTTTTTGAAACTGAGTCTCACTCTATTGCCCAGGCTGGAGTACAGTGGTATGATCTCACTGCAACCTCTACCTCCTGAGTTCAAGTGATTCTGGTACCTCAGCCTCCCGAGGAGCTGTTACTACAGGTGTGAGCCACCATGCCAGGCTAATTTTTGTATTTTTCGTAGAGACAGGGTTTCACCATGTTGGCCAGGATGGTCACAAACTTGACCTCAGGTGATCCACCCACCTCGGCTTCCCAAAGTGCTGGGATTACAGGCGTGAGTCACCGCGCCCGGCCACAATGTTCTTTTCTAATGCTGTAAGAAACTC
Organism: Homo sapiens; assembly: GCF_000001405.40. Lineage (NCBI taxonomy): Eukaryota > Metazoa > Chordata > Mammalia > Primates > Hominidae > Homo > Homo sapiens. Next base: position 30,741,782 of record NC_000008.11, read on the forward strand.
AAATTTACTTACTGACAGGTTATTCTGGTGGTCTTTGGTGGGGAGAGCTAGCAGTTGCAGTGAAGAGAGTTCACAAACAACAAAGTTTGGGAAATGCTGGCTTCCCATATGTTAAGACAAGGTAAATTTGGATTGGTTAGGAACTGCCTTTTGTAGTCCAGAGAGAGATTCAATGGCGCCATCAACAGATTAAATTAGGTAATATGGAAGACCAGGGAGGAAGAAAAAAATACAGGAGGTAGGTGGTTAAGAACTGTAGAACTTCCTTTCCTGTCTTCCTCCTTATGCATGATGAACACAAGATACAGACTGTAGAACTTTCTTTCCTGTCTTCCTCCTTATGCATGATGAACACAAGATACAGACAACTATGGGAACATCTGAACTAGTCAATATAATTAATTATTTTATGGTATGTCATGCTGTAATTTATATTACCTCACCCTTACTGATCTTCAGATTGTGCCCTAATATTTTGCACCTTTGCTTGGAGGATAAAGTTCTTAGCCTATATACAAAGGAAAGCCTCTGCGGCCCTAGCAACAATCTACCTCTAAAAGCCTTCATTCAGCTTTATTTTATTTTTAGAGACAGGGTCTCACTATATCGCCCAGGCTGGAGTGCACTGGCATGATCTCAGCTCACTGCAGACTTGACCTCCTGGGCTCAAGTGATTCTCCCACCTCAGCCTCTTGAGTAGCTGGGAGCACAGGCTACGCCATCACGCGCAGCTATTTTTTTTTTTTAGACAGGTTTAGCTATGTTGCCCAGAGGGGTCTCGAACTCCTGAGCTGAAGCAATCTGCCTCCTTCCGCCTCCCAAAGTGCTGAGAATACAGGAGTGAGCTACCGCGCCCGGCCTCAAGCTCTAAACTGCAGCAATAATCACTGGTAGTTCCTTTGCACTCAGGTTCCTAAACTTGAAATCCCACCCTTCCCGGACATCCTTGCCCAGATTCCTAACCTTTGAACACAACGTAGGCGTGACTTCCTTTTGGAAAGCCTTTTGCAAGCCTTCTGGGTATGGTTCTGCAACACCCTGTGTATATCTCTATCATAGCACTCAGGAACTGCATTATGTTTATTTGCTTACAGGGCTATCTTTCCCAGTTTTTTTTTTTCTTCTCCATAGAACCACAAAGTCGGATAAGCTGAGTTTCTTGAGGACAAATTCAGTAACTTGTAAATATTTGAATATCCAAGAGTTGTAGAGTACCAAACTGTGGAGCTCAATAAATTTCAGATGAACTAAACTGAATAGTCAGGTGGGATGCTAGATGGATGGGTCAGGAAAAAGAATTTTCTTTTTTCTTGCAAAGTGTTGGGATTACAGGCGTGAGCCACCGCGCTTAGCCAGGAAATATAATTTCTTTCTTTCTTTTTTTTTTTTTTTTGAGACGGGGTCTCATTCTGTCGCCCAGGCTGGAGTGCAGTGGTGCAAACTCGGCTCAAAGCAACCTCCGCATGCGGGTTCAAGCAATTCTCCTGCCTCAGCCTCCCGAATAGCTGGAATTACAGGCGACCGCCACCACACCCGGCTAATTTTTGTATTTTTAGTAGAGACGGGGTTTCACCATATTTGCCAGGCTGGTCTGGAACTCCTGACCTTGTGATCCGCCCGCCTCGGCCTCCCAAAGTGCTGAGATTACAGGCGTGAGCCACCGCGCCTGGCCAGGAAAGATAATTTCCAAGTACGAAATGTTGTAGATTGGGAGGACCTCAGTAGCTTGGGAGAAGTGCACAGTGGTGAGTTATAGGACGGCAATGAGGTCATGGAACTATGAAGTCAAGGTTAACAATAACGCGTGCAGGCAAAACTGAAAAGGGGCGGAACAAGGGGTAGCGGGTCTCCAGGACCTGGCATTAGGACGTGCGTGTTAGGGGGCAGGTATTTGGAGCCAGGCCCCACTTTCGAGTTGTCTTTCCGCAGGAACCAGAGACTGCGGACGGGGCCAGGAACCAGGAACCGTTAGGGAGATAAGGAAGGTGTTATAGCCCACATTCATCCTATACGGCCACAAGGCCGGGGGGCCCAGGCTGCCTCCTCACAGCATCAGCTTTTTCTTCGGCTTCATTTCCCTCTGGAAAGCGCTTTCTCACAGACGCTGCAAAGACCGAAGGGGCAGCCCCTGCCCTGCTACCCTCCAGGGAGCCACCGCTCTAGAGCCCAGGCTCCTCTGGACATCATGTGACTTGGGGGACGACTTGCCTTTCTTCTGAAACACGGCTACAGACTATAACTTTAAAACACGGGGCTTAGCTCCCCCTCAATAACGACACGGCCGTCAGTATTTACCACGTTATTGACCCTCTCCCAGCCGGCCCGCGGCAAGAAGAGTTCCACTTCCTTCCCGGAAAACGCGGCCGGAAGGGGCGGGCTTTCCGCCTGCACCAGGCGCTTCCGCCACCATGGCTTCACGTGGGGTTGTTGGCATTTTCTTCCTCTCTGCTGTCCCCCTTGTGTGTCTGGAGCTCCGGCGTGGGATCCCGGATATAGGTAAGTGTGACTTTTTCCCTTCGACAGTCACAGCTGGGTAATTTTCACAGGAATGTTGCATAGAACGACCGCCTCTTCGGCTGCGTGGCTTCGGAGCAGCTTTGACTACAACTCCCAGACTGCATCGCCCCTGCCCCCCCACTTCCGGAGCTGACTTCACTTCGAGGAACCTTTTCCCTCCAGGTGTGATGGTTTTACGTGTAAGAGGGTAGAGGCAAAGAGCACAGGGGCAATCATAGACAGTGCTTTCGCATCCTGGCGAACACTGAAAAGGAAATAAACAGGTTGATAAGATGAAGGTCTTGTGAGAATTTAGGCTGAGAAGTTTTTTGTTTTGTTTTTAGAGACAGGGTCTCACTATGTTGCCCAGGCTGGTCTCGAACTCCTGGGTTCAAGAGATCCTCCTGCCTCGGCCTCTCAAAGTGCTGGGATTACAGGCCTACGCCACTGCGCCCGGCCCTAGGTTTAAATAAGGGGCCACGCCCGTGAAAAGCCAGTGGGGGCAGGGAAGGGATGGGGGAGGGGAGGAATATTTTAGGCAAAAAGATTGTGACACGTTGGAGGAAAAGGTGAAGGCCATTGTGGCTGAATCAAGGAGAGTTGGGAGGAGGAGGAGGAGGAATTGGCTCAGGATAATGACGTTTATTGAACACCTATTATAAGCCAAACACCAGGTGCTGGTTATTATCTCATTTAATCTGCACTGCAATCAGAGGAGGGTAGGCACTATTATAATCCCCATTTTACAGTTGAGGGAACTAAAATTTAGGGAGGTTAAGTGACTTCCCTAAGTTTTAAAAAGGTCACTCGATTCTGTATGGAGAATGCTTTGGACAGAAGCTATGGTGGAAGCAGTGAGGCACATCAGGCTTTGGAAGTTGACAAGTGGTGATGATGGCCTGGACTAGAACAATAACAGGAGATGAAATGTAGACAGAATTGGGATATTGACGGAGTAGGATCAACCAACAGGCTTTGTTTATGGGTTGATGTTTGGGGCAAGGGAAAGGAAGGATTCAAGGACGACTGCCTCATGGGGGACTGAGCAAACCTAGGTATTTGGTAGTGCTACTGGTAAAGGGGAAATGGAAAGAAAAACTGTGGAGATGCTGAGAATCATGAGTTGATTTTTGGACATTTCAGTGATCAGTTTACATGTCTGTCTCCCTTTTTAAGGTCAATTCTAAAGTTAGAGACCATAATGAAACTTGGCTTTGTGTACTCCCTCTCTTTCTCCACATTTTCTCCCTGCTCACAAGGAGTCAGATGCCTAGAAATGTTGCGTGCAATAAGAAATGAAAATAAAATGCTTTAAAAAAATGTACAAAGACTGTCCTGAAGCTTCTCACTCACTCAAGCTGTGTTGGAATATAACAAGACCTTTATCCAAAGGATCAGAAATGTTGAATTCACACTCACCATTTCCGCAATTCACCTGTTCCCTTGTCTTTTCAACATCCACCCCTACTCTGCTCATTTATTATTTTTTGAGACAAGGTCTTGCTCAGTCACCCAGGCTGCAGTGCAGTGGCACGGTCATGGCTTACTGTAGCCTGGACTTCCCGGCTCAAGTGATCCTCCCACCTCAGCCTTCTGAGTAGCTAGGAATACAGGGGCCACACCACCATGCCTTGCTTATTTTTTGTATTTTTTTGCAGAGATGTGGTTTTGCCATGTTGCCCAGGCTGGTCTGGAACTCCTAGGCTCAAGCAATCCACCCACTTCGGCCACCCAGAGTGCTGGGATTATAGGTGTGAGCCACCGTGCCCAGCCAGAAATATGCTTCTTGAAGGCAGAGACCAAATGGAATTTGTTTTTGTATTCCCAGCACTTACCAGTGTCTAGTTTAATAGAACTAGGGACAAGGGTTCTATAAATTGCACCTGGGCTCCTGGCAGCATCTTTATCTAGTTCTTGAAATTTTCATGGGATTAGCTTCTTTCTCAGAATTCTGAACGAATGATTGTTTCCTTTGGATTGTTTCCTCTTTTCAGTTTTCTTTTTTTAATATATATTTTTTCCTTTTTTTTTCTGCTACCTTTGGATTCTTGATAGTGAGCTTCCAATAATTATTTCTTAACAGTATTTAAGTCTGTTTTATACATCATACTTTATACCAGCAGCAGGGCTGGTTATGCCTATACTGATATTCAGACATATATTGAAAAACTAGCCTTGTCTTTTTCTACTGTGTAAAAACCTTTATTGTCAATACATTTTACTTGTACTTAAGCTAGATTTTTTTTTTCTTTTTTTTTTTTTTGAGACGGAGTCTCACTCTGTCACCCAGGCTGGAGTGCAGTGGTGCAGTCTCAGCTCACTGCAACTTCCGCCTTCTGGGTTCCAGCGATTCTCCTGCCTTAGCCTCCTGAGTAGCTGGGACTACAGGCATGCACCACCATGCCCGACTAATTTTTTTGTATTTTTAGTAGAGGCGGGGTTTCGGTATGTTGTGCCAGGTTGGTCTCCAACTCCTGACCTTGTGATCCACCCGCCTCGGCCTCCCAAAGTGCTGGGATTACAGGCGTGAGCCACCGCGCCCTGACTAAGCTAAATATTTTAAGGCCAGTTCCTCACGTTGAAGTACACTGCTTATGGGGTCTATAGTTTAAGTACACAAAAAAATCCCAGCACTCTGGGAGGCCGAGGCAGGCGAGTCATGAGGTCAAGTAATCGAGACCATCCTGGCCAACATGGTGAAACGCTGTCTCTACTAAAAATACGAAAATTAGCGGAGCATGGTGGCGCACGCCTGTAGTCCCAGCTTCTTGGGAGGCTGAGGCAGGAGAATCGCTGGAACCCGGGAGGTGGAGGTTGCAGTGAGCCGAGATCACACCACTGCACTCCAGCCTGGCAACAGAGTGAGATTCCATCTCAAAACAAAAACAAAAACGAAAAAACCTTAAAATTTTTTTTCTTTAAAGGTATACACACAAATATAGTTCTTTCATATTCTCATGTGATGTTTGCAAATTGCTTGTTAGAACGAACAGCAGTAGTATGGAACATAAATCCCACACCTCAGTGGTGTTTTTTTTTTTTTTTTTTTTTGAGACAGAGTCTTACTCTGTTGCCCACGCAGGAGTGCAGTGGCACAATCTCTGCTCACTGCAACCTCCGCCTCCCAGGTCCAAGCCATTATCCTGCCTCAGCCTCCCAACTAGCTGGGATTACTGGTGTGCACCACTGTGCCTGGCTAATGTTTGTATTTTTAGTAGAGACGGGGTTTCACCATGTTGCCCAGGCTGGTTACAAACTCCTGAGTTCAAGTGATCCACTCACCTCAGCTTCTCAAAGTGCTGGGATTATAGACGTGAGCCACTGCGCCTGGCCTCAATGGTTTCTTTACATACCAATACTCTAGATATTAAACTACTTTTGTATTGGCCAGAGATAAAATAGATTAAATTATGTGTTGTATTGAATAACACCTGAATCAACAGTTAATACTGGCAAGTTGGAGGAGCCGTGATTTTTTTTTTAAAGTCATACTTCTTCTCTAAGCAACTTTAAATTGCTAGGGTTTTTAAAGAATATTGGGCCAAGCAAGGTGGCTCATGCCTGTAATCCCAGCACTTTGGGAGGCCAAGTTTTCTTTTTTTAATATATATTTTTTCTTTTTTTTTTTTTTTTTTTTTTTTGCTACCTTTGGATTCTTGATAGTGAGCTTCCAATAATTATTTCTTAACAGCATTTAAGTCTGATTTACACATCATACTTTATACCAGCAGCAGGGCTGGTTATGCCTGTACTAATATTCAGACATATATTGAAAAACTAGCCTTGTCTTTTTCTACTGTGTAAAAACCTTTATTGTCAATACATTTTACTTGTACTTAAGCTAAATTTTTTTTCTTTTTTTTTTTGAGATGGAGTCTCACTCTGTCACCCAGGCTGGAGCGCAGTGGTGCAGTCTCAGCTCACTGCAACTTCCGCCTTCTGGGTTCAAGTGATTCTCCTGCCTCAGCCTCCTGAGTAGCTGGGACTACAGGCATGAACCACCATGCCCAAGAAAGGAGGATCATTTGGAAAAAATATATATATATTATCTGATGGCCCACATCTGTGGTCCCAGCTACTTGGGAGGCTGACATGGGACGACTGCTTGAGCCCTGGAGGTTGTGGCTGCAGTGAGCTGTTATCAACTGCTGCACTCCAGCCTGGGCAAGAGAGTGAGAGGCCATCTGAAAGAAAAAAAAAAAAAAGGCAAGAATATACATCTATCTGTTTTCAGTTTAAAATAAAACATTTAAGTCTATATATGTTTTTTTCTTTTTTTTTGAGACAGAGTTTCACTCTGTTGCCCAGGCTAGAGTGCAATGGCATGATCTCTGCTCACTGCATCCTCTACCTCCCAGGTTCAAGTGATTCTCCTGCCTCAGCCTCCCAAGTGTCTGGTATTACAGGCACCCACCATCATGCCTGGCTAATTTTTGTATTTTGGTAGAGATGGAGGTTTCACCGTGTTGGCCAGGTTGGTCTTAAAGTCCTGACCTCAGGTGATCCACCCGCCTTGGCCTCCCAAAGTGCTGGGATTACAGGCATGAGCCATCTCGCCCGGCCTATATATATGTTTTTCTGATTCCTTCTTTAAGTTTTAGTTAATTGACTAATTACCAGCCTTGATCACGTTGGATTCCTCTGTATCTCTGCCATTTATCTTTTGAAAATTAAAAACACAAAACGAGTAAAAATTCCAAGAGGATGGAAATCATTTTTAACCCAGCTTTGTTTCCTGTCCCTCAACATTTGCCAAATTGTATTATGCAAAGTAGGTAGTTAGATTTCTGCTCAAATAATTTTCACTTTGGTTCTTAATATAACACCAAATACTGGCTGGGTGCGGTGGCTCATGCCTGTAATCCCAGCACTTTGGGAGGCTGAGGCCAGCGGATCACCTGAGGTCAGGAGTTTGAGACCAGCCTGTCCAACGTGGTGAAACCCCATCTCTACTGAAAATACAAAACTAGCCAGGCATGGTGGTGCATGCCTGTAGTCCCAGCTACCCAGGAGGCTGAGGCAGGAGAATAGCTGGAACCCAGGAGGCAGAGGTTGCAGTGAGCCAAGATTGCGCCACTGCACTCCAGCCTGAGCAACAGACTGAGGCTCCGTCTCAAAAAAAAAAAATAAAATAAATAAATAAATAAATAGACCAAATACTATATTTTTACTTTTTCCTCCGCAAGCATGTAAATCGTAATTTTACTTACAAGTGACTAAATGTCAAGAAATAAAGAAGCACACAGTTGCACAATTTGTGAGAAATAAGAATTTGGTGTTTCAGTGAGATTATCATAGAACTAGAATTTGACACGATATTTTCTTTTTTTCTTTTTTTTTTTTTTTGAGACAGAGTCTCTCTCTGTCGCCCAGGCTGGAGTGCCATGGCACGATCTTGGCTCACTGCAAGCTCTGCCTCACAGGTTCATGACATTTTCCTGCCTCAGCCTCCCAAGTAGCTGGGACTACAGGTACCCGCCACCGCGCCCAGCTAATTTTTTGTATTTTTATTAGAGACAGGGTTTCACCGTGATAGCCAGGATGGTCTGGATCTCCTGACCTCTGATCTGCCTGCCTCGGCCTCCCAAAGTGCTGGGATTACAGGTGTGAGCCACCACACCTGACCAACACGATGATATTTTCAGTTTTATTTCTAGTTATGTAATTTTCTCTATATGGGAAACTACAACTTATACATTACTGATATTCATAATATAGTGTAGCTGATCGCTCTAATTGTAACTGTATTCCCAAGATAGTGTTTATTCTAGAATTATGCTCTGTACATTTGTTCTGGAAATGACAACCATCATGAGTTTTTTAATGCCCAAAGGAGAGTACAGTAAACCCTCTGTATCCCTGAGTTCCACATTGAGCATTTAAGCACCTGTGGATTGAGACTATTCAGAAAGGGCTGGGTGTGGTGGCTCACACCTACAATCCCAGGACCTTGGGAGGCCGAGGCGAGCAGATTGCCCGTGTTCAGGAGCTCAAGACCAGCCTGGACAACATGGCGAGACCCCATCTCTACAAAAAATACAGAAATTAGCCGGGTGTGGTGGTACGTGCCTGTAGTCCCAGCTACTTGGGGGCACTAAGGCAGGAGGCCCTCCTTGAGCCCCAGGAGGTTGAGGCTGCAGTGAGCCGTGGTCTCACCATTGCACTCCAGCAGCCTGGGTGGCAGAGCAAGACCAAGAAGAGCAACACCCTGTCGGCCGGGCACGGTGGCTCACGCTTGTAATCCCAGAACTTTGGCAGGCTGAGGCGGGCGGATCATGAGGTCAGGAGATCGGGACCATCCTGGCTAACATGGTGAAACCCCGTCTCTACTAAAAAATACAAAAAATTAGCCAGGCGTGGTGGCAGGCACCTGTAGTCCCAGCTACTCGGGAGGCTGAAGCAGGAGAATGGCATGAACCTGGGAGGCAGAGCTTGCAGTGAGCCGAGATCATGCCACTGCACTCCAGCCTGGGCAACAGAGCGAGACTCTGTCTCAAAAAAAAAAAAGAAGAGCAACACCCTGTCTCTTAAAAAAAGAAGGAAAAAAAAAAAGAAAATATTCAGGAAAAAAATGGATAAATGGATGTTTGTCTGTCTGTCCCGAACATCTACAGGCTTTTTTCCCCGTCGTTAGTCCATAAACAATAAAGTATAGCAACTATTTATAGAGCCTTTACATTGTATTGGGTAGTATATGAGTCATCTATAGATGATTTAAAGTATGTGGGAGCATAGACTGTATGCAAACACTGTGCCATTTTATATCAGGGACTTGAGCATCCGTGGATTTTGGTATACTCAGGAGTCCTGGAACCAATACCCCATGAATACTGAGGGATGACTATTATATGAACAAAATCATAAGACAGTTGTATAACTTCTACTATACTTTTCCAGTACAAATAATCTTCTAATGTGTTATAATTTATTAGGAGTATCAAGAAAAATGTTTTGGGTTGGGCATGTTGGCTCATGCCTATAATCCTAGCACTTTGGGAGGCCAAGGCAGGAGGATCACGTGAGCTCAGGAGTTCGAGACCAGCCTAGTCAACATAGTGAGACCTCATCTCTTAAAAAAAAAGTTTTGAATTTTAATTTTAGTTTTTTTCCTTTATCAGGAATCAAGGATTTTCTTTTGCTTTGTGGCCGGATTTTGCTACTGCTTGCTCTTCTTACTTTAACTATTTCTGTGACTACCTCATGGCTTAACTCATTTAAATCTCCCCAAGTTTATCTGAAGGGTAAGTTTATTATTTATTCTACCCTTTTATACCATTCTACTCAAATTTATTTATTCTAGAACTTTGCACAGTAAGAGCCATTTTACTATTAATTTGTGATGTGTAGTTTCAGGGAGAGTAATCAGTACAACTTTAGTCATGATTTTTTGTGTTGGTTTTTAAACATTAGTGATGATTGTTTTGCATGGAGTATATCCCAACATTTTTATGAGAAATTGTACATTTTTCTTATATATGTGTTTTAAAGCTATATCATTTCTAAGTTGTTATATGGTAAATTCCCTAATTTTAAATTGTGTGTTTGTGCTGCTTAACTGCCATTTGATACCTACAGTTTATGAGCTGTTCTACAGAGTCAATGTATCTACCATTAAACTTTTTTTTTTTTTTTTTTGAGATGGAGTCTCACTCTGTCACCAGCTGGAGTGCAGTGGCATGATCTTGGCTCACTGCAACCTCCACCTCCTGGGTTCAAGTGATTCTCCTGCCTCAGCCTCCCGAGTATTTGGGACTACAGGCATGCACCACCATGCCAGCTAATTTTTGTATTTTTTGTAGAGACAGGGTTTCACCATGTTTACCAGGATGGTCTCGATCTCTTGACCTCGTGATCCGCCCACCTCGGCCTCCCGATGTGTTGGGATCACAGGCATGAGACACCACACCCGGCCAATCTACCATTAATCTTGAAAGGCTTTTCATCCTAATGTTTTATTCCATTCTAGCAGTTTTTACTTAGGCACCTTTGTCTTTTATATGTAAATGTTTTTAATTTTAGGAAATCATGCTTGTTTTTAGTTTTTTAATTTGAGACAGAGTCCCGCTCTGTCACCCAGGCTGGAATGCAGTGGCGTGCTTGGCTCACTGCAACCTCCTCCTCCCAGGCTCAAGTGATCCTCTCGCCTCAGCTTCCCGAGTAGTTGGGACTACAGGTGTGTACCACTGCACCTGGCTAATTTTTGTAGTTTTTATAGTTTTTGTAGAGGTGGGATTTCGCCATGTTGCCCAGGCTGGTCTCTAGCTCCTGAGCTCAAGTCCTGCCTCAGTCGCCCAAAATGCTGGGATTACAGGCTTGACCCACTTCACCCAGCCTGTTTGATTTTTGATAAGCAAAAGTTTGTGAGTCCTAGAAGCCTTTTAAAATAATATTGTACTTAGCCTCAGAATAGGTGAATCTTAAAACCAAAAACTACATATTTTCTATGCTACTAGGAAGAAGCTTGTCATTAGTGAATTTGGTACATTGTGTTTTGTTTCACTGTTTATTAAAATGTAAGTAAATAAAAGGAAAGTGACCAGTATTTAATGTATAGCCCTTTCAAATTAACTGTGAACAAAACCATAATCCTAAAAGGTTATACTATTCAACCCAAACATAAATGACAATGTGATGTGTTAGGGTCTCCCCATCATAGACTTTAGATTTTTTTCTTTCTTTTGATACATTATTTGATTGGTTGTACTTCAAATAAGATACTTGGGAAGTAAAAAGCACTTTTATGTTTTGATGTCTTAGAAGAAGAAGAAAAGAATGAGAAAAGACAAAAACTTGTGAGAAAAAAACAACAAGAAGCACAAGGAGAGAAGGTAAGGCAGAATTTTTAGAGACTTTATGCGTAGAGAAATACAAAAATCTCTGAGGCAATTAAAATTAAGGGCTGTTGCTTCTGTCTTGGTGCTAAGATTTTAAAAAATATATAATGAGGTCAAATTCACGTGACATAAATTGACCATTTTATTTTACTTATTTATTTTTGAAATGGAGTCTCGCTGTGTCACCTAGGCTGGAATGCAGTGGCGAAATCTCGGCTCACTGCAATCTCCACCTCCCAGGTTCAAGTGATTCTCCTGCCTCTGCCTCCCGAGTAGCTGGGATTACAGGTGCGCACCACCACACCCAGCTAATTTTTGTATTTTTAGTAGAGATGTTGTTTTGCTATGTTGACCAGGCTGGTCTTAAACTCCTGACCTCAGGTGATCCACCTGCCTCGGCCTCCCAAAATGCTGGGATTACAGGCATGAGCCACCATGCCCAGCCAAAACTGACCAAGCTGTTCAGTGACATTTAGTACATTCACAAGGCTGTACAACTACCACCTCTGTTCCATCTTCTGTAAAGAAAACCGTATACTCTTTAAACAGTCACTCCCCACTCTGCCCTCATCCCATCCTCTGAAAACCACCAATCTGCTTTCTGTTGGTATGGATTTACCTATTGTGGATGAATAATATTCCATTGAATAGATATACCACTTTTTTTTTTTTTTTTTTTGAGACTGGGCCTCTCTCTGTTGCCCAGGCTGGGGTGGAGTGGTACAACCATACCTCACTGTCGCCTCAAATTCCTGGGTTCATGGGATCTTCCTGCCTCAGCTTCCTGGGTAGCTGGAACTACAGGCACACACACACCACCATGCTCAGCTAATTTTTAAAAAATTTTGGGCCAGGCGTGGTGGTGCACGCCTGTAATCCCAGCACTTTGAGAGGCTGAGACGGGTGGATCACGAGGTCAAGAGATCGAGACTATCCTGGCCAACAAGGTGAAACCCTGTCTCTACTAAAAATACAAAAATTAGCTGGGCGTGGTGGCAGGCACCTGTAGTCCCAGCTACTTGGGAGACTGAGGCAGGACAATCACTTGAACCCAGGAGCCAGAGATGGCAGTGAGTGGAGACTGCACCACTGCACTCCATCCTGGGTGACAGAGTGAGACTCCATCTCAAAACAAAAACAAAAACAAAGGATGTTGGCTTCCCTCTCCAGATTTAAGATCTGAAATTCTAAAGATGGCACTTGGTTTCCCATTTGTGACAAATCCTTGGAGTTGCCATACCGGCATTCAATTTGAATCAGGATAGGAAAAGTAGATCCTCCCATTCTCTCAGGAAATGGGATTGTTCCCAGCATGAAAACCACAACCTGGTTGATACTGTCATAATCAGGCAGGTCAAAAACAAATGCCTGTCCCGCTTGCTGTCCAGCTGTCGGCACGAGCCTCCCCACAACCAAGCAGCCAAACAGGGTGGCAGTGGCTCTGTTCAGCCAGCAGGGTTCTTACTTGGTTCTTATTTACAACTTTATAGACAGTGTACATTTTTAGGAACATTAATGGATAGTAACAACACCTAATTTGTTGTTTTCAACAGGCCAGCAGATACATAGAGAATGTTTTAAAACCTCACCAGGAAATGAAATTGAGAAAACTGGAGGAGCGCTTTTATCAAATGACGGGTGAAGCCTGGAAATTAAGCAGTGGTCACAAACTTGGGGTTGGAAAATATTCTCATTTTATATTTTGAATCCTCTTACTATGTTTCCTATTACATGATTGATTTTTAATTGAAAATGATGTTAGACTGCTTTTAGGAGTTTTTATTGATAATGATTATCAGTTTTTGTTCAGCATACTTGTTTATTACATGGTTAAGGGGTTGGTCGTTTTTTTTTTTTTTTTGAGATGGAGTCTTGCTTTGTTCCCCTAGGCTGGAGTTCAGTGGCACAATCTCGGCTCACTGCAAGCTCCGCCTCCCAGGTTCATGCCATTCTCCTGCCTCAGCCTCCCGAGTAGCTGGGACTACAGGCGCCTGCCACCATGCCCAGCTAATTTTTTGTATTTTTAGTAGAGATGGGGTCTCACCGTGTTAGCCAGGATGGTCTCAATCTCCTGACCTCATGATCCGCCCGCCTCACCCTCCCAAAGTGCTGGGATTACAGGCGTGAGCCACTGAGCCCAGCTGGTCTTTGTTTTTAAAAGACAGTCTCTCTCTCTTGCCCTGGCTGGGGTGCAGTGGCACGATCATAGCTCACTGCAGCCTCAAACTCCAGGGCTCAAGGGATCCTCCTGCCTCAGCTTCTTAAGTAGCTGGGACTATAGGTGCACCCTACCATGGACTGCACCTGGCTGGTTAAGTGGTTTTTGGTGCCTAAAGAGCATATAACTTGGTTCCTTAAAAAGCTGTTGTGGTGGCTAACGCCTGTAATCCCAGCAATTTGGAAGGATGAGGCAGGCAGATTGCTTGAGACGAGGAGTTTGAGACCAGCCTGGGCAACATAGGAAGACCCTGTCTCTACAAAAAAAAAATTAAAAATTAGCCAGACGTGGTAGTGTGTGGCTGTAGTCTCAGCTACTTGGGAGGTTGAGGCAGGAGGATCACTTGAGCCCAGGAGGTCAAGAGGCTGCAGTGAGCTGTGACTGTACCACTGCACTCTAGGCTGGGAGACAGAGCAAGACCCTTTCTCCAGAAAAAAAAAAAAAAAAAAAAAGAAGACTGACTGTGACATAAGATAGTCTTTAAAACTGTCAAATAAATTGTTATTGTCTTATATGAGGACAAGAATATTCTGATCTTTCCTCAAGTCAAGATCTCCAAGGTATTAAGCTCAGGTTATATATGTTATTATATATTATATATTCTGATTTTTAAGTCAAATTAAACTTTGGTTATGTTTTCCTTCAGCATTGAATATGAATTTTGTCAGTTTCTATAGAAGTTTACAATTTTAAATTTTCTTTTTTTTTTTTTTGAGGCTGAGTCTCACTCTGTCGCCCAAGTTGGAGTGCAATGGCACCATCTCAGCTCAATGCAACCTCTGCCTCTCAGGTTCAAGCAATTCTTCTGCCTCAGCTAATTTTTGTTTTTGAGACAGAGTCTCTCTCCATCGCCCAGGCTGGAGTGCAGTGGTGCGATCTCAGCTTACTGCAACCTCCGCCTCCTAGGCTCAAGTGATTTTCCTGCCTCAGTCTCCCACGTAGCTGGGATTACAGGTAACTGCCACCGCGCCCAGCTAATTTTTGTATGTCTTTTTAGTAGAGATGGGATTTCACCATGTTGGCCAGGCTGGTCTCTAACTCCTGACCTCCTGTGATCTGCCCACCTCGGCGTTCCAAAATGCTGTGATTACAAGCGTGAGCCACCATACCCGGCCAATTTTTGCATTTTTTTAGTAGAGATTGGGTTTCACTGTGTTAGCCAGGCTGGTCTTGAACTCCTGACTTCAGGTGATCTGCCCTCCTCAGTCTCCCAAAGTGCTGGGATTACAGGTGTGAGCCATAGCACCCGGCTCAAGCCTCGTGTTTTCCTGTCCACGGAGATAATGCTTTAATTTTTTGGGTCTCATAATGGCTTGCTAATATTTTTCTACTGATATGCCATCAGGGTAAAAAAAGGAAAAAGGAAAAACAATTGTGAATAGAATAAAGTTGATAGAAAACATCTCTTTAGAAATTGTCTGTTGTGTTTGACCAGGGTGATGAAGGTACAAGTCAGACATCTTTTGAAACATCAAACAGAGAAGCAGCAAAGAGCCAGAACTTGCCTAAACCTTTAACTGAATTTCCGTCTCCTGCTGAACAGCCCACATGCAAGGAGGTAAAGTACTTCATGCCTCTCATTGAATTGTGTCTGTGTGCAGTAGGAGTATTGAACTCTGGGTGAGGTGGTATACTGGGTGAAGATCAGGACTGGCCTTTCATCCAGATGGTGTCTTCCCACTGCCTTACAAAGCAATCACCCCAGAATAGGCCGGGCATGGTGGCTGACATCTGTAATCCCAACACTTTGGGAGGCCGAGGCCGATGGAGGTTGAGGCCAGGAGTTTGAGACCAGCCTGGCCAACATGGTGAAACCCCATCTCTATTTAAAAAAAAAAAAAAAGAATAATTTTCCCTGTTCAATATTAATGATGTTCTGAATCCAACTTGGAAGCAATAAAGACAAATGATAATAGGTTTAGAAAATACTCAATTCTTAGCCAGGCACTGTGGCTCATGCCTGTAATCCCAGCACTTTGGGACATGAAGGCAGGCAGATCACCTGAGGTCAGGAGTTCAAGACCAGCCTGGCCAACATGGTGAAACCCCATCTCTACTAAAAATACAAAAAAATTAGCTGGGCGTGGTGGCAGGCACCTGTAATCCCAGCTACTGAGGAGGCTGAGACAGGAGAATCGCTTGAACCTGGGAGGTGGAGGTTGCAGTGAGCCAAGATTGCACCATTGCACTCCAGCCTGGACAACAGTAGTGAAACTCCATCTCAAAAACAAAAAACAAAAAACAAAAAGGGCTGGGCATGGTGGCTCATGCCTGTAATCCCAGTAGTTTGGGAGGCCGAGGTGGGTGGATCACGAGGTCACGAGTTCAAGACCAGCCTGGCTAAGATGGTAAAACCCCATCTCTACTAAAAATACAAAAATTAGCCAGGTGCAGTGGCAGGCGCCTGTAATCCCAGCTACTCAGGAGGCTGAAGCAGGAGAATCTCTTGAACCCAGCGGGGTGGAGGTTGCAGTGAGCCTAGATTGCGCCACTGCACTCCAGCCTGCGCGACAGAGTGAGACTCCGTCTCAAAAAAAAAAAAAAAAAAGAATTGATATTTTTTCTTTGTTTTTTTGAGACAGAGTCTCACTCTGTCGCCCAGACTGGAATACAGTGGTGAAATCTCAGCTCACTGCAGGCTCTGCCTCCTGGGTTCACACCATTCTCACCATTCTCCTGCCTCAGCCTCCCGAGTAGCTGGGACTACAGGCGCCCACCACCCCACCCAGCTAATTTTTTTGTATTTTTAGTAGAGACGGGGTTTCACCATGTTAGCCAGGATGGTCTCAATCTCCTGACCACGTGATCCGCCCGCCTTGGCCTCCCAAAGTGCTGGGATTACAGGCGTGAGCCACTGCGCCCAGCCGAAAATACTCAATTCTTTTTAAGGAATTTGATTATGTAAAAATGAAAAATATAATGCTTACGAAGGGAAGCATTCCTATTAACTTAAGAACATTATCAAGCCCTATCTTGTGAGTGGCTAATAGCTGTTATTAACATGAGTGTATAATTTTCCTTACTGGCCCTTCTAGGGAATAGATTAGCAATCAGTCACTTTGGATTAGTGCCCAGGTTTATTATACATGTTGTTCATTCAAATCTTCAATCCTTAACTAAGTTAATTCCAATTGGAGCTGGAAAAGATTAGAAATAAGAAATCTGTTTTTACTGGCCCTTAGGGAAAGCTGGGAGGCTGTCTATTCCCTGAAAATAGTTTCTAAGATATTGCTTCTCAATCTGAGATTTCCTGGTCCCATAGTGGAGATTGAGCAGGGGAATCAGATTATTGAACTATCACTGACCTTTGAAAAAGATCGATATGAACTAAACGGACTGATTAAAAATTCATGTTTGTGTTTTGTTAATGACACTGTCTTATGCTGATGGCAGATTTTACTTGACAGTCACATATGCTTTTGATACCAAAGGAAAACAAATGAGTTATTTAGCAAATGCAGGTAAGGTTAGATTAAATGTTATAAAATATACTCTATGGTATTAATAAAGAGTTCCTGGAGATGAAGTCATTGGTAACAAATGTTTTTTTTGTTTGTTTTTTTTGTTTTTTTTTTTTTTTTTGAGACGGAGTCTCGCTTTGTCACCCAGGCTGGAGTGCAGTGGCGTGATCTCGGCTCACTGCAAGCTCCTCCTCCCGGCTTCACGCCATTCTCCTGCCTCAGCCTCCCGGGTAGCTGGGACTACAGGTGCCCGCCACCACGCCCGGCTAATTTTTTGTATTTTTAGTAGAGACAGGGTTCCATCGTGTTGGCCAGGATGGTCTCGATCTCCTGACCTCATGATCTGCCCTCCTCGGCCTCCCAAAGTGCTGGGATTACAGGCGTGAGCCACCACGCCCGGCCACAAATGTCTTAATGAAAGAAAATGGTCTAAATATCTGGATTATTTTATTTTTATTTTTTTGAGACAGAGCCTCACTCTGTCACCCAGGCTGGAGTGCAGTGGCACAGTCATGGCTCACTGCAATCTCTGCCTCCTGGGTTCAAGAGATTCTCATGCCTCAACCTCCTGAGTAGCAGGATTACAGGTGTGCGCCACCACGCCTAGCTCATTTTTGTATTTTTAGTAGAGATGGGGTATCACCATGTTGGCCAGGCTGGTCTCAAACTCCTGACCTCAGGTGATCTGCCTGCCTCAGCCCCCGAAAGTTCTGGGATTACAGGCGTGAGACACCACACCCAGCCCAATATCTGGATTCTTAATAGATTAATGGAAATAGGGAAACATGAGTAAATGACAAAAGCAACCAAAGTGAATGGTTTCTGGCAGTCACCTAGGAGTGTGAGTGACAAAAAGTTCATATTCATGTTAAAATGTGTATATGGGCCGGGTGTGGTGGCTCACGCCTGTAATCCCAGGACTTTGGGAGGCTGAGGCAGGCGGATCACAAGGTCAGGAAGTCGAGACCATCTTGGCTAACACGGGGAAACCCTATCTCTACTAAAAAATACAAAAAATTAGCGGGGCATGGTGGCAGGCGCCTGTAGTCCTAGCTACTTGGGAGGCTGAGACAGGAGAATGGCCTGAACCCAGGAGGCAGAGCTTGCAGTGAGCCAAGATCGCGCCACTGCACTCCAGCCTGGGCGACAGAGTGAGACTCCGTCTCAGAAAAATAAATAAATAAAATAAAATAAAATAAAATAAAATAAAATAAAATAAAATATGTATATGTTTGAAGCAAAATAATTTTGGGGTCTTACTGAATTTTCTTTTCTTTTTTTTTTTTTTTAAGATGGAGGCTTGCTCTGTCACCCAGGCCAGAATGCAGTGGCACAACCTCAGCTCACTGCAACCTCTGCTTCATGGGTTCCAAGCGATTTTCCTGCCTCAGCCTCCCGAGTAGCTGGGATTATGGGCACCCGCCATCATGCCTGATAATTTTTGTATTTTTGTAGAGACGGGGTTTCACCATGTGAGCCACGCTGATCATGAACTCTTGACCTCAAGTGATCCACCTGCCTCGGCCTCCCAGTGTGTCGGGATTACAGGCATGAGCCACTGCGCCCAGCTGATACATGTTAACATTTATCCTGTTTTTATATGTATGTATGTGTATATGCATACACAATCATATATATATATATATATATATATTTTTTTTTTTTTTTAAAGTGACAGGGTCTTGCTTTGTTGCAATGGTTGGCCTTGAACTTCTGAGCTCAAGTGATCTTCCTGCCTCAGCCTCCTGAGTTGCTGGGATTACGGACATGAGCCACTGCATCTGGCTTGCTTTTTTACATAGTGCATTTTTATATATTAGTAATATTTTGGAACATAATAGAAGCAAAATCCTTTAAGTATGTATAGATTGGGAGCTATTATCTCAAATCCTATTTTTATGATTAATTTTTAGCACACTTGCCCAAAAATGTTTATTAATTGAACTATTTTCATTATAAACTCTTTATAGATGTATGAAGAAAAGATATAAGTAAGCTTAGATGTGTGTCTAAACTCTGTATTGAGAGGAACTCTTCTCATTGACACTTTTGCTTGTTGAACATGTTTACATTCCTCTTACCAATACTTTTCTTTAGATTCCTGATTTACCTGAAGAACCTTCTCAAACAGCAGAAGAAGTAAGTCTATTTTTCTCTTCGAAAATTAAACTTATTTTCTATTTTCTTTGCTTAACATCCATTAAATATGTCTTATCTAAACTTGGGTTTAGAAAGAAGTGATAGCATAAGTGTTCATGTGATTATACTGTAACTAGGTCTTTTTTAGAACATAGAGACAGGGTCTCACTATGTTGCCTAGGCTGGCCTTGAACTCCTGGGCTCAAGTGATCCACCCGCCTCAGCCTCCTGGGTAGCTGGGTCTTACTTGGAATGTAGTGTAGTATCAAATTCCTCAACATGAGTACTATTTTGCAAGCCTGCTGTCTGCTGAGTTGTCTTTTTTTTTTTTTGAGATGAAGTCTTGCTCTTGTCACCCAGGCTAGAGTGCAATGGCATGATCTCAGCTCACTGCAGCGTCCGCCTCCTGAGTTCAAGTGATTCTCCTGCCTCAGCCTCCCAAGTAGCTGGGATTACAGGCATCTGCCACCACATCGGGCTAGTTTTTGTATTTTTAGTAGAGACGGGGTTTTACCATGTTGGCCAGGCTGGCCTGGAACTCCTGACCTCAAGTGATCTGCCTGTCTTGACCTCCCAAAGCGCTGGGATTACACCCACCCACTGCCTCAGGCATAGGACACGTGGGCTTTTCCAGAACTTTAGGTCAGAAAATGCGTTGCTTACTAAAACAGAATCAAAATAGGCATATGTCCGAGCACTTTGGGAGGCCAAGAGGGGAGGATTACTTCAGCTTAGGAATTCAAGACCAGCCTGGGCAACATAGTGAGACGCTGTCGCTACAAAAAGGAAAAAAAAAAGGAAAAAAAACTAGGCAAATGACTTCAAATTGCAGTTCTCCTTTTCAAAGGAGAAAATGAAGAGGGCGACTACTTTGTAGATGTTTTAATTTAGGGGTGGTTTGCTGTTGGGGGCTGGGCTGGGACTGATCCCCAACTGTGTCAAGCTGTCTTCTTCCCAGTTGCTGGGTCATAGTCCGTGATGCCTTCCTGTCACTGGCCACCCAACTTATAGACACTTCCTAATGTATGGGGAGCACATACGTGTCTTGAAAGCCATTAAGTCATTTGGGCAATAAATCCAGAAGGAGAACCTACTTCTTGGGGCTCGGCAACAGTTATACTCCTTGGAAACCTTTTTTTTTTTTTTTTTAAAGAGACAGGCTTTTGCTCTGTCTCATAGGCTGGAGTGTCTTGGCACGATCATAGCTGACTGCATCTTCAACCTCTCAGGCTCAAGTGATCCTCCTACCTTAGCGTCCCAAGTAACTAGGACTGCAGGCATGTGCCACCAGCCCTGACTAATTTTTAAATTAAAAAAAAATTTTTTTTGGTAAAGATTGGGTCTCAGTGTTTTGCTCAGGCTGGTCCGACTCCTGGTCTCAAGTGATCCTCTCACCTTGGCCTCCCCAAGTGGTGGGATTATAGGTGTGAGTCACTGTGCCTGATGGGAAAGTTTTTTGTTTTTGTTTTTGTTTTTGTTTTTGAGACTGAGTCTCACCGCATTGCTCAAGCTGGAGTGCAATGGCACAATCTCGGCTCTCTGAAACCTCTGCTTCCGGGTTCAAGCCATTCTCCTGCCTCAGCCTCCTGAGTAGCTAAGACCACAGGTGTACGCCACAATGCCTGGCTAATATTTGTATTTTTAGTAGAGATGGGGTTTCACCGTGTTGGCCAGGCTGGTCACGAACTCCTGACCTCAAGTGATCCGCCCACCTTGGCCCCCCAAAGTGCTGGGATTACAGGCCTGAGCCACCGCACCTGGCCTGATTGGAAATATTTTCTAACATAGCTTTCCTGAGAGGGAGGGGTGCTGCTCTAAAACCACCACTTATGCCTAATATGATACCCACATAACTCCCAGCACAGTTAATGATCATGTTAGTCATAAAGGGTTTCTTGACAGGTGAAAAATAAACACTAATGTGTTATCTTCTCATTTTATAATGTCTTTTTTTTTTTTAAACAGAGTCTTGCTGTGTCATCCAGGCTGGGTGCAGTGGCGTGATCACAGCTTACTGTTGCCTCAGATTCCCTGGGCTCAGGCTATTCTCCCACTTCAACCTCCCAAGTAGCTGGGACTAGAGGCGTGCACCCACATCTAGCTAATTTTTCTATTTTTTATGGCGGGGGGTGTCTCAAACTCCTGGCCTCAAGTGGTCTGCCTGTCTCAGCCTCCCAAAGTCCTGGGATTACAGGCGTGAGCCACCACCATGCCCTACCTATGTCTTTTAATAATTAGCAAAGCAGTATCTAAGTCCTTTTTAGCTGCTTAGCTGTTTTATGGAATGAAAGGAATTGCAAAGAGCAATGGATCGGAGTTCTTATGTGAATATTTCTTCCTTAGGTAGTTACTGTTGCTCTCCGATGTCCCAGTGGGAATGTCCTGAGGAGAAGGTTTTTGAAGTCCTACAGCTCACAGGTAAGTGAAGGAATTCACATTTTGAGAAATATCTTTGTTGAATATGGCAGTAGTTTATTCACATGCCGTGGGGGAAGGTGTGATCACACTGTCATCTGCATCTCCCATCAGGTATGGATAAAGGACATTTCCAGGTACTCCACGTTGCAGAAATTTGGCTAACTAGGCATGCCTGCCGGATGTCTCTGAATTGTGATCTCTGCATTCACATTTTACTCATTCTTTCCCTTTGGTGTATTTTTCCTTTGTTGTTTGCTTTCATTACATTATCATAATTTGATGGGCAAGATGCTTTTAAATCCTTAGGAAGTAGCCACTATTAACTTTAGACTTTTTTTTTTCTTTTAAAAACAATACTGTGGGCTGGGTGCAGTGGCTCATGTCTGTAATCCCAACACTTTGGGAGGCCAAGGCGGGCAGATCACTTGAGGTCAGGAGTTCGAGGCCAGCCTGGCCAACATGGTTAAACCCCATCTCTACTAAAAATAAGAAAATTAGCCGGGCATGGTGGCGGATGCCTGTAATCCCACCTACTCGGGAGGCTGAGGTGGGAGAATCACTTGAACCTGGGAGGCAGAGGTTGCAATGAGCCGAGATCATGCCACTGCACTCCAGCCTGGGTGACAGAGCAAGATCCTGTCTCAAAAATACTAAATAATAAAAACAATACTGTGGTTGTTAGTGATAATTTGGAAAACATGGAAAAGTAGAGCGAGAAAAAAATTTGATCTGTAGTCTCATGCCAAAACCAGTTACTAACATTTTGGTATATTTCCGTCTCTAAGTACATTTAAACATATAATTATGTGTGCATTAAAAATATATGTAAATAATTTTCTGTCCTGTTTGTTGTATTTAACCTTCAATGACAAGAATGCTATAAACCGTAATGGAAAATACTGGATTTGACTACATAAAAATTCCGGCCAGGTGCGGTGGCTCATGCCTGTGAGTAGCTGGGACCAGGCACACACCACCGTTCCTGGCTAATTTTTTATTTTTAGTAGAAATGGGGTTTTGCCATGTTGGCCAGGCTGGTCTCAAACTCCTGGGCTCAAGTGATCCACCCACCTTGGCCTACCCAAGTGTTGGGATTACAGGCGTGACCCACCACGACCAGCCCATTTTACTATTTATGTATGATAGTTATTTTTTATAAGGAACTTAAATCAAGGAAGAGATAAACATCTCAGTAGACTGGCAGGGAAAGAAACACATGAATATCATGATTTCCCGAAGAAGACTCAGTGATAGATAAATATATGAAAAAAATGTTTGGCCTCACATAGAATCAATGAAGTACAAATAAAATGAAACAGTATTTTCTACTTAACTAGACTGTCAAAGATTAAAAAGAAATAGTACCCAGATTTGGCAAATGCGTTGGGAAAACAGGGATTCTTAAAACTTTAATAGTTTTTTGGCCGGGTACCATGGCTCACGCCTGTAATCCCAGCACTTTGGGAGGCTGAGGCAAGCGGATCATGAGGTCAAGAGATCAAGACCATCCTGGCCAACATGGTGAAACCTTGTCTCTACTAAAAATACAAAAATTAGCCGGACGTGGTGGTGCGTGCCTGTAGTCCCAGCTACTCAGGAGGCTGAGGCAGGAGAATCGCTTGAACCCAGGAGGCAGAGGTTGCAGTGAGCCAAGATCGTGCCACTGCACTCCAGTCTGGGAGACAGCAAGACTCCATCACAAAAAACAAAACAAAACAAAACCTTTAATATTTTTTATTTTTTTAAAAATAGAACAGGTCTCACTATGCTGACCAGGCCAATCTTGAACTCCTGGGTTCAAATGATTCTCCTGCCTCATCCTTCCAAAGTGCTGGGATTACAGGTGTGAGCCACTGTGCCTGGCCATCATAACTTGTTAATGTGAATGTAAATAAGATCAGTGTTCCTGACAGATAATTTACCATTATTTTTATTTATTTTTGTAAGATTGGTTCTCACTCTGTCACCAAGGCTGAAGCACAGTGGTGCAATCACAGCTCACTGAAACCTCAACCTCCCCGGACTCAGGTGATCCTTGCACCTCACCTCCTGAGTATCTGGGATTACAGGCATGCACCACCAGGCCTGGCTAATTTTTGTATTTTTTGTAGAGACTGGGTTTCGCCATCTTACCCAGGCTGGTCTCAAATTTCTGTGCCATTATATGTTTCGGGAAAAAAAATTTTATATATATATATATGTGTGTGTGTATATATATAGTTTTGAGACCGAGTCTTGCTCTGTCACCCAGGCTGGAGTGCGGTGGTGGGATCTCGGCTCACTGCAACCTCCGCCTCCTGGGTTCAAATCATTCTCCCTCCTCAGCCTCCTGAGGGCCTGGGATTACAGGTGCCCGCCACCACGCCTGGCTAATTTTTGGCTGGGCGCAGTGGCTCACGGCCATAATCCCAGCACTTCGGGAGGCCCAGGCAGGCAGATCACTTGAGGTCAGAAGTTCAAGACCAGCCTGGCCAACATGGTGGAACCCCGTCTCTACTAAAAATACAAAAATTAGCTGGGCATGGTAGTGGGCGCCTGTATAATCCAAGCTACTCTGAAGGCTGAGGCAGGAGAATCGCTTAAACCCAGGTGGTGGAGGTTTCAGTGAGCCGAGATCATGCCATCGCACTCCAGCCTGGGTGACAGAGCGAGACTCCCATCTCAAAAAAAAAAAAAAAGAATATTCCTATCTCTGAACTCATGGCAAGCTATTTTCCTTTAAGTTCTAGAAAGTTTCTTTGAAAGGTATGAAACTTCTGTCTCATTACTCCTAGGGATATGATTTTACATTGACAAAATTATAAAATGTTATGGTGGTCTAAAGGGACATGGTGTGTAAAGTATTTGATAATGACTAAGCCAAGCTTTTCATCTTCTAGGTCTTATTTGACTGGATGACGAGAATTGGGTACCACATATCTCTATACAGCCTTTCTACTTCCTTTCCCAGACGGCCTCTGGCAGTGGAGGGAGGCCAGTCGCTGGAGGACATAGGAATAACTGTGGACACTGTACTCATCCTGGAGGAGAAGGAGCAGACCAACTAGGAAAGAAGGGAGAGCTCCCTGTTTGCATGAAGTCAGTTATGCTATGACCTTCTGGCACAATAAAGGCTTCACTTTCAAATCACACTATACCTTGATTGAGCTCATGGCAGTAAACTTTGAACATTGATATCCATGGGAATAGGATTAGAAAAGGATTGCTTTCTATATATAATAATCTGTGGACTGTGCCATTTTACAGTGTACCAAATGAGAATGAGGTTGAAATGTATGCAGTAAGGTACTCAGTAATTAATTGGTATTTTTTCCCAGCTGACATGATTTCTCAGTGTTAGAAAACAAACCCTTAGAACTTTCCTTTCTGCCTCTTCAATCCATCTTACCACACAATATTTCATGATTCAAATTCTTCAAAGTCTTATACGCAGGAATGTTTATTCTGCTGTATTTCTGTGAAATTAAAAACTTGGAAGAAGCTTCAAAGCTCTTGGAGGCTTTAAAGTTCTTTCTGTTGGGTGTGCATTACAGTTTACTTAACTGATGTTTGCGATTTATATAATTTTGCCTTGTATTAAATGTTACAAAGTTCCAAATGAATCAGTATTTTAAAAAATAAAACTATGAAAGCATTAAAATATAGGTGAATTTTTAAAACTGTATCTATCTCATCATTTCCCTCTCTTGCTTATAAGCCTATAATGATAAAGTCATGCACTGTAACACCAAGTTCAGACACCAAATGTGGTATAAAAGGCTTTTAACTTTGTTCTACTCACTCCTTTTTTTTCTCATGCTCTGTTTTAAAAGTCTGCTCAGGCCGGGTGTGGTGGCTCACGCCTGTAATCCCAGCACTTTGAGAGGCCGAGGCGGGCAGATCTTGAGGTGAAGAGATTGAGACCAGGCAGGGCACAGTGGCTCACGCCCATTATCCCAGCACTTTGGGAGGCCAAGGCGGGTGGGCCATGAGGTCAGGAGTTCAACACCAGCCTGGCCAAGATGGTGAAATCCCATCTCTACTAAAAATACAAAAATTAGCCAGGTTGAGTAGCAGGTGCCTGTAATTCCCAACTACTTGGGAGACTGAGGCAGGAGAATCGCTTGAACTCGGCCAGCAGAGGTTTCAGTGAGCTTAGATCATGCCACTGCACTCCAGATGGCGACAGAGTGAGACTGTGTCTCAAAAAAAAGAAAAAAAAAAAGAGTTCAAGACCACCCTGACCAACATGGTGAAACCCCATCTCTACTAAAAATACAAAAATTGGCTGGGCGCAGTGGCTCACGCCTGTAATCCCAGCACTTTTGGGAGGCCAAGGCGGGCAGATCACGAGGTCAGGAAATTGAGACCATCCTGGCTAACACAGTGAAACCCCGTCTCTACTAAAAATACAAAAAATTAGCTGGGCATGGTGGCGGGCACCTGTAGTCCCAGCTACTCATGAGGCTGAGGCAGGAGAATGGCGTGAACCCGGGAGGCGGAGCTTGCAGTGAGCCGAGATCGCGCCACTGCACTCCAGCCTGGGCGACAGAGCAAGACTCTGTCTCAGAAAAAAAAAGAAAATACAAAAATTAGCTTGGAGTGGCAGCGTGCGCCTGTAATCCCAGCTACTCGGGATGCTGAGGCAGGAGAATCGCTTAAACCCAGGAGGCAGAGATTGCATTGAGCCTAGATCACGCCACTGCACTCCAGCCTGGCGACAGAGCGAGACTCATCTCAAAAAAAAAAAAAAAAAAAAAAAAAAGGTCTGCTCATCTGGCTCTCCTGGGCATTCCCTTTATACCCTTCTGTAGAATTCATCACACTGTATTATAGCTATGTCTTGTTTTCTCAATAGGCAATTCCTCAAAGGCAGGGACTGTCTTTTTTGCCCCCAGAAGTACCTACTGTATGTTAGATACTTAATACTTCTTTGAAAATAAACAGTAAGTTGTCTCAACCTTAAATTAGGGGTGGGAGGGCAGGTTGGTTCTAGAATATCTCACACCAAAAAAAATGAGGCCAAGCGTGGTGCTTATGCCTGTAACCCCAGCACTTTGGGAGGGCAAGATGGGCAGATTGCTTGAGCCTAGGAGTTCAAGACCAGCCTGGGCAACATGGTGAAACCGTGTCTCTACAAAGAATACAAAATACAAAAATTATAGAATACAAAAATTAGCCAGGCATGGTGGCACATGCCTGTAGTCCCAGCTACTAGGGAGGCTAAGGTGGGAGGATCACTTGAGTCTCAAAAAAAAAAAAAAAAGTGGTAGTACATCACTTCTGAGATTAGGTTATAATAGACCATGGCTGTCCTGGTGGTCTCTCTTGGGTCCCTCGCTCTAGGGGAAGAAGTCCTGTTAGTGGCCCCATGGAGAGGCCCACACAGCAAGGAACTGAAGCTTCCTGCCCACAGCAACGAGAGAAAGCTTAGAGGTAGCCCTCAGGTCCCAGCCAAGTCTTCAGAGCCGGCCACTCTGGCCAACAGCTTGAGTACAACTGCACGCAAGCCGCAAGCCGGAACCACTGGGCTAGGATGCTCCCAGATTCTGAGCTCTGAGGATTTGTGAGGTAATTTGTGAGGCAGCTAAGTTTTGAGTTCATTTGTAATGGAGCAATATATAACAGATTTGTGTATCTGTTAGCAAGGTGCTGCCATAACAAAACCCTCCAATGCAGGAGTGGCTTTGGAATCAGGCAGTGGGCTTTGAGGAGAGTGCTGCTGAAAGCCCACAGTGCTTTGAAACTGTGGATAAAAGTTTCAAAGTTGGAAGCGGCCATGGTGGTCCACATCTGTAGTCCCAGCTACTCAGGAGGCTAACGCAGGAGGATTGCTTGGTCCAGGAATTTGAGGACACACTGGGCAA